>NC_000010.11:124432982-124744462 GCF_000001405.40 Homo sapiens
AGGCCAAGGTGAGAGGATGGCTTCAGCCCAGGGGTTCAAGACCAGCCTGGGCAACATGGTGAAACCCCGTCTCTAAAAAAAAAAATACAAAAAATTAGCTGGGCATAGTGGTGTGTGCCTGTAGTCCCAGCTACTCAGGAGGCTGAGGCGGGAGGATCGCTTGAGCCTGGGAGGTCGAGGCTGCAGCGAGCTGTGATTGTGATGATGCCACTGCATTCCAGCCTGGGTAACAGAGGGAGACCCTGTCTTAAAGAAAAACAAAAACAAAAAACACACAAAAAGACCCCACATAAATATAGTTAGACAGAAGGAATAAGTTCTAGTATTTGATAGCACAGTAGGGTGACTATAGTTGACAACGATCTATTGTACAGTGCAAAATAGCTAGAAGAAAAGATGTGAAATGTTTCCAGTACAAAGAAATAATAAATGTTTGAGGTGCTGGATATCCTAAATACCCTGATTTGATCATTACATGTCGTATGCATGTATCAAAACATCACATGTACCATGTAAATATGTACAATTATTATGCATCAATTTAGAACAATTATTTTAAGCTGAAAGGCCACTGGACTAGATACATGGCAGGAATGGAGGGCAGGGACCATGCTTTCTTGCTTACCATTGCACCCCCAGGGCCTAGCACAGTGCCAAGAGGGGTTATGTGTCTATTTACAGCCTTGAAAATAAGTACCCGCATCAAGAGCCAGCTTGCTTGTGCAGGTGTGGTTGCTAAATATTTCAGCTTCTAAAGACAAGGATAAGGCAAAACATCCCATATCTGTCCTGCCAGGGAGTTATCCAAACATAGTATTTTCTTTTTTTTTTTTTTTTTGAGATGGAGTCTCGCTCATGTTGCCCAGGCTAGAGTGCAGTGGCACAGTCTTGGCTCACTGCAACCCCTCCGCCTCCCGGGTTCAAGTGATTCTCCTGCCTCAGGCTCCTAAGTAGCTGGGATTACAGGCGCCCACCACTGCGCCCAGCTAATTTTTGCATTTTTAGTGGAGATGGGGGTTTCACCATCTTGGCCAGGCTGGTCTCGAACTCCTGACCTCGTGATCCACTCGCCTTGCCCTCCCAAAGTGCTGGGATTACAAGCATGAGCCACCACGCCCAGCCAAGTATTTTCATCTTTCAGAGTTGAAAGAGAAATTCGAGGCCAGGTGCAGTGGCTCATGCCTGTAATCCCAGCACGTTGGAAGGCCAAGGTGGGTGGATCACCTGAGGTCAGGAGTTCGAGACCAGCCTGGCCAACATAGCAAAAGCCCATCTCTACTAAAAATACAAAAATTAGCTGGACATGGTGGTGTGCACTGTAGTCCCAGCTACTCGGGAGGCTGAGGCAAGCGAATCGCTTGAACCTGGGAGGTGGAGGTTGCAGTGAGCTGAGATTGCGCCACTGCACTCCAGCCTGGGTAACAGAGCGAGACCCTGTCTCAATAAATAAATAAAAGACCGGGCGCAGTGGCTCATGCCTGTAATCCCAGCACTTTGGGAGGCCGAGGTGGGTGGATCACCTGAGGTCAGGAGTTCAAGACCAGCCTGGTCAACATGGTGAAACCCCATTTCTACTAAAAATACAAAAATTAGACGGGTGTGGTGGTGCATGCCTGTAATCCCAGCTACTTCTGAGGCTGAGGCAGGAGAATCACTTGAACCCAGGAGGCAGAGGTTGCAGTGACCCGAGATTGTGCCACTGAACTCTAGCCTGGGCAACAAAGTGAGACTTTGTCTCAAAAAAAAAAAAAAAAAAAAAAAAAAAAAACGAAAGAAAGAGAAATTCAAAATCAGCTGTGGATCCTTTTACATGGGTTTGTTCTCCATAAGCACATGGAATCTTGCCACTTGGAAGACAGAGATATAGAGACTGCCAAAACACAGTTAAGGTGGTTATAATTCAGCTTATTTTAGAAAACCATGATGGAAGCTCATGGCTTTATAAGTGAAAAGAACCAGTTATGGTTCAACTAAAAAAAAAAAAAACAAGTAACTCTGGTACTTTGAACTTGCCTTGGTAATATTATTGACTTATTTATGAGTAATGTTTTACCACTGTTTATACTCTGGGAGGTATAAGTGTCTGGGAGGACTTTTCTTTTTAAAAAATTACATTTTTTATTCTTTATAGAGATGGGGTTTCACCATGTTGCCCAGGCTGGTCTCAAACTCCTGGCCTCAAGCGATGCCCCACCCCCCAACTCCCAGTCTCGGCCTCCTAAAATGCAGGACTTACAGGCGTGAGCCACCAAGCTGGGCCCCTGGAAAAACTTTTCTAAAATACACACCAGATCTGTATAGAACAAGCATGGCAAAGGAGGAATTAGTAACACAGGGTTCTTTCTTTCCAGCCTGAATCCCAAATGACGTCAGTGCAAAGGGCAGGGTTTCTTTGTACAGAAACAGCTGACAAGAAAGCCATGGAATTTTCTGCACTTCACTGTACCAACCACCACCTGTCTGTGACCTCCATCTACCTGAGCTCCCCTCGCCAATACCAAGCCAGGGTCTTCTGCTGTACTCCCAGAGCCCAGGGTAGCACCTGGCACACAGTTGGTGCCCAATAAATGTGCAAAAGAAGAGAGGATGGAAACTTTAGATCATATATTTATTTTGATTTCCTTTTTTTTAAATCACATGTACCATGTAGATTTACAATTATTATGCATCAATTTAGAACAATTGTTTTAAGCTGAAAGGCCACTGGATTAGATACATGGCAGGAATGGAGGGCAGGGATCAGGCCTTCTTGCTCACCATTGCACCCCCAGGGCCTAGCACAGTGCCTGACACAGCAAACCAAGAGGGGTTATGTGGCTGTTTACTTTTTTTTTTTTTTTTGAGATGGAGTCTTGCTCTGTTGCCCAGGCTGGAGTGCAATGGCGCAATCTTGACTCACTGCAAACTTCGCCTCCTGGGTTCAAGTGATTATCTCACCTCAGCCTCCTGAGTAGCTGGGATTACAGGTGTCACTACATCCAGCTAATTTTTGTATTTTCAGTAGAGACAGGGTTTCACCATGTTGGCCATGCTGGTCTTGAACTCCTGACCTCAAGTGATCCGCCGGCCTCAGCCTCCCAAAATGCCAGGATTACAGGCATGAGTCACTGTGCCTGGCCCATATATTTATTTTAATATACAAAAGAAATGGAGGGAGGATATAAATGTTTTGAATGAAGAACTCTTAAAACTCAACAAGATAAACAACCCAATTAAAAAATGAGCAAAGGACTTGATGGACACCTCTCCAAAGATGACATACAAATGGCCATCAAGCACTTGAAAAGAGTCTCGATGTTATTAGTCATTAGGGAAATGCAAATCAAAACCGCAAGGAATTACCACTTCCTATCTACTAGGATGGGCTTTTTTCTTTTTTTAACTTTTTGAGACAAGGTCTCACTCTGTCACCCAGGCTGGAATGCAGTGGCGTGATCATGGCTCAAACTGCAGCCTCAACCTCCCAGGTTCAAGTGATTCTCTCACCTCAGCCTCTTGCATAACTGGGACTATAGGCGCATACCACCACACTCGGCTAATGTTTGCATATTTTTTGGTAGAGACGAGATTTCGCCATGTTGCCCAGGCTTGTCTTGAACACCTGGGCTCCCAAAGTGCTGGTATTACAGGCGTGAGTCACCCTGCCCAGCCTAATTTTCTTTTTAAAATTTTTGAGAGACAGGGTCTCACTTTGTTGCCCAGGCTGAACTCCTGGCCTCTAGCAATCTCCCTTCCCTCCTTCCCTCCCTCCTTCCTTCATCTCATTCTGTCACCCAGGCTGGAGTGCAGCAGTGCAATCTTGGCTCACTGCAACCTCCACCTCCCAGGCTCAAGCAATTCTGCTGCCTCAGTCTCCCGAGTAGTTGGGACTACAGGTGTGTGCCACCATGCCCAGCTAATTTTTTTGTATTTTTAGTAGAGACAGGGTTTCACCATATTTCGCAGGCTGGTCTCAAACTCCTGAGCTCAAGCAATCCACCTGCCTTGGTCTCCCACAGTGCTGGGATTACAGGTGTGAGCCACCACACCCGGCCTCTTTTTTTTTTTTTTTTTTTTTTTTTGAGACAGAGTCTCACTCTGTCACTCAGGCTGGAGTGCAGTGGCACCATCTCAGCTCACTGCAACTTCTGCCTCCCATGTTCAAAAGATTCTCCTGCCTCAGCCTCCAAGTAGCTGAGATTATAAGTGCCTGCCACCATGCCCGGCTAATTTTTGTATTTTTAGTAGAGATGGAGTTTCACCATATTGGCCAGGCTTGTCTCGAACTCCTGACCTCAAGTGATCCACCCCCCTCGGCCTTCCACAGTGCTGGGATTACAGGCATGAGCCACAGCACTTGGCTTCTTTTTAAAATCTTTATTTTTTTATTTCAGTAGCTTTTGGGGTACAAGTGGTTTTTGGTTTCATGGATGAATTGTGTAGTGGTGAAGTCTGAGATTTTAGTGCACCTGTCACTCGAGTAGTGTATATTGTACCCAATGTTTTTTTTTTTTTAATCCCTCATCCTCCACTCACCCTCCCCGATCCTGAGACTCCAATGTTCATTATATCACTCTCTATGGCTTTGTGTTGGTTTAAATTTTTTTTTTTTTCCAGATGGGGTTTTGTTCTTGTTGCCCAGGCTGGATTGCAATGGCATGATCTCAGCTCACCGCAACCTCTGCCTCCTGGATTCAAGCGATTCTCCTGCCTCAGCCTCCCAAGTAGCTGGGATTACAGGCATGCACCACCATGCCCAGCTAATTTAGTATTTTTAGTAGAGGCGGGGTTTCTCCATGTTGGTCAGGCTGGTCTTGAACTCCCGACCTCAGGTCATCCACCTGTCTCGGCCTCCCAAAGTGCTGGGATTACAAGCGTGAACCATGGTTTTAATTTTAAAAACAGGAAAAGAAAAAAGAAAATCAAGCCAAGCGCGGTGGCTCACGCCTGTAATCCCGGCACTTTGGGAGGCCGAGGCAGGCGGATCACGAGGTCAGGAGTTAGAGACCAGCCTAGCCAACATGATGAAACCCCATCTCTACTAAAAATACAAAATTAGCCGAGCGTGATGGAGCATGCCTGTAATACCAGCTACTCGGGAGGCTGAGGCAAGAGAATCGCTTGAATCCAGGAGGCAGAGGTTGCAGTGAGCCGAGATCGTGCCATTGAACTCCGGCCTGGGCAACAAAAGCAAAACTCCATCTCAAAAAATAAAAATAAAAAAAAGAAAAAAGAAAATCACAAGTATTCACCAAGATATGGAGAAAATTGCAACTCTCGCACATTGCTGGTGGAAAGGTAAAATGGTACAACCACTGTGGAAGACAGTTTGGCTGTTCCTCAACAAGCTAAACATAGAATTACTATGTGATCCAACACTTCCAGTCCTAGGTGTATGCCCCAAATAATTGAAGACAGGTATTCAAATAAAAACCTGTACAGAAATACTCATAGCAACACTATTCTCAACAGCTAAAACATGGAAACAATACAAATGTCCATCAACCGATGAACGAATAAACAAAATGTGGTCTGTCCATATGATGAAGTATCACTCAGTCATAAAAAGAAATGACACCTGATAGGTGCTACAACATGAACCTTGAAAACATTATGTTCAGTAAAAGAAGCCAGATACAAAAAGACATGTATTCTATAATTCCATTCCCATGAAATATCCAAAATAAACAATCTATAGAAATCGAAGGCAGGGCCATGCACAGTGGCTCACACCTGTAATCCCAGCACTTTGGGAGGCCGAGGCAGGCAGATCACAAGCTCAGGAGATCAAGACCATCCTGGCCAACATGGTGAAACCCCGTCTCTACTAAAAATACAAAAAAATTAGCAGGGCATGGTGGCGCGTGCCTGTAATTTCAGCTACTCAGGAGGCTGAGGCGGGAGAATGGCTTGAAACAAGGAGGCAGAGGTTGCAGTGAGCTGGGATCACGCCACTGCACTCCAGCCTGGCCACAGAGCGAGACTCCATCTCAAAAAATAAATAAATTAATTAATTAATTAAAAAGGCAGGAGTGGAAGCACATGCCTGTAGACCCAGCTACTTGGTAGGCTGAGGTGGAAGAAACACTTGAGCCCAGGAGGCTGAGGCTGCAGTGAGCCATGATGGGGCCTCTACACTCACCCTGGGAGACACAGTCTCAAAAATAAATAAATAGATAAATAATTTAAAGTAAAAACAAAAATATTCTTAAGTAAATAGTTGATGATTGTTTTATGATTGGTGGCCCCATTCATATAACTTAAGTTACTCTGGAGTTGGCCGGGCACGGTGGCTCACACCTGTAATCCCAGCACTTTGGGAGGCTGAGGCGGTGGATCATCTGAAGTCAGGAGATTGAGACCATCTTGCCAACATGGTGAAACCCCGTCTCTACTAAAATACAAAAAATTAGCCAGGCATAGTGGCATGCGCCTGTAGTCCCAGCTCATCGGAGGCTGAGGCAGGGGAATTACTTGAACCCAGGAGGCAGAGGTTGCAGTGAGCCGAGATCATGCCACTGCACTCCAGCCTGGCAACATGAGACTCCATCTCAAAAAAAAAAAAAAAAAAAAAAAATTACCCTGGAGTCATCGGGCCCAGATTTCAGGCTCTTCTCTTTTATTTATTTATTTATTTTTCTTTTGAGATAGGGTCTCACTCTGTTGCCCAGGCTAGAGTGCAGTGGTGCAATCATGGCTAACTACAGCCTCCACCTCCCCAGGCTCAGGTGATCCTCCCACCTCAGCCTGGCACAGGCCACCACGGCCAGCTAATTTTTTGTAGTTCTTCACAGACACAGGGTGTTGTCATGTTGCCCAGGACGGTCTCAAACTTCTGGGCTCAAGTGATCCACCCATCTCGGCCTCCTAAAATGCTAGGATTACAGGCTTGAGTCACCGCACCTGGCCATCTCTTCTCTTTTTCTTACCATGTGTGTGACCTTAGACAAGTCACTGCATCTCACTAAGTCTCAGTGCCTTTGGGAGTAATGCAGGTGACCTGGGGAAAGTAACTTCCTCTTTAAGGATCACTTTACTTAACCAACAAATGTGGGGCTTAGCCAATGGACAAAAGATTTGACCAGGCACTTCACCAAAATACATACCCAAATGGCCAACAGGCAGACACAGTCAACACCATGACTCATGAGGAAATGAAAATTAAAACCACAGTGCAGGCCAGGTGTGGTGGTCCATGCCTGTAATCCCAGCACTTTGGGAGGCTGAGGCGGGTGGATCACGATGTCAGGAGATTGAGACCATCCTGGCCAACATGGTAAAACCCCGTCTCTACTAATAATACAAAAAAAAAAAAAAAAGAATTAGCTGGGTGCGGAGTTGCATGCCTGTATTCCCAACTACTTGGGAGGCTGAGGCAGGAGAATCACTTGAACCCAGGAGGCAGAGGTTGCAGTGAGCTGAGATTGTGCCACTACACTCCAGCCTGGGTGACAGAGCAAGACTTCATCTCAAAAAAAAAAAAAAAACAAAAAAAAACTGTTTGGCAATATGTACTATGGCTACACATCTGCATAACCAGTAGTCCCACTTTCAGATTTTTCTTTTTTCTTTTTTTTTTTTTTTTTTTGAGACGGAGTCTCGCTCTTGTCCCCAGGCTGGAATGCAATGGAATGATCTCAGCTCACTGCAATGTCTGCCTCCAGGGTTCAAGCAATTCTCCTGCCTCAGCCTCCTGAGTAGCTGGGATTACAGGTGCCTGCCACCACGCCCAGCTAATTTTTATATTCTTAGTAGAGACTGGGTTTCACCATGTTGGCCAGGCTTGAACTCTTAACCTCATATGATCCGCCCACCTCAGCCTCCCAAGGTGCTGGGATTACAGGCGTGAGCCACCAAGCCCGGCCTAGATATTTTACCAAAGGTTTATTTACTAAAAGACATGCTCAAGAATGTTTAGTCATAGTAGCCCCAAAATGGAAAGAACTCAGTTACCTATCAAAAGACAAACAAGTTGTGGCATTCATAGTACCGTAAAATACCAACAGTAATAGGAATGAAAAATCTACAACTATGCAAAACAATATGGATGAAACTCATAGTGTTGAGCAAAATAATCCAGACACGAGAGATCACACCATATGATTCTGTTTTTATAATTACAGGAAAAAAGGAGACACAACTTCTCTCAGCTGTTTGAAGTCAGAGTCATGGTTGCTCCTGGGGAGGGTAATTATCAGAAGGGACACCGGGGTGCTGGCCAAGTTCTGTTTCTTGTTTTTCGTTTTTGTTTTTGAGACAGGGTCTCCCTCTGTTGCCCAGGCTATAGTGCAGTGGTAGGATCATGGCTCCCTACAGCCTGGACCTCCTGGGCTCAAGCAATCCTCCTACCTCAGCTCCCCAAGTAGCTGGGACTATAGGCATGTGTGCACCACCACACCTGACTAATTTTTATATTTTTAGTAGAGATGGGGTTTTGCCATGTTGCCAGGCTGGTCTCAAACTCCTGAGTTCAAGTGACCTGCCCGCCTCATCCCAAAGTGATGACATGACAGGCATAAGCCACAGCATCTGGCCTTTCTCCATTTTTCTTTCACTGAATCTGTGTCTGCCCAATTCCCCTAAGAGTCAGGTGTTTCAACTGACCACATGATGGAATTACGCTTCCAGATGTATCAAAGACTTCATTTACTTTACCAATAAATGTGGGAATTAGCTAGTGGCAGAGGCACTTCATCAAAATAGATCACCCAAATGGCTAACAGGTATATAGAATTGTAGTATCTTAACCAAAAAGAGTATTCCAAACAGCATTTATTGAAAAAATTTTTGTGTTACCCTACTCATAATTCTAAAATCTAGTTAAATCAGTTCTTAGGAGTTATTTCTGAGGCAGACATGGTTGCTCATGTCTATAATCTCAGCACATTGGGAAGCCGAGGTGGGAGGATTGCTTGAGCCTGGGAGTTTGAGAACAGACTGGGCAACATAGTGAGACCCCATCTTAAAAAAAGACAATTAGCCAGGCACAGTGGCTCACGGCTGTAATCCCAGCACTTTGGGAGGCCGAGGCTGGTGGATCACCCGAGGTCAGGAGTTTGAGACCAGCCTGGCCAACATGATAAAACCCTGTCTCTACTAAAAATACAAAAAATTAGCTGGGCGTGGTGGTGGGCATCTGTAATCCCAGCTACTCGGGAGGCTGAGGCAGGAGAATCGCTTGAACCCAGGAGGTGAATGTTGCAGCGAGCAGAGATTGCACCATTGCAATCCAGCCTGGGCAATAAGAACGAAACTCCGTCTCGACAAAAAAAAAAAATGAGCCCGTTGTAGTGGCGCACACCTGTAGTCCCAGCTACTTGGGAGGCTGAGGTGGGAGGATCGCTTGAGCTCAGGATGTCAAGGCTGCAGTGAGCCATGATTGTGCCACTGCACTCCAGCCTGGGTGACAGAGCGAGACCCTGTCTCTAAAAGTAAAAGAAATAATTGATGAGTAATTGGATATTTACAGAGTTTTACACTCTGTCCCCACAAGGTACTTAATACAAAGGGAAAGAAGACCAAGACGACCAACAGAGGCTGAGGAACTGTCCTGGGCTAAGGAAGCCTAAATAGGACTGCAATGCAACACATCAGAGGTTTTCCTTTTGTTGTAAAGGAGAACAAATGAAATCTGGATTAGGTCTCTAGATTAAGTAATGGTGCCATACCAGTGTGGGGTTCTTGATTTTTATAATTACTCTGTGGTTATAAAAGAGAAAGTCATTGTGCTTTAGGAAAAACACACTAAATATTTATGGGTAAAGAGACATCATGTCTGCAACTTCCTCTCAAACAGTTCAGAAAACAATGTACAATATGCAGGCATGGGAGGGGAGAAGGGAGTGAACATACTAAGACCAAAGCAGTAAAATGCTAGCACTTGGAAAATCTGGGTAAAAAGTAAAAGGAAATTTATTTTATTTATTTATTTATTTATTTTTGAGATGGAGTCTCACTCTGTTGCCCAGGCTGGAGTCCAGTGGCGCGATCTCGGCTCACTGTAACCTCTGCCTCCTGGGTTCCAGCGATTCTCCTGCCTCAGTCTCCCAAGTAGCTAGGACTACAGGTGCGCACCACCATGCCCGGCAAATTTTTGTATTTTTTAGTAGAGATGGGGTTTCACCATGTTGGCCAGGCTGGTCTCAAACACCTGACCTAGTGATCCACCCATCTCGGCCTCCCAGAGACCTAGGATTACAGGCGTGAGCCACCACGCCTGGCCAATAAAAGGAAATTTTTAGTACTATTGTTACAACTTTTCTTTTCTTTTCTTTTCTTTTTTGAGGCAGAGTCTTGCCCTGTCGCCCAGGCTGGAGTGCAGTGGCACAATCTCGGCTCACTGCAACCTCTGCCTCCCAGGTTCAAGCGATTCTCCTGCCCCAGCCTCCCGAGTAGCTAGGATTACAGACGCGCGCCTCCATGCCCAGCTAGTTCTCTCATTTTTAGTAGAGACGGGGTTTTACCATGTTGGTCAGTCTGGTCTCGAACTGTTGACCTCGTGATCCACCCACCTCGGCCTCCCAAAGTGCTGGGATTACAGGCGTGACAACTTTTCTTAAGTCTAAAATTATGCCAAAATAAAAGTTAAAAGAAAAAAAATAACATACCTATGACAGTACTTTCCTGATTTTTCTTGCATTCCCTGTTGGTGAGATCCACATGACTCAGTGGTTCATCTTGCGGCCCTCATAGCACCTGACACAGCAACACTAGCCACTCAGTAAATATGTCAACTGCATCTGCAAAACACATATTACATGTATGCAGAAAAATGTATATTGAGAAAATATAAAAGCAACTAATTTTCACAAAAGGTTTCAAGCAGAAAAGGGGGGAGACAGATTAATTTAAAACGTACCTTTTCCTCTCTCCAGGGGCTACAGGTAAAGGATGGTAATTGTTTGCACCACACTTAGATTCCCTTTCAAAAGTGTAATCAGGCCCGGCGTGGCACGGTGGCTCACGCCTGTAATCCCAACACTTTGGAAGCCCTGGTGGATCACTTGAGGTCGGGAGTTCAGGACCAGCCTGACCAACATGGTGAACCCCCGTCTCTACTAAAAATACAAAAATTAGCCAGGCATGGTGGCGCACGCCTGTAGTCCCAGCTACTCAGGAGGCTGAGGCAGAAGAATTGTTTGAACCTAGGAGGTGGAGGTTGCAGTGAACTGAGATCATGCCACTGCACTCCAGCCTGGGTGACAGAGTGAGACTGTGTCCTTCAATAACAAAAACCACAGATCTGTCCAAAGAAAGGAGAATGCTTTAAGAGTGAGAATCTTGGCTTATGCCTGTAATCCCATTACTTGGGAGGCTGAGGCTACTGGATTGCTTGAGCTCAGGGGTTTGAAACCAGCCTGGGCAACATAGCGAGATCTCATATCTACAAAAAAAAAAGAAATTAAAAAATTTAAAAATTAGCCAGGTGTGGTGGCAGGACCTTGTAGTGCCAGCTACTTTGGAGGCTAAAATGGCAGAATTGCTTGAGGTTAAGCCCAGACTAGGCAACCAGACCCTGTCTCTACAAAAAAAAAAAAAATTAGCCAAACATAGCAGCATGTGCCTGTGGTCCCAGCTACTCAGAAGGCTGAGGTGGGAGGCTCATTTGAGCCTGGGAGGTTGAGGCTTCAGTGAGCCTTGATTGCGCCACTGTACTCCAGCCTGAGTGACAGAGCAAGACCCTGTCTCAAAGAAAAAAAGTTATTACTATAAAGATAAGCATACTAAATTAATTTCTGCCCATAAATTGGATTGTGGTTCTCTCAATATAAGAAACGCTCTCTAGTCACTCCTATAAATACAGCTCCTCGGCTATGTGGTTTCAAACAGGGATCTAAAATGGTAATATTTAACATCAGAAATCTATGACCAGCAGATGGCCAAAGTCTGAAAAGTTACCTACCAGGCTGTTTTGGGGTATTAAGAACTTGTAAGGTTAAGGCTAAGAGTTAATGTCCTAGAAATCTAATAGGTTGGTGTTGATATAATTAGCAGCCACTAATTCAGATTCTGTGAAGATGTTTTGCTTCTGCAAGAAAATGGCCTGAAATGTGTGTCTGTATATCCTGCGTGCAAATGTAGCCACTCTGGGTATATCTAGCTTGGGTCTGAAATGGCTGAAGAAAGGAGTGTTAGTGTAGAAATATTCCCTATTTAGGGATTATTGGGAGAAGGAGAGATACATACATACTTTATAATTACCTTCTGATAATTATAAACTTATTATTTGAAAGCATTGCTAATAGAGAACAAGGAATAATGAGACAAGAAATAAAAATAAATTTACTACAAAAAGAATTTATTAGACAAACACACCAATAGATTGAGTCTAAGGATTTGGTTGGAAAGCCACTGGGCCTTTTAAAGCAGCAGAAGTCCAAAGTCACACGCTTCAAGCATTACTCTGCAATGATCTGTGGAAACCAGAAGGGTCAGGAATTACAGCACCGTGCTGGGCCACGAACAGATCAGCCTCCCACCTCTCTCCCTATTCCCTCTCTTCTACTGAAGTCCATGATTCTGGTACCTGAGAAGACTGGAATGAAATGTTTCCCATTTATTACAGAATTCAGCTTCTTTGTTACAGAGGAATTGTCACATTTGAATTGTCTGTTTAATATGGGATATTGCTTTTGAGAAACCAACAAATAGTTATTAAAGGAGTGTTTACCGAAGTGTAAGGTGAATATTATCTAGTAGAGTAACTGCATTTTTAATCTCATCTGGCACCAACTGTCTTTTAGAAAGTTACAATGTGTTGTTTGGGGGACATTCTTCTTTAGAAGGAAAAGAGTCTAATTAGTGGATATTAAGTAATTAAATAATACATACTATCAAATATTATGAGAGTCACATGAACCATGAAGTCTTCACTTAATTTAGGAGAAATGGGGAATATTTTCTATCATTCCTGATAACAGAACTAGATATTTCAAGATCATAGTCATGGAATGTAATCCATAATACCAAACAGGGTGCTTTACTTTGAAGCCATTGACCATTAAATTTGATTGTTAGTAGCACAGGCTACCAAAAAATAGCAAGGAATATGGTATCCACACAGATCTCGGCTGGCCTCAAGTAATCAAAAGTGAGAATGAAACATACATGACACAACTGGGGACCTCTGGGTTTCTGAGACGTGGGCTACAAGATTATATTAGGTAGAAAACTAAAGGAAATGTATTCCAAGCAAAAGTGGCAAGGGAATTTCACAGAACTAATTTTTTAAGGGAGGTAATAAAAGCAGCAGTTAAAATGCATGTCCATGTATCAGATTCCTGGAGGTGAATCCATTAGGAATATGACGGCTCTTCACACCCAAGTATTGCTTTCATGGGCCCTTACAATCTCTGCTTGTTCACCACCATAAAGAGTCTGTTTGTAACAAGAATTGTTTTCAAGTCAGAATCCTAGACGAAGATCTAAAAATGTTGAGTTTGTGCTTTTAAAAAACAGTCCAGTCCAACTGTCCACATGTAGTGTGTGCTGATGGAGCTAGCTCTTCCCCATCCTGGCTCACTATTGGGAGCCCAGGAATCCCTGGGACAGGCAGATAAGCCAGGACTGAAGTTTTAAAGTATCAACTACTGCAAATCAAAGTAGGCAGCCTCATGCATAGACTTCATGATATTAGTTGAGCCATCGCTGCCTTCATTATCATTTTTATGCCTTTGGGGTCACTGTGTGGTTTGGTCCAGGCTGTTCTCAAAACCTGCAGTGCAACAGACCCGTGTCTACTTTAGCAGGTGAGTCTAGCTGCAAATCAGTCACCTTTCCTACCACAAACTTCTGGCCTACTCCAAAAACCAAGGTACCCCCTCTCTCAGGAATAGCCTGGGGAGGTTATTTGGAACAAGTATTGTGTTCCAGTCCGAATCTTAAGTAAAGATCTAGAAATGTGGAGTTTTATGCATTTTAAAAATAGTCCGTTTCAGAGCGGCCGTCTGTGCTCCAGGACCAAGCTCTCCCCAGCCTCGTTCAGGATTTGGAAGAACTCTCTGGGTTTGGGCTGAACCATCGAGCACGAGGAGGGGAAGCTGTCAGTTGTGAACAGAGACTGTTTCTCACCCTCTGATGAGCCAGCACCTTTAAAGGTTCCATCCTAGCCGCCAGCAGCTGGCAGCCAGGGCGTCTCTGCTCCCTGTATTTCCCTCCTGGCATCTTGGTTAGCCCCGCGCCGAACACCCAGACCCTCAAAAACTAGCCCCTGAACTGAATTAAACCTGACCCAAAGTGAACAGCAAGGTCCAGAAACGGCAAGGCTTGAGGTCAGCCTCCGTCCCCGGACACTTTGAAGGACGGCAGATCCCTGACCCCTTGGTGGCCCGCGAGGATCGCGGGTGCGCGCGGCGGGCAGGGGTGCGCTGACACCCGCGCACCTGCACCCCCGGTGGAGGAGCCGAGGGCACACGACGATGCCAATCCCTCGTGAATCCCGCGAAAGAGGGGCCAGGGGGCTCCGGATTCATAGACGCGGGGCGTAGAAGGGGGTCAGGTAGGAAGGCCCAAGGAACGGCGCGAAAGGGCTCCCGGGGGCGGCAGCCGTCAGCGGGAAGGAGGCGGCGGACGGGAAGAGGACATTGGCCGCGGAGTAGGAGGGGAAAGTCTGGAAGTGCAGAGCGCCGGTGCCGGGAGGGCCAGGACTGCCCCCCGAGCCGCCGCCGCCGCCGCCCCCCGCCGCCCCTGGCTGGGGCGCGCCACCCCCCACCTGCGCCGCGCCGTCGGCACCCGGGTTCTGCTTCTTCCACTTGGTCCTGCGATTCTGGAACCAGATTTTGACCTGCGTCTCGGTGAGGCTGAGAGACAGCGCGAGGTTCAGGCGCTCGCACACTGACAGGTAGCGCGTGGCCCGGAACTTGTTCTCCAAGGCCACCAGCTGCTCGTAGGTGAAGGCGGTGCGCGCGCGCCGCGGCTTGGCGCAGTTGGGCTCCAGGCGCCGGCGCCTGGGACGCGGGGAGCCGGGGGATCCCGGGGGGGACCTCACAGGGCCGCCCCCGCCGTCCTCGCAGGGCTCCCCAGACGCCAATGCCCCGGCCGGGGCGTCAGGTGAGCGCGCTAGGCCCGGCAGCAAGCGCGCAGCCCGCTCCCGCAGCCGCGGCCTCCTCGGATCCTCCGCATCCTCCTCCTCTTCCGCCTCGGAACCCTCCAGGGGGGACGCCTGGCCGGCGCCTGGGCCCGCAGCATCTAGGGGAGAAGGGGTCGGTGAACAGAAGCCTCTCCAGGTCCCCAAACCTCGTCCTCGTCCTCCCTAGAGCAAGCAGCTGTCCCCCCAACCCAACTCTGGGTGCTGCTCCTGTCCCCACATCGCGCTCCCCTTAGGCCGGACTACACATCCTCGCCAGCGGGTTTAGGGGAATGGTGTCCTCTTGCCCTTTACAAATCTGCCATCAAGTAGGCGTCCAAGAAATGTACGCCAAATGAATGAATGACACCCCGCATTAAGAAAAAATAGTGACATTATTGGGTAACCATACTGGGGGGTAGGATCATTGTATTAAGACATCTAGATGTCAAACGCTTTTAGGGCTGTGCCTTCCCCAGACCCTAGAAGCCTATTTTGATCTAGGACTCCCAGCAATTAAAAAAGAAGTTATTAAGCTCTCTGCCCCACCCCACCCCCGCCCCCGCTTTAAAGTGAAATTCCCTTTCCCATCTTCTCTCTCCCGCCGTGTTAATAGAGTTTCAGATTTGTGCGGGGCCGGATCGATAGATGTCATCTATTAAAGGTAAGTTTTAATCGAACAATATTAGGATCAGACAGGGAAAGGGGGTTTGAAGTCGGTACCTGCAAGCTGCGGGCAGGAGATATGCAGGCGCCAGTAATAGAATATCGATCACGAGGGTGGGGGAAGGGAGGGCGGCCCCTCGGAGAGAAGATCCGAACAATTACCAGGCCGCCTGCCTGGGCCCAAGTGCGGCCGCCAGAGGCGCCCCGGGCCCCAGGCAATCACCGCCAAACTTGGGGAGGGGAGCAGGGGGCTGCGCGGCATCCAGCCTCCCCCGATGACCTGAGCCTCTGACCCTCCAGGGAGCCGCCTTTCCCTGTCTGATCCCAGCAGGACTCCTGCTGTCTTCCGTCCTTCCTTCCAGCCACAAACTTTCCTAACCCCTTCATCAGGTGTCCGCCAGCGTTGGGAGTAATTCAGAAAGGGTTTCGAGAAGAAAGTACCGAAAGCTTCCCAACACTCCATCCGAGCCCCGCCCCCAGCCCAGTCCCAGTTAACAGTTGAGTCTGGGGAGCTTGAGCGCCTGGGGCAGCCCAGCCCCGCAGGCGTCTCCGGGTGGCACCTGACCTCGCTACTCACGAAGACCCCCGGCGCAAGCCTTAGCGTCAGCTCCCCCATCCATAAAATGGAGGTGATGTTAATGATGCTGTCCATCTCTCAGGTTCCGAAGTTTTCATCACCTTTATCCCAGCCCTTAGCCCAGGTCCTAGCACGTGGCAAGCGCATTAAATGCCCGATAAATGAGTAAGCCTGGCAAGACAGGCGCCAGGTAAGTTTCCACCGCGAGCATCAGAACTGTGGTGCGGGTGAGCTTGGCGGGTGAGCAGGGATGCGGCAAATCCCTGCCCTGTAATGCGGGGAGCCTCCTCTCTGCCTCTATCCAAGTCCGAGGCGGGGGCTACACTTCGCACCCGGTCCCGTGCGCCTTCTCTCTGAGGAAGACGCTGTTAAGGGCCACTCACCGGGCCCGGCTGTTCCCCCATACACTCCGCATTGTTGGGGCTGAGGCCTCCTGGGGCCGGGGCCGCCTTGCATCTTACCAGGGGTCTCCAGCTGTCGGACAGGGTCCCTGGAGCTGGCATCTTTCCCCGCTTCGACCTCCGCCAAACTTTTCCTGGCTTCCCGGGGAGCCGGGCGCACGGCAGGGAGCGCTGCGCGGGTGAATTTCTGTGGGTCCAGGATGTCCAGGACAGAGAAAGAAATCTTGTGGTGGGAGGGAGCCGCCTTGGCCCCGCCGTCCTGCCATGCCAGCATGCCCGTCGCCCACGGGCCGGCGGTCGGCGGCGCGGGGTTGGGGATGGCGCCGCTCGGGCTTGCCTTCGGCTGTGGCTTGGCGGTAGCTTTCCAGCCAGGAGCCGGGTCCGCGCTGCCAAGTGAAGCTGGGGAGGGGGGCGGGGAGGCGGGGCGGGGAGAGCGCCGCGGGGGGCTGCGCGCCGATTGGCACCGGCGCAGCCCGGGCCAGCCTCGGGACTATCAGGCGCTGTGCCGCGGCCGCTTGCCTGGGCTCGGGGAAGCCTCCGCGCGCCCGGTGCGCGCGACCGCGGGGACAGTGTTGTCGTCTCCGCGCGCCTCCGCCCAACCCTCTGGGACTCTCCGAGGGCGCGAGGGAGGCTTCCATCCCGGGGATCCCTCACCCCGACACACACACCTCTGTGACTTGAGTTTGTTCCCTTTCTCCGGTGCACCCGCCTTAGACTTGGGGATGCAACTGAGGCCAGGACTGCTTACTCCCAGGCAATGCTCAGCGCATCTCCTTCCCCGCCAGTGAATTACTGTAATAGCTTCAGACCCGGTTACCTCGGAGGTAAAATCCCTCACGTTCTCACAGTTTAGCGTTCACAAAGCCCTGAGGCTTGCACGATCTCTTTTGATTATTTGAGCATCCCTGTGAGATGGGCGTCACGTGGCACAGACCACTGTCCCCGTTTTAAAGATGAGGAAATCGAGGTTCAAAGGTAAGAAAAGATTTCCCCAGGGTCACTGTGAGTTGGTGACAGAGTCTGGGTTTGGACCTCGGTCTTCTACTGGACCAGTCAGTGCTTTTTTAGTACATCCTGCTGTCTCAGAAACGGAGGGAGAAAATCCCGGACTCTCAGTCTTTTGCTTCCACTCCAAAGCCAAGCCAGAGGCCAGCAAGAGGTTTGGAGAGGTGGTGAGCCCCCACCGGGATTCCAGCCGCTTTGGAAACCTTGGTGGCTTCAGGCACAGAGCCAAGTGAGATGGCTGAGGGTGTCTGCCCTGGTTTGCTGTGACCCGGAGCACAGCCCTCAATGGACAAACGTCAGGCCTTCTCCAGAGTCACAAATTCGATCATTTGCAACAGAAATTGGATCTGAGAATTAGGTTGCATCTCTGACCCCCATTCCCTCTCAGCCCCAGAAGCAGAAGATTCAGAAATGCCTGTCTGGTTTGAATTTAAGGTCCGAGAAGAGAGACAGTTGAAATGGCCCTCATCTGCCCCACCAAGTCCCCTGGGAAAGTGATCACCAGTGGTCGGAGAAGCTTCCACTGGCCACACCAATCCTGAATTTCTTCTTTTGTCTCTTGGAAAGCACACAGCAGTCTGTGAGCACTAAGCATTTGTTTCAGGCAAATTCTGAGGCTTCTCCTAGTGTTTGGCCCAGAACCACCTCTGACTCTGCCGTTCCTTTCTTCTCCGCCCCATAGGGTTTCCAAACAATGACTTGGCAATTAATATTGTCTGAGCAGGTAAGGAGTAGGAAGAGGAGGAGAAACCTTCTCATTAAAGTGCTGGGGGCTGCTAATCCCATCTGTTATTGAAGAGGCATCCTTAGAAGCCAGCTCCTTGTAGCTTTTCTCATTCAAACCTTGCTGCCCCTCCCAGAGGTGGTCACTGTATTCCCTGCGGACTTTAAAGCCTGCGGAAATCAAGCCAGCTCCAGTCCTAAAGTGAAGACGGATTGTGCTTTTAAAGCTCAGGAAAGGAAGTGCCCTTCCCAAGTCCACTGGACCACCTCCCATCGAAGGGAATGTGAAAATCCCAAAGAAAAGATGGCCCTGAAACTAAAAAGTGGCGCCCGACAACCTGGACTGCAAATCACAGAGCCTTCCTGAAATACAGATGGGGTACTTTGTTTTCTGTTTTGATAATGCTTTCTCACCCAGTTCTCGATTTTTTTTTCTAATCTTCCTTTTTGTTTCTCCCCCTTCACCCTTTTGATCCTAGCCGCCCCTTCTACATTTTCCCACCATGTTTACTTTTTTTTTTTTTGAGACAGAGTCTCTCTGTCACCCAGGCTGGAGTGCAGTGGCGCGATCTTGGCTCACTGTGCAACCTCTGCCTCCTGGGTTCAAGCAATTCTCCTGCCTCAGCCTCCCAAGTAGCTGGGATTATAGGTGCGCGCCACTGTGCCCGGCTAATTTTTGTATTATTAGTAGATACAGGTTTTCACCATGTTGGCCAGGCTGGTCTCAAACTCATGATCTCAAGTGATCCGCCCACCTTGGGTTCTCAAAGTGCTGAGATTACAGGCATGAGCCATCGTGCCTGGCCCATGTTTATATTTTTAAATGCTGAGGTTCTCAGGATAGCTAGGAATAGGTTTCCTTAAGTTAGCCCCAGATGGAAGTATGTGGCCTCCCACTGTCCCTCTTATTCATTCTCCTATGAGAAACCTTGAGACTCTTTATTTTCACAGGATGGTGGGCATTCCAGGGGCCACCCTATACCCCAAACCAGAGGGACAAGGGAGGCCCAGACAGCCAAGAGTAACCCAATCCCGGATCATTTCCACTGTACTCCATAGATTACCTCAAAAAATTTTGTTTAAATGATATGAATCATCTTTCCCTTGAGGTTCACAGATGTTAAATATAGGGAAGGAGCCGAAAAAGGAAGAAGCAACAAATTGGAGAGAAAGCCAAGAATGGCAGAGGCCACATTCCTTAAACCTGTGAATCCTTACAAACTCCTTCTCTTAGTGGTTTTCTGTTTTGCTTGCCCCTTATTTTTCAGATTTTTTTTTTTTTTTGAGATAGGGTCTCGCTCTGTTGTCCAGGATGGAGTGCAGTGGCGCGATCTCAGCTCACTGCAGCCTTCAACTCCCAGATTTAAGCAATTCTCATGCCTCAGCCTCCTGAGTAGCTGGCGAGTAGCTGGGATTACAGGCACGTGCCACCATGCCATGCTAATGTTTTCTTTTGTTTTGTTTTGTTTCAGACAGAGTCCTGCTCTGTCTCTCAGGTTGGAGTACAATGGCATGATCTCGGCTCACTGCAACCTCCGCCTTCTGGGGTTAAGCGATTCTCCTGCCTCAGCCTCCCCAGTAGCTGAGATTACAGGTACGCACAACCACACCTGGCTAATTTTTGTATTTTTAGTAGAGACAGAGTTTCACCATGTTGGCCAGGCTGGTCTTGAACTCCTGACCTCATGTGATCCACCAGCCTTGGCCTCCCAAAGTGCTGGGATTACAGGTGTGAGCCACCACGCACGGCTTAAATTTTTTTTTTTTTTTTTTTGATACAGAGTGTCACTCTGTCACCCAGGCTGGAGTGCAGTGGTGTGATCTCAGCTCACTGCAACCTCTGCCTCCTGGGTTCAAGCGATTCTCCTGCCTCAGCCTCCCGAGTAGTTGAGACTACAGGCATACACTCCTGCGCCCAGCTAATTTTTATATTTTTAGTAGAGACAGGGTTTCACCATGTTAGCCAGGCTGGTCTCGAACTACTGACCTTGTGATCCACTTGCCTCGGCCTCCCAAAGTGCTGGGATTACAGGCGTGAGCTACCGTGCCTGGCCTAATTTTTTGTGTTTTTAACAGAGACAGGATTTCACCATGTTGACCAAGCTAGTGTCGAACTCCTAGCCTCAAGTGATCTGCCCGCCTTGGCCTCCCAAAGTGCTGGGATTACAGGCATGAGCCATTGTGCCCGGCCAGATATTTCTGGTCTGTGTGTTCATTGTAGCACAAGGTAATGTGAATGCTCATGCTTAGTACTTGGCTGCAGGCAATAGATGGCACACAAGAAACTTCGCTGGGTCTCCCATCAACACTGAAGGGATAGAAATGCCCTCTCTTACTCATCCAACTTAAAGAGAAACCTGCTAACCAAAGAACAGGATACTTTCTTCAACGTGGGGGATAGTGGAGGAGGAGGTCCTAGGTAATTTTTTTTTCTGGCCACCTGTTTTGTAAAAGACCAGGAGGCAGTGAGCATCCTTTTCAGTACAACTTGGCCATGTGTTTGGCTCACTAACATCCTCACATGTGTATTTATACCCACGCTATTCCTATATAACATATCCAGATCCAGCAAGCCACCTTCCCTCTGTGCATAGAGTTGATTTTTTTTTTTTCAGCCTGGGCATTAAAATTCCGCCTGAGTGCTATCTTTAAATTGCTTTGATGCTAGGTGGGTTCCAACCCTGACCTGTCCTGATAGCAAGTGATGCCTGTAACAAGCTCGGGATCAATATTCATAGCGGGTGTCCTGGGCTGATAACACTATCCAAGACAATGTTCACTATCCGTGCAGACAGCTGAGATATTGCACCATTAGGGATGTTGTGTTAAATAACCTGATCCATTTCTGGGGCTATTTAATGAATTTCACAGTTTAGATAGTATCTTTAAGGAGAAGGCAAAGGCTATTCCGGAGGCACTGATGCAAATCAATGGTGCCAAGCTTCCTAAGGTATTCCACAAACAAAGGTGCCTATAATTCCAGCACAGCCTTGAAGAGCCGCTGAGTGCCATGAATAGTGTTAACAATGGAAAGAATTTGCAGTTTATGCAGAGGGAGTGGGGGGGAGGGGGCAATATTATGAGCCGTGTTAAAGCATTTTAGATAAAATCTTATGTTCCTAAAGTAAAATGCAACTGAAATTCTCCAGGTAAAACCCTGCGTTTTGAGCCAGCCCCCAGGGTAGGATATATGTGCCAAAGAGACAGCTTCATAAGACACAGCTTGATGACAAAGAGGGACACCTCAACTGCCAGACAGCCTGTGGGTAACCCCTTTTCCCAGTACCTCAGCCACCTTCCCCAAGATGTGCTTCTTCTACTCAAATTGGTCTGTAATATGGGAGAGGGTAAGCACTAGGTTTTAGAAGGAAGCCACAGATAGCAGAATCCATTGTTTGTTTACTGGACTCTATCTCCCTTGGTGCTGGAGAGGTCATTTACAATTAAAGGCTAGCATTTACCATTTCCCACCAGAGCTTTGAACTCTGGCTGCCAAGCACAGCAAGTATTCCCCCCGGCAAAAAAAAAAAAAAAAAAAAAACACCTCATAGACTAACTTGTGAAAGCTGAGTTGAAAATATAGCCTTCCCACCTGACCCCAAACCAAAGTTAAAAAAAATCAACTCCCTCATCTTAGGGCATGCTCCCTGCCACTGGTGGGTGCTTGAGCTTAATGGGCAAGGAAAATGGAGACGGGTGGCCGCTGAGGACCACATGCTCACAGAAGTTATGGAGATGCAGAGACTCAGCAGGGACATGGAGAGTCAAAAACAAGTGTGCAGGCTGGACGTGGTGGCTTACATCTGTAATCCCAGCACTTTGGGAGGCCGAGGCGGGCAGAACACCTGAAGTCAGCAGTTCAAGACCACCCTGGTCAACATGGCGAAACCCTGTCTCTACTGAAAATACAAAAATTACCCAGGTGTGGTGGCAGGCGCCTGTAATCCCAGCTACTGGGAAGGCTGAGGCAGGAGAATCACTTGAACCTGGGAGGCGGAGGTTGCAGTGAGCCGAGATCACACCATTGCACTCCAGCCTGGGCAACAAGAATGAAACTCCGTCTCAAAAACAAACAAACAAACAACAAAAACAAGTGCAGAGCAGAGCGGAGAAGCCACGAGAGACAGGCAGACAGGTGGGTTCCAGCTGCTGCCACTGTTGCTGACTTCTTCCTGATGCTGGTTGTTCCATTCCGGGTTCCCTGGGAGCCTCACTGCATCCCTACAATACTATTTCTTCTTGAGGGCTTCCCTGACTTACCCCACGCGGACTGGAGCACTCCTTCCCACATTGTTTCTGGGGCACGCTGCCATCATAGCCCTTGATGGACATCTCTTGGTTTTGCCTGATCTGAGGATCCACTCCCCCTTTTCTGGTGTCTGTAGCTGATTTTGATGAGATCCCCCTGGGCCCCCACCCTTGTATGTGGTAGTGATGGGACTGCCAATCAGGCCCCCCAACCTTCTTCTGGCCGGGAGGTAAGAGTGAGCCCCTGCAGTAGAGTCCTACTGGCCTCTCTCCCGGGAGTATCTGAAGCAGAGTGACACCGCTTCATTGTGGCAGTGGTGCCCAAAACTAAATAATCTGTTATTTCCCACTCTTGACGCTGATGGTTCCAGTACTTGCCCAGGTCTGGTTGTTCAGCATTTCCTTTGATTTTGTAAATTGCCTACACTCTTCCCAACCTTCTCTTCCCCTCTGCATTTTGGAATTCAATTAGCCAGAGTCAAGGAACCCTGACAGGCACAGCCTTTATCACACTGCCTGGC
Organism: Homo sapiens; assembly: GCF_000001405.40. Classification (NCBI taxonomy): domain Eukaryota; kingdom Metazoa; phylum Chordata; class Mammalia; order Primates; family Hominidae; genus Homo; species Homo sapiens. Next base: position 124,456,167 of record NC_000010.11, read on the forward strand.
ATACAGATTCTGGTCCTTGGATTGTCTTAAAGTCAGGGAGGGCAGAGCGTGCATCCCTGTGCCCACCAGTACCTTGGTGTTTGGTAGGTTGAAGAGTCGAAAGCAATAAATGGTGGCCCAGTAACACAAACCCAAAGCTCCACAGTTTGACTAAGATGGATTGGAAACCCATGAGAGACCATATAGGCTGAAGACAAAAATCGGATCAAGAAATATTTAGGTACGGATAGAGGTTCATAAAGGGTCTGACTCCCATGCTGAGCATCTGTGGAACAAGCTTATGTTTTTATTCAGGTCATCCATGCTGGGTACCATGCTTTTCATAAAGAAAAATGCAGGGGCCAGGCACAGTGGTTCACACCTATAATCTCTGCACTTTGGGAGGCTGAGGCGAGAGGATACTTGAGCCCAGGAGTTTGAGGCTGCAGTGAGCTATGAGTCATGCCACTGCACTCCAGTCTGGGTCATAGTACAAGACCCTGTCTCAGAAAGGAAGGAAGGAAGGAAGGAAGAAAGGAAGGAAGGAAGGAAGGGAGGAAGGGAAGGGAACAGAAAATAAAAATGCAGGCGTAGAACCACCATGAATTTAACCCCGTGTGGTGTTTCTGACACTGGTATACTTGTTGCGGTATCTAGCCTCAAAAAATGGCCACGCCTAATCAACCATGCTGCTTAGTGCTCATGCCCCTGTGTCATCCACTCCCACACTGAGCCTGGCCTGGCCCTGGGTGACCAGTACAACATGGCTGAAGTGACTCTGTGACTTCCAAAGCTAAATCACAGGAAGCCCTGCAGCCTCCACTTTGTTCCCTGGGAACACTTGCCCTGGAGACATTTCCTCTTTGACTCTTGCTGTCATGCTGTGAGATACACAAGCCACATGCAGAGGCCATGTGTAGGACTCCAGAAAATAGCCCACATCAACTGACAGCCATCTTCCAGGTTCCTAGGGCCACCCAGACCTCCTGAATCTAAACCTGTTTTAAAAAGCCTTCCAGGTGATTCTAATGCACATTAAAGTTTGAGAAGCATTTCTTTCTTTCTTTCTTTCTTTTTCTTTCTTTCTTTCTTTCTTTCTTTCTTTCTTTCTTTCTTTCTTTTTCTTTCTTTCTCTCTCTCCCTCTCTCTCTCTCTCTCTCTCTCTCTCTCTCTCCCTCCCTCCCTCCCTTCCTCTCTCTCTCTCTCTCTTTCTTTCTTTCTTTGAGACAGAGTCTCGCTCTGTTGCCCAGGCTGGAGCACAGTGGCGCAATCTTGGCTCACTGCAACCTCTGCCTCCCAGGTTGAAGTGATTCTCCTGCCTCAACCTCCCGAGTAGCTGGGACAATAGGCCTGTGCCGCCACGCCCAGCTAATTTTTACATTTTTAGTAGAGACGATGTTTCCCTGTGTTGGCCAGACTGGTCTCGAACTCCTGACCTCAGGTAATCCGCCCGCCTTGGCCTCCCAAGGTGTGAGCCACTGTGCCCGGCCTGAGAAGCATTTCTGTTATTAATGGTGCTCTGATTTTTTTTTCCACTATAGCCCATCTCAATAAAACAGAAGATTCTTTGGCTCATATGGCCCTCACTTGGTCTGGTCTCACTTTCCAGGGAGATGGGATTTGATAATAAGAAAGGTCTTGGTGACTGGTGGGCACCTGCTACTTTTGCCTATACCATGTTGCTTCCTTATTCCTCTTTCACAGTGCCCTGCTTTTTTGCTTTCTTTTCTCTCTCTTTTTTTTTTTTTAGAGAAGTCTTGCTATATTGCCTAGGCTAGGATACAGTGGCCATTCACAGTTGCAGTTGCAGTCATGTACACTATAGCCTCCAACTCCTAGGTTCAAGTGATCTTCTTTTTTTTTTTTGAGATGGAGTCTCGCTCTGTCGCCCAGGCTGGAGTGCAGTGGCGTGATCTTGGCTCAGTGCAACCTCCGCCTCCCGGGTTCAAGCGATTCTCCTGCCTCAGACTCCTGAGCAGCTGGGATTACAGGCGTGTGCCACCACGCCTGACTAATTTTTGTATTTTTAGTGGAGATGGGGGTTTCACCATGTTGGTCAGGCTGGTCTTGATCTTCTGACCTCGTGATCCACCCGCCTCAGCCTCCCAAAGTGCTGGGATTACAGGCGTGAGCCACCACGCCCAGCTTCAAGTGATCTTCTTGCCCCAGCCTTTGGAGTAGCTGGGACTTCACGTATGTGCTGCCACGTCCGGCTAATGCGCCCTGCTTTTTGCTGGAGGGCTTGTCCTCTCCCTTTCCTTCTGGTCATGGTGGGACTATAGGCAAGTGTCCCACCTCCAGCCCTGGTAAGGGCACCAGTCAGGCTGGAACATCACAGTATCACTTCCATTGGAACACAGACAATGGGGGACACTGACCCAAGAGAGCCAATCAGAGTTCTTTCTGGAACAGCCAGACCAAGTTGAGGAAAAGGATCCTCACCAGGTGGTGTACCGGAGACTCTGTGAGCCCAGAGCTGATAACCAGCCATGCCTGACGCTGTCCATTGCTAGACTATCTGGTTGTGCGAGCCAATAAATTCCTTTAAATTGAAGCCATTTGAAATTTGGCTTCTGTCACTGGCAGCCGAAGAGTCCTGACTATGACAAGCAAATCTGAAAGGATGAGGCATATGTCTAGTATAGCAATAGATGGTTGATAGATTCATAGTTGAGCTGAAATTCAGACATGAGTTGTAGATTTGCTATAACAGGCTGAAAGCTCAGTCAGTGGTGTATGCTTCCTGGCACACTATGGTGTTCATGTGCCACCTGGCTAGCTCTGGCCCAAAAGATGCAAATGAGAGTCCATTGGATCAGGGTTCTGGGAAAGCTTTTGCTTTCTGGGTATAAAGGGTCAGACTCAGCTGTCACATGCCCTTTTTTCTTTTCTTTCCCCTCCTTCCTGCCTGAAATGCAGTCATGATGCCTCGGGTGGAGCAGGAATCTTGCTAGCGTGAGGAGCAGGCCACATGCTGAGAGAGTGGTGGAGCAGAAAGCAGGAGGCAGCCTGATGGTCCTGGGAGCTGTTGTCCCATCCAGGATTTCCTCCCTCTTGGCTTCTTGATATATGAGGAAAAGTAAAATCTGATTTGGTTGGGCAACTATGGCTGGGTTTCTGTTACATGTAGCCAAATGCAACCCTAACATAGACAATGCCCTACACTCATTGCATCCCAAGAAAAGCCTGGAATTTTCAGATCAAGTTTTAGCCTATCAGTGGCCCACACTTAGAGACTTGCCACATTTTTCAGGTGAGGGACCTGGATCCCTGTATTTGTTTCTTGTCACTACTGCAAGAAATTACCATATACTTAGTGGCTTAAAACAACAGATTTATTATTATAGTTCTGGAGGTAAGAAGTCCTAAACTTGAAGTACCAGCAGGGCTGCATTCCTTCTGGAGGCTCTAGGGGAGAATCCAATTCTTTGCCTTTTTTAGCTTCCAGAGGCCACCTGCATTTCTTGGCTCATGGCCCCTTTGTATTCAAGGCCAGTAGCACGGTATCTTCACACCTCTCTCTCTGACCTCTGCTTCTGCTGTCACACCTCCTTCTCTGACTCTGACTCTCTCCTGCTTCCCTCTTTCCCTTATGAGGACTCATGTCATTATACTGGGCCCACCTGGACCATCCAGGATAATCTCCCTACAGGAGCATAGGCTCTGCAAGATCTAAGTCCCTTTTGCCATGTCAGGTAATATATTTAGAGGTTGTGGGGATTGGGAGGTGGACATCTCAAGGGGGCACTATTCTGTCTACTGTAGTCGTAGAAATGAAAAGGGACTTGCCCAAGAGTACCCACAGAGCTGACTGAAAAGAAACAACTATGGGTAGGCTCACACCACTGGCAGAAGCACCCCTTTTCCTCCTCCTTGGCATGAAGCTAAAGCCCAGCCATTCTCCAAGGTCCATTTCAGGCTGCCCCTGCCCAGAAGCCACAGCTGCCCTCCTAGGCCTGCAGAGGTCATCCTCTTGACTGTGTCTGTGTCACTCATTGCCACTTGGCACACATTTGGTCAGCAGTCGTGAAGGTCTTCCATTGTTCTCTGCCCAGTCTTGATCCTGGAAGGCAAGGATCACACCCTAGAACTTTTTTGTGCCCACTGCACAGAGTAGGGTCTCAATACGTGTACGGTTCATGATGTTCCTAGCAGATTCTCCAAACTGACTCACTCAGCCCCTGGAACACTAAAAACTGCATTTCCCAGACTCCTTTGCAGCGTGGGCTAGGTTCCACCAAGCCAGACACAGTGAAAGTGAGTGGGTGGCCACAGGTGGAGGGCACAGTGGTGGATATGTTTTGTTCTTTTGGGGGCAGCTATGCTGGGGGCTGCACTAAGTGATGGGGCAGTGGTCCCAATGGAGTAGTAAAATTAAGTGTTTCTCGTGGCTGCATGGCTCCTGGCTGTGTAGGACTTAGACCCGTCATCTGTAAGCTCCTTCACCTCATGTAAACAAAACCCCTCTAGCTGGAGTGGTGTCTATTGTCTGCGACTAAGAACCCTTATATAAGGTATACTACTCCCCAACCCCATTAGTGGAAATCCCAAAGGGTAGGAACTGTATTTTATTTCACTTGTAAACAGCTCCCCTAGTAAGCATGTCAACAAAATATACACAATTCATTGAACCCCATAACATTTCAACGAATTCCTCATCCTTTCTGTGAATCAAGAGCCTGAAAAGAAATGGTGAAATAATATGATCCTCTCTTCTTTGAAAGCTCAAAGCTATGTTGGACCAGAAGTAAAGTGTTCTCGTTTCTATTTAATAACTTGAAAGGTTCCGAGGGGCCATTGAGGAAACTCCTCCCTTTTAATATCAATGTGTATTTATTGCAAAAATAATGTAGCATCGAGTGGTATTTTATAGCTTATCCAAAAACCTCCTGGGTTTAACGCATTGTGATAGTCCCGTTTTCTTCTCAGCCCAGGTCCTATGCATCCTCATCTATGCAGGGCTGTTATCTGCATATAATTTTTTTTTTTTTTAAGACAAAGTCTTGCTCTGTCGCCCCGGCTGGAGTGCAGTGGTGCAATCTCGGCTCACTGCAACCTCCGCCTCCCAGGTTCAAGCGGTTCTTCCGCCTCAGCCTACCGAGTAGCTGGGACTACAGGCATGCGCCACCACACCTAGGTGATTTTTGTATTTTTAGTAGAGACAGGGGTTTCACCATGTTGACCAGGCTGGTCTCGAACTCCTGATCTCAAGCGATCCACCCGCCTCAGCCTCCCAAAGTGCTGGGATTACAGGCATAAGCCACTACGCCCGGCCTCAATTTTGTATTGTACTTTTTCTTTCTTTCTTTAATAGAGACAGGGTCTCACTATGTTGACTAGGTTGGTCTAGAACTCCTGGGCACAAGCTGTCCGCCCGCTTCTGCCTCCCAAAGTGCTGGGATTGCAGGCGTGAACCACCGCCCCTGGCTACAGGTGCCTTCTTGTCTCAATTTGCCTTTGACCTTTCTTAGGGACTTGTTTTCTGCTTTTCCTGCTCTTTGTCCGCTGATCTCCTGGGAAGAAAGCTTCCGAAAAGGACACCGTTTCAGGGGCGAGTGACGCCGGGGTGCCCAGGCCGCGCCCCAGTTCCGGGTTTGCACCCGGTCTTCTTGCCCTGCCCCGCCCGCGGGACTACAGTTCCCAGGCGCCCCTGCGCGGCCGCGGCGCCGGCGCCGGCGTCGGTTGGGACGCGGAGCTGAGGAGCAGGGCCGGGCGCCATGGCACCGTGGGGCAAGCGGCTGGCTGGCGTGCGCGGGGTGCTGCTTGACATCTCGGGCGTGCTGTACGACAGCGGCGCGGGCGGCGGCACGGCCATCGCCGGCTCGGTGGAGGCGGTGGCCAGGTGAGTGGGCCCCGGGACGCCGCTGGGGCCGCCGAGCTCTAAGCTCAGCCCGCTCCCTGGCTGCCGGCAGGGGGCGGGGCGGCAGGGGGCGGGGCCGCGGCGCAGGCCCCGCCTCGGTCTCCCCCTTCCCACCCCGGTGCGCGCACAGTGCTGACCACGGACGACCCCACTGTTGCCCCCGGCGAGCACCAGGACTCTGCTGGTTAGGGCTGCGCGGTCAGACAGGGCGGCCACCTGGTACGTGCGCTGCTGAGCGCTTGACCTGCGGCCAGTCTGAATTGAGATGTGCTGTAAGCGTAAAATGCATACCGATTAACAAGACTTAGCCGGGCGCGGTGGCTCGCATCTGTGATTCTAGCACTTGCAGAGGCAGAGGAGGGAGGATCGCTTGAGGCTAGGGGGTTGGAGACCACCCTGGGCAACATAGGGAGACCCCGTCTCTGCCAAAAATTTAAAAATTAGCCGGGTGTGGTGGTGCACGCCTGTAGGCCCAGCCACTTGGGAGGCTGAGGCAGGAGGATCGCTTGAGCCCAGGAGGTCAAGGCTACAGTGAGCTGTGATCACCCCACTGTACTCTAGCCTGGACTGCAGAGCGAGACGGTCTCATAAACAAAACCCCCAAAAACACCAGACTTCGTGAGTAAAATGTAAAATAAAAACATGAAAATGGGTTATGTTGTTTGCCTGTTGAAATGATATACTTTTTGTTTGTTTTGTTTTGTTCTTTTCAGATGGAGTCTTGCTCTGTCGCCCAGGCTGGAGTGCAATGGCACGATCTCGGCTCACTGCAACCTCCGCCTCCCGGGTGCAAGTGATTCTCCCCCTTCAGGCTCCCGAGTAGCTGGGATTACAGGCACCCGCCATCATGCCCAGTTACTTTTTTTATTTGTTTTGTTTGAGACGGAGTTTTGCTCTTGTTGCCCAGGCTGGAATGCAGTGGTGCAATCTCTGCTGACTGCAACCGCCGCCTCCCAGGTTCAAGCGATTCTCCTGCCTCAGCCTCCTGAATAGCTGGAATTACAGGCATGTGCCACCACACCCGGCTAATTTTTTGTATTTTTAGTAGAGACGGGGTTTCACCATGTTGGGCAGGCTGGTCTCTAACTCCTGACCTCAGGTGATCCACCTGCCTCGGCCTCCCAAAGTGCTGGGATTATAGGCGTGAGCCACATGCCCAGTTGATAATATTTTTAATATACTGTTTTAGGTTAAAATATTTGAAATTAAGTATACCTTTTTTTTTTAACTTTTGTTAATGTGCTTATTAGAAAACTTTAAATTACCTTTGTGGCTCTCATTATAATTCTGTTGGACTGCATTGGTTTAGGTGAGAGGAGGAGGAAGAGAACATCGTGCCAGCCAAGACTTGACCATGAGGACACTTTTTTTTTTTTGAGACAGTTTTGCTCTTGTTGCCCAGGCCGGAGTGCAGTGGCGCCATCTGGGCTCACTGCAACCTCTGCCTCCCAGGTTCAAGTGATTCTCCTGCCTCAGCCTCCCAAGTATCTGGGATTACAGGCACCCGCCACCACGCCCAGCTAATTTTTGTATTTTTGGTAGACATGGGGTTTCACCATACTGGCTAGGCTGGTCTCGAACTCCTGACCTCAACTGATCCACCTGCCTGGGCCTTCTAAAGTGCTGGGATTACAGGCGTGAGCCACCGCACCTGGCTGACACTTTTCTTTGTATAATTTTTTTTTTTGAGACAAGGTCTCATTATGTTGCCAGGGTGGTCTTGAACTCCTTGGCTCAGGCAGTCCTCCTGCCTTGGTCTCCCAAAGTGCTAGGATTACAGGCATGAGCCACCACACCTGGCCTAATTTTTTTTTCTTTTTTTTTTTTTTTTTTTGAGACAAGGTCTTACTTTGCCACCCAGGCTGGAGTGCAGTGGTTCAATCTCACTGCAACCTCTACCTCAAGGGCTCAAGAGATCCTCCCACCTCAGCCTCCCAAGTAGCTGGAACTACAGGCACGTGCCACCATGCCCAGCTAATTTTTTTGTGTTTTTTGTAGAGATGGGGTTTTGCCATGTTGCCCAGGCCGGTCTTGAACTCCTGGGCTGAAGTGATCTGCCTGCCTCAGCTCCCAGAGTTCTGGGATTAGAGGTGTGAGCCACTGTGGCCAGCCAGAAGGACACTTTCAGTAGCATGGTTGGCACCACTGGACCTGGGCTTTGTAAGGCCTCCTGTTGGCATCCCAGGTCAGCACTGCCATGTGTTGATAGGCAGCCGGGAAGGGCTAACTGCCAGGACTTGGCCTCCCGGAGTCACTAGCTGAGGCACCCTGGCTTGGTAGCCTGATGTCACTGGGACTCAATATACCTATCTGTAGGTGGCAATTAACTGAGTCTCTTGGTCCTTCTTAGAGACCCCATTCTACCAATCTGCATGTCTGATGTCTGGGAGCTGCTGAGATAATAGGGACCCAAACGGTCCCGCATAGTGAAGCCGGAGGTGTTTGGGAGGCTGGGAACTGGGAACAGGGAGACTTGGCTTCCAGGAGCAAGCACAAAGGGCAGCCCAGACCTAGGACACTCCGCTGGGTCCTGGGTCTGCTCTCAGTGTTGGCTGAAGTTCAGGGTTAAGTGCATTCCTGACCTTATTCTCCATTACTCCAAAGCTTTAGACTAGCTCAGTCACAGATGAGAGCATTCTGTGAGTGGCACTGGTGGGAATCCAGCAGAGGGCTCTGGGCAGTGTTTTGGGGTGAAGTGGGCCTCATCTGGGGAGCAGGAAGCCAGAGCTCAATGCTGTGACTGGGGCAGGCAAGGCCTCATGGGAGACCCTGCCACTCATTGCTTGCGGAAGATACATTTGACATTATCTACCAGTGGTTCCACTTCTGAGAATTTGTCCTTGTCTCATGCGTGAGAAATGACATGAGTACAAGGTCATTCCTGGCAGTACCTTTTAAATAGCAAAAGACTGGAAACAGCTCAGATACCCATCAGTAGGGGAGTATTAGGGTCTGATGTGTGGAGGGGAGAGGGACAGTAAAGCTGCAGGCACACAGGTAAATCATCCTCACAGGTGGGCACACGGGTAAAGCGCATCATCACAGGTAGGCCTAAGGGGTGTGAAGACGGGAGGGTACTGAGAGTGTGATGGACGAGGGTGGCCTGTGCTAGAGAGGGGGTCGGGACAGCTCTGAGGAGAAGGCACTGGACAGACCCGGAGGGATAAGAGGGAACTGTCTGCAGGAAGAGGCGGAGGAAGCGCATTCCAGGCAGAAGGAATGGTAGCTGCAAAGACCTCAGGAAGAGAGCACTTGGCGAGTTCGAGGGCGTGGGGTGGGGGAGTGGGTACACCAGGCAGGAACTTGAGGGGCACGGAGAGGTGTCCGGACTTTATCCTGAGTGGCAGGAAGTCAGTGAAGACTCTAGATAGGCATATCATGTGGTCTGATTTATATGTTTTAAAGAAATACAAATGTAAAAAGTGAGACATACAAGTCAAATGAAAGCAAGGGAGATTTCCTTTGAAACCTTGGAGAGAAGGCCTTTACATCCAGGCCTTGAAATCTAGAAAGCAAAAACAACGAACAAGCAGCCCAATAGCAATATGAGCAAAAGATGCAAACAGGTCATGGAAGAGGAAGTGAGAGAGGCTCCGCCTTACTCAAATAAGAGGTGTGTGATCTCGGCTCACTGCAGCCTCTGCCTCCTGGGTTCAAGCCACTCTTGTGCCTCAGCCTCCTGAGCAGCTGGGACTACAGGCATATGCCACCGTGCCCAGCTAATTTTTGGTATTTTTAGTAGAGGCAGGATTTTACCATGATGGCCAGGCTGGTCCCGAACTCCTGGCTTCAAGTGATTCACCCACCTTGGCCTCCCAAGGTGCTGGGATCACAGGCGTGAGCCACTGCGCCCAGCCTGAGAAATGCAAATTAAAACTATATCAAGCTGCCCTGTTTCATCAATTTGACAAAATTGGCCAAAATCCAAAAGTTTGAGAACACTTTCTCTGTGAGAGTTTGTGGAAACAGACCCTGCCACACATTGCTTGCAGAAGATACATTTGACATTATCTACCAGTGGTTGCGCTTCTGAGAATTTGTCCTATCTCGTGTGAGAAAGGACACAAGTACAAGGTCATTCCTGGCAATGCCTTTTAAATAGCAAAAGACTGGAAGCAGCTCAGATATCCATCAGTAGGGGAGTTTTAGGGTCTGTCTGTTTATACAGCAGAATAACATGCAGTGTAAGAAGGAATGAGTACCTTGTCTATAGACATATTACTAGTGGAGACAGCAAGCACACAGCAGGATGCACGGTGCGCTGTTTCTGGTATAGAAAATGCAGAAATGCAAGAATGTATTTCTCCTGCTGTGTTTGCATAAAGACACTGGAAGGACGCAGGCTGCTTCAGAGTCTGGGAAGAGCTGGAGGATAAGGAAAGTGGGGGCCACTGTGTGGTTGGAGACAGGGTAGGAGAAAGACTCTTCACTGTATAACTTTGTATACCAACGTTTTTGTTTTTGTTTTTGAAACAGAGTGTTGCTCTGTCACCCAGATTGGAGGGCAGTGGTGCAATTTTGGCTTACTGTAACCTCTGCCTCCTGGGTTCAAGTGATTATCCTGCCTCAGCCTCCCGAGTAGCTGAGATTACAGGCACCTGCCACCATGCCTGGCTAATTTTTGTATTTTTAGTAGAGATGGGGTTTTGCCACATTGGCCAGGCTGGTTTCGAACTCCTGACCTCATGTGATCTGCCCACCTTGGACTCCCAAAGTGCTGGGATTACAGGTGTGAGCCACCGCGCCCAGCCTGCATATCATTTTTAAGATTTTTAAACTATGTGAATGTGTTTTCTATTCAAAATATTACAATTCAAATATTAAATTGAATATTAAAATTCAAAATATTAACGTCTGGGCACAGTGGCTCATACCTGTAATCCCAGCACTTTGGGAGGCTGGAGGTAGAAGGATTGAGACCAGCCTGGGCAACACAGCGAGACCCCCATCTCTACAAAAAATACAAAAATTAGCCGGGCATGGTGGTGCACGCCTGTAGTCCCAACTACTTGGGAGGCTGAGGCAGGAGAACTGCCTGAGCCCAGGAGTTTGAGGCTGCCGTGAGCTATGAATGTGCTACTGCACTCCAGCCTGGGTGACAGAGTGAGACTCTAAAAAAAAAAACCATTGTTTTTTAAATAAAATATTTCAAGGAGATCTCTCTGGCTGCAGTGTGGAGAACAGGCTGGCAGTAGGGCAGGAGGTGGGGGGGCTTGGACTGGGTAGAAGGCAATGGAGATGGGGAGGAAGGCATGAATTAAAGAGGTGTTTTGGAAGCAGGACCTATGGGACCTGCGGACATACGGGGTATTGTGGGGGTCAGGGAGAACTTGAAATAAAGGGTGGTTTCCGGTGTCTGACTGGAACAGCTGGCAGGGTGGAGAGGGGGCAGGGAGGGGGTCATGGGGCGGGAACCATGATGGCTCATGATGTATGTCAAGTTCCTGGCCTGGTGTTTGGCACACAGTAGACCCACAACAGTGTAACATTAAAGACCACTTTCTTTTCTTTTTCTTTTTTTTTTTTTTTTGAGACAGGATCTTGATCTGTCTCCCAGGCTGGAGTGCAGTGACACAATCACGGCTCACTGCAGCCTTGACCTCCTCCTAGGCTCAAAAAAATCTTTCTACCCAAGTTTCCCAGATAGCTGGGACTACAGGTATACCTCCACATGCAGGTTTTTCTTTTGTGTGTGTGTGTGTTTTTTGTTGTTGTTGTTGTTGTTGTTTTGAGACAGTCTCACTCTGTCTCCCAGGCTGGAGTGCAGTGGTATGATCTCGGCTCACTGCAGCCTCCGCCTCCTGGGTTCAAGGGATTCTCCTGCCTCAGAGTAGCTGGGATTACAGGTGCCTGCCACCATGCCTGGTTAATCATTTGTATTTTTAGTAGAGACGGGGTTTCACCATGTTGACCAGGCTGGTCTCAAACTCCTGACCTCAAGTGATCCACTCGCCTGGGCCTCCCAAAGTGCTGGGATTACAGGCATGAGCCACCATGCCCAGCCCCCAAGGGACAGTTTGAGCCCTGGTCTGCCCAACCCAGACCCCTACTTGGAATCCTTCAGGGAGAAGGGGGTGTTGGGAAATGTCACAGGCTTCTCTAACAGCTTATTTTGAGCAGATGACCCCCACGTGATATAGAACTGTCCAACAAACGTGCAGATTCCAGGTTGTGACATTGGAAAGGGTTCTGTTAACTTCTCTGGGTTCTGGGTTGGTGTCTTCTGACTGATTGATTGCCAGGAGGGTTTTGTTTGGATTTGCTTTGGCTCCTGCAGATTTATCTAGCTGGGGGTGTCTCTGGTAGCAGCTATACTGTATACATCTAACAGCAATGTAATAACAATCCCGAAATACACCACAGCCTGTTATGTAGCTGGGAGAGGCTAAAATCTCCCTTCCCAAAAGCATATGGGATTATTTTTGGTGAGGGGACATCACACCCGTGATATGGGAGGTTTTGTTATTGTGCTGTCTGTGGGCCTGCAGAACCGATGGCCTGGTCTCTCAACCCCATGGGCTTCCCATGCCATAGGACCAAGTCCCCATGTCCTGCCTTGTCCACGAGGACCTTCTCAACTGACCTTTGTGGCCTCTTCCACTGGCCCCCAGTTACACAGACTTCTTGGTGGGGTTTTCACTGAAGGGGCCGCTGAGCTGTCCAGCACCCACAAACCTGTTTCCGCCCACACCAGCGTGCCCTTCGGCTCTCGGCAGACCTTGGCAGGGCCCCCTTCAGCCTTTCTGTTGGCTTTTAAGGGCAAGGCCCCTCCACTCTGGCCCAGTGCCTCTGGGGCCAGATCATCACCCTCAGGGCCCGGGAAGCTCCGTACACCCTCCCTCGCATGCCTGTGGGGCTCGTGGCAGATGCCCAGAGTGGCTGCGAAGGTGGTGCAGGAAACGCCCCCTCCAGGAAAGTGTGCCTGCTTTTGGAATTTTCCCTGGGGATTTTCCAGAGATGCAGGACACCTGTTTTCCTCGCCTGGTGATTGAGCCGGGAAGCCTTCATGGAGCAGGCCCTACTTGCCCAGGTGAAGTCTGTGTGGCCTGCAGCCACGGGGGCGAGTGGCCCTGCGCCTTTCATGCTGTGGCCTCCTTGATATGTACAGCCTGCTTTGAAGTCCTGCAGGAGCTCAAAGGAAGTTCCTGGGGTGAGACCAGCCGCCGCAGAGGGAAAAGTGTGATTGGAGTGGGGTGGGGGGTCTTAGGGTTGGCAGGGGGAACACATGCCTCCGTGGCAGCTCCCGGCACCATGGGCTCCCTGGCAGCATCGTCCGTTCTCTGAGCCTGCGAGGGGCGACACACTGTCACCATTCTTCTTCTTGGATTTTCTGTGATGATGGGTCCTCCGATTTTATTGAGGGCCACGGAGCACGGGGGAAGTAGAAGCTCAACTTTTTAAAATAATATCCACAGCAACAGCAGTCACCCCGCATCGAGGGAGGCCTGTCGTGCGCCAGGCAGGTGCTTAACCACCCACCTTCCCTTCACACCAGCCCCTGAGGTGGGGGGGGCTTCCTCTTTTCAAAGTGAGGACCAAAAATCGGAGAGATTCAGGAACTGGCAGAAGTAGAAAATGTTGCCGAGCCCTCATTAAAGATGCATGCACACACACACATTCGTTCATTTATTCCTTTTTTATTTTTTTTTCATTCATTCATTCCTTTACTCATACACTCAACAAGCAAACATTGAGTGCCTCTGCTGTACTAAAGACACCATCCTAGGCCCTGGGGATGTGCAGCAGTGAACAGGTGGAGCCGATGCTGCAGTCATGGGGGACCAGCAGGCGACAGCGTGCACTCGGGAAGGCTAGAGCATCTGAGACACGCAGTGAGGTGGGGAGCCCTGGGCTGGGTACCTGGCCTCGCAGATCCCATGGCGAGGGAGCTGGGATTGGAGGATGCTGAGCGAGCCAGCCAGGCAGGCATCTGGGCTAAGAGCATCCCAGATGAAGGAGCAGGAGGCCCAAACCTCTGAGGCCACACTGGTGCTGCTGGCCAGGCAGGGCCCACTTGCTGCTCTAGGACTTGTGGGTGGGCGTGGTCACAGGCCGGAGGACATCTGTAACCGGCCGTGTCCCCCCAACAGGCCCTTTATTGAAGCCCTTTCATGGGCGGATTGGGTTCCCCGAGGGGAGCCATTCAGAGGCAGGGCCCAGCACAGCGAGGGGTGCAGAGGCCGGCCTCGGGGCCCTGGGCCTATGGCTGGGAGGCATCTGCATGTGAAAGGGGGTGGGCATTTACTGCATCCTGTCTTGGGCCACTAAAGCACATCTGCTGGGCCCAGCCCAGGCCCGGCTCGGCGTTTTTGGAGCCGGCGGAAGGAAGAAGACTTGGCCCAGGGCAGCCTCATAAAGCAATTCCCACCCAGGACCGCCCCGATCGATCGGCCTGGTGCTGTGGAGCCAGGCCCACAGCCCTTCCGTCCAGTAGCACCTCTCAATCCCCTGTGTGTCTGGGTGCCTTCGGGATCCTGATAAAACGTAGGTGCCTCCTAGTAGGTCTGGAACAGCGAAGGCCAGGGCCAGGGGATCTTTGAAGTCCAGCTGGTCCTGGCACCCCAGTATCCCCTCCTTCATGCCCGGCTTCCCTGGTACCATCCAGCCCTAGGGACACAGGTCCCTGGGAGTAGCAGCAATAGTAACAACAACAACAACAACAACAACAACAACAACAATAATAATAATGTAGGCTGTGGGCCTGGGCTGGAACTTCATCTCTATTGCCTCATCCAACCCCCACACGCGGTGTGGCACCTGCCGGAGGGGTCTGGCAGGACATTGTAGGGAGAGGGCCATTTGTTTGCATTTGTTTAAGCCAACAGGAGTTTTCCTGATGCAACCTGGACCTTGGACAAGGGGTGTTTGTCGAGAACGTGCTGTCGTCACCTGTGGTCCCATTTGCTGTCAGGAGGTGAAGCACTTTGTCTTCAGAGATGGGAGCCGGTGCTCTTTCACCCTGGGTTCTGTGATTTCAGCTGTCATTTCAACATTTTAAGTTTCATAAGAAATAGGTGGCCTCCTTATGTAAACATTCTCACCAGCCTGTGAATATACAGAGTGAAAAGTCCAAGTCCTCCATCCTCGACCAAGTCCCAGTGACTTCCCCAGGGTGACACAATACATCCTTTTCCTTCGTATTCCTCAAAAGCACAGAGGATTTTGAGATGCAGCCTTCCCTGACTCTTGTCCAGTTCTGCGGGCACCTGCCCCATCACTCTTGAATGCCACCGCCCCACCATTGCCCAAGGCATGTGTTTGGTTAGTCACAGGTCACTGGAGGCTGGAGACCCCTTGCAGGTCCCCGGGCCAGGAGTTTTGAATTCTTTGTAGCCTCAGAGCACTTATCCAACCAAATGAAATTTTGAGTAGAACTCCAAAATTATATATATATAATATATATATTTATATATTATATATATATTTATATATTATATATATTTATATATTTATATATATTTATATATTATATATATTTATATATTTATATATATTTATATATTATATATATTTATATATTTATATATATTTATATATATTTTATATATATTTATATATATATAAATTTTTTTATATTTATATATTTTTTATATATTTATATATATTACATATATTTTTATATTTTATATATATTTATATATGTATTTATATATATGTATATTTATATATATTTGTATATATATTTATGTATATTTATATATATTTGTATATATATTTATGTATATATATATTTGTATATATATTTGTATATATATATATTTATATATAAATATTTATGAGAACAGTGTTTGAATAGTATATTATTTTTAATAGGGATGGGATCTTAATATATTGCCCAGGCTGGTCTCAAACTCCTGGCCTCAAGGAGTCCTCCTGCCTCAGCCTACCCAGTAGCTGGGATTATAGGTGTGTGCCACCGTGTCTAGCTCAGAATGGAATATGTTTTCTGTGTTCAAATTTATAATGTTTGTTCTGAGGTCAACTGATGAGAATGATGGAAGTGTTTTTATGAATAACAATGTTGGGCTGGGTGCAGTGGCTCACGCCTGTAATCCCTGCACTTTGGGAGGCCAAAGCGGGCAGATCACATAAGGTCAGGAGTTTGAGACCAGCCTGGCCCACATAGTGAAACCCCCGTCTTTACTAAATATACAAAAATCAGCTGGGTGTGGTGTTGTGCGCCTGTAATCCTAGCTACTTGGGAGGCTGAGGCGTGAGAATTGCTTGAACCCGAGAGGCAGAGGCTGGGGTGAGCCAAGATTGTGCTACTGCACCCCAGCCTGGGAGACACAGCAAGACTCTGTCTCAAAAAAAATGTTGAGGTCTGCAGCAGTGAACCACACAACACAGTTTATATGCTTAGAAGTTTATGTGAGTGCTGGAAGCGAGCTTATTAGGAGGGATGAGTGAATGTTTTCTGGTTTATCCAGACTTCAGACTGTTAGACAGCTATGAAAGAATGACTTCGCTCTGTTTGGTGCTGACATTAGTTTATATGATATGAGTGCTGTATATACCAAGTGAAAAAGCTGTAGAATAATGTGTATAAACTTACTTTTTTTTTTTTTTTTGAGACGCAGTCTCGCTCTGTCACCCAGGCTGGAGTGCAGTGGTGCGATCTCAGCTCACTGCAACCTTGGCCTCCCGGGTTCAAGCGATTCTCCTCCTCAGCCTCCTGAGTAGCTGGGACTACAGGCGCCTGCCACCACGTCTGGCTAACTTTTGTATTTTTAGTAGAGACGGAGTTTCACTATGTTGACCAGGCTGGTTTTGAACTCCTGACCTCAGGTGATCCGCCCGCCTCAGCTTCCCAAAGTGCTGGGATTACAGGCGTGAGCCACTGCGCCCAGCCTAAACTTCCATTTTTGTTAAGAGAAAACAAAGGAAACACAACCACCCCCGTATATCTGGGGTAGAGTCATAATAGAATCACAAACTTGAACTGTATGGAAAGAGACTGAGGAAAATCTGATGGCTGCTTGAAAGCTTTCCCGTGGCTCTGCTGGCAGGAGTAAGGTCTGCTTCTCAGTTTCTGATCTCAGCCTTGGTGGGCGGGGGTCACCCTGTGAAAATCAAGGGCAGCCAGGGTGGGTCTGGCACAGGATTATTGGTTTACCCTGCAGGTGCTGCCTCTGGTTGGAAGCCCTTGGCCAATTACAAGGGGAGTGTGGCACAAGTTACAAAGCTCATGAATGGAGTCCTGCCCCTACCCCCAGTGCCCCACAACGTGCAAGAAGCCATATTGGCAAAGCAGTGCCACACCTGCCCACTGTGGTGTGCAGGGTGATTTCCCAGGCCCCCGGCAACAGGCACGTTGCTGTCCAGCTTGTAGAGGAGGAACTTAAGGTTCACAGAAGTGATAGGACTTATTCAGACACCTTTTGAGGGGGACTGAGGGCTGCTGCTTCTGCCAGGGCAGGCACCACCTCTTACCTGTTGCAAAGCTTAATCCTGTCACAGAAAGTGCCAGGTGTCAGCTCTAGTGTGAGAGCGTGGGTTTCCAATCCCAGCTCTGCCCCATAGTTGCCATGTGGCCTCAAGGAAGTCCCTTAGCGTTCCGTCACCCCATTATGGCTGCAGCTCAAGGGCCCCAGTTTCCTATGTGTAATTCCTGTACCCAGGCTGCAAGAATTAAGTGAAATATTTTCTCTTAAACCAATGTTTGGGTGGGGCGAGGCGACTCATGCCTGTAATCCCAGCACTTTGGGAGGCCGAGGCAAGTGGATCACCTGAGGTCAGGAGTTCAAGACCAGCCTGGCCAACATGGTGAAACCCCGTCTCACTAAAAATATAAAAAAATTAGCTGGGTGCAGTGGTTTGCACCTCTAATACCAACTACTCAGGAGACTGAAGAATCACTTGAACCTGGGAGGCGGAGGTTGCAGTGAGCTGAGATTGCACCACTGCACTCCAGCCTGGGCAATACCAGCGAGACTCGGTCTCAAAAAAGCAAAAACAAACAAAAGCCAACGTTTTCCTTTTTTTTTAAGTTTTTGTTTTCTTTTCCTTTTTACCTTAAACTATCAGGAGATAAAAGCCAACGTTTTACTTATTCCATATCTAGGAGCTAAAGGAGCATTTTGTTGTTGAAGGGTCAAATAATTTTGAAGAGTGGGTTGCTTTGCCCTTTTTTTTTTTTTTTTTTTTTTTTTGAGACAGGGTCTCACTTTGTCACCTAGGCTGGAGTGCAGTGGCACAATCTTGGCTCACTGCAGCCTCGACCTCCTGGGCTCAAGCGATCCTTTCACCTCAGCCCCCAAAGTAGCTGAGACTACAAGTGCACACCACTGCACCTGGCCAATTTTTGTATTTTTAGTACAGACAAGGTTTTGCCACGTTGCCCAGGCTGGTCTTGAACTCCAGAGCTCAACGGATCTGCCCACCTCAGTCTCCCAAAGTGTTGGGATTACAAGTATGAACCACCGTGCCCGGCCATATGAAGTCTTGTAGTTGTTGAACTCGGTGTACATGCTAAACCAAAGCACACAGTTCTGCTCAAGGAGCTGTATTTTCCACATCTGTTTGTATTTTCATGAAGCCAACATAAAAGGATTCTCATCCCAGTTCTGTCCCTAGACAAGTCACTGAACCCCTCCAAACCACAGGTCCCATCTCCAAACAGCAGGTCCCATCTCTAAACCACAGGTCCCATCTCCAAACCACAGGTCCCATCTGTAAATGGAAACATGAACCCACCTCTCAGACTGTCAAGAGGATTCGATGTGAACATGCCGTTGGGGCTCGGTGGAGGAGGAGCCAGTCACCGGGCGCTGCTGTAGCCACTGCTGGGGCTCAGTTCACCCTGGGCTCCCTGCTGGTGTAAACTTTCCCCTCTTTCTAAAGGTGCCCCTGGGCGATACACTCTGGGCTCCTCCTGCTGGCCTCCTTCCCAGGGCACCTGGCTTCCTCTCAGAATGTACCTGCCCCAACAGTGGGTTTGTCAGAGACGTGGTTGTCATTGTCACCACCACAGCAATTACTGCCATTTATTTAGTATTTGAAATGTGCCAGGTGCTTCTCATGTCTTTTTTTTTTGAAATGGAGTCTCGCTCTGTCGCCCAGGCTGGAGTGCAGTGGTGCCATCTCAGCGCACTGCAACCTCTGCCACCCAGGTTCTAGTGATTCTCCTGCCTCAGCCTCCTGAATAGCTGGGATTACAGGTGTGCACCACCACACCCAGCTAACTTTTGTATTTTAAATAGAGATGGGGTTTCACTGTGTTGTTCGCCATGTTGGCCAGGCTGGTCTCAAACTCCTGACCTCAAGTGACCCACCCGCCTTGGCCTCCCAAAGTGCTGGGGATTACAGGCATGAGCCGGTGGTCAGGAGTTCGAGACCAGCCTGGCCAACATGGTGAAACCCCATCTCTACTAAAAATACAAAAAATAAGCTGGGCATAGTGGCGGGTGCCTGTAATCCCAGCTACTTGGGAGGCTGAGGCAGGAGGATCACTTGAACCTGGGAGGCAGAGGTTGCAGTGAGCCAAGATCATGCCACTGCACTCCAGCCTGGGTGACTGAGTGAGACTCCGTCTCAAAAATAAAATAAAATAAAAAATAAATAATATGATCTTCATGACAGCCCTGTCCAGTAGCTACTGTTGGTGCCTCATTTTACAGGTGAGGAAACTGAGGTTGCAGAGGGTTAGGTGACAAGCCACAGTCATACAGGGAGGAGGTGTGTCTGCTTCCCGAGCTGAGCTCCCACCTTACTTACAGGGGCCTGGCCTTTGTCCCCTGCAGCCACCATGGCCCTCAGGGACGTCGGGCTGCTGCTGAGGCTCCTAGGCTGAGGAGTGGAAGAAAGGAGCCAGGATCCCCACCCCTCACCCCCACATGCCACGAGGCATTTCCTGTCCCTCTGGGCCTTAGTATCCCCCTCTGTGAAATGAGACACTCGGGCTGTGTGGTCTCCAAAGTCTCTGGCTGCCGATTCCCATGTACTTCATTCTAAATTGCGTTTATTGATTCCTGGGACATCGATGCTTGTGGGATCAACATGTCCCTGTGATCTGGGCTCCGTGGCACAGGCACTTCAGAGAACACTCTAGATGGGAGTTCTGCCGGCAGGTGAGGAGGCGCAGGTACGGGAGGGTGTGCTGCGTGTTTTATAAGTGCCCTAGCTGGGGGCCGGCCCCAGCTTGACCTCATTGCCGTCCCGCTAAGGTGACTGCCCAGCTGACCCAGACCAGGAGGCCCAGCTAGGTCCCAGCTCCTGCGTCACTGTGTCTCTTCTCTCCATTCAAACTTTGGACTCTGATGACTCAAGGCTCTGTGCAGGTGCTCAACAGCGTCTAGTGGACCTGTTGCCCTGGCCGGTCAGCTGGAAGGAGGAGCAAGTGCAGGAGGCTCAGCTGGAGCCAGTGTGAGGCCGTGCCCTGTGCCAGGGGCCCGTGGCATCTCTGCTGTGCCCAGCCTTTACCTCGTCTCCTTCATGGCAGCCCTGGAGAGCTGGAAGGCTGGGCACCACCATCACCCATCACTGTTTATGGCTCGGGTTCCAAGACTCCACCAGCCTGGTGCGCGCGCCAGGGTGGGAAGCCAGACCCCACGCCCAGGGGACAGATGCCGATCTGTTGCTGCTCCTACCTGCAGGTGGTCCCCCAGCCCAAGCTGGTGTGCTTCATGGTGCAGGGCACGGGGTGGGCTCATGCGCACATCAGTGTGGGCGTCCCCGGGGCATATGTGAATAACTGTATTTTTCTATTGAAAAAACAACTCTGCTCTGCTTACGGGGCTCCTGCTTGACCTTCTGTTTTGGAAAATTGGATTTTTGGAGGAAATCAGCACCTTGTGGGTTTCAATTCTCCAAACATGCGTGTTCAATCTCCATTGCTTTCCAAAAGGGGAGCGACTGAAGATCTGAAAATTAGACAGTGGCTAGCACTGCCCAGAGGCCCCGTTATTAAAAACATTTCAAGGCCGGGTGCCGGTGGCTTACGCCTGTAATCCCAGCACTTTGGGAGGCTGAGACTGGCGGATCACGAGGTCAGGAGTTCAAGACCAGCCTAGCCAACATAGCGAAACCCGTCTACTAAAAATACAAAAATTAGCTGTGCATGGTGGCACGCGCCTGTAGTCCCAACTACTCGGGAGGTTGAGGCAGGAGAATCGCTTGAACCTGGGAGGCAGAGGTTGTGGTAAGTTGAGATTGTGCCACTGCACTCCAGCCTGGGCAACGGAGTGAGACTCTGTCTCAAAACAAAAACATTTCATGCCAGTGGCATTGCTGAGGGCCTGGGGCTGGTGCTGCACCTGCATCTCTTTTCACTACAACCCCCGGGGAAGGGGGTGGTCAATGTCCTTTCCCCTCTCTGAGGAAACTGAGGCATTGAGCTTGTATTTCTCTGCACTGGTTCCCATTTCAGTAGTAATAGGGACCCTCCAGCACACCAGGTGATGTCTGCAATGTGGCCCCAGAGGCAGGAGCAGGCTGGGAGTTAGGAGGCTGAAGCCTGATGTGGGGGAGCGCTGCCCCCCAACCCCACTCCCTGGGAACCAACCCTCCACCCCTTTGCCCTGCTGCCTCCACACCCCTTTCCTCTGGCTGTGAATTTCTCCATTACCAAGTGGGCCCGTCAGATCTGGAACTTGGGTCAGTTAGGTGCTTCTCCCAGTAAAGCACCTACTGTGCTGGGTACTGGGTACTGTGCCCGGTAGATTTTGGGCAGGATTCTAGAGAGCATCTGGCAAAGTTGCTGCAGGAAAGGGCCAGTCACTGCCTGCCAGTCTCGGCCCCTGTGAATGCACGAGTTGACATTTCTCAAATTCCAGCCTCACTTTGTGGGCCAGGCAGCCCTTCTGACCTATGAGCTGCCAAACTGAGCCTTTTGATGACACTGCCCCCGAGGATTCCCTGCAGCCCTATGTCCTCCTGAGCACCTGGTGGCCCCTCTGTGGCCTCCGAGACCCTGGCCTGGGTGCTCACTGCCCCTCATCCCTACACAGGAGATGCTGGGGTGACTCCTCTGTTGGTAAACCAAGGCTCTGGTTGCTGAGGATGGGGCTGGTCCTGCGCCAGGGTGCCCCCAGGTGCTGATCTTGGCTCCACTGTGGTTGGGCACCAGGCATGGCAGAGGTGCTGAGCAGACAAAACCCTGCCCTCCCAAGCCCCGGGCTTGCAGAGGAGGCAGGAGGAGGGAGGTGGTGATGTCAGGACCAGAGCAGCACCAAGGGCTGTGTGGGCGCAGCTCGGAGGATGGGATCTGGCTGGGTGCATGGCTGTGGGGCCTCCAGGAGGAAGAGGTGTATGAACCCTGCTTTGTAGGATGATCAGGGTCAGGCCCCAGGGGAGCATGAAAGCAAAGACTCAGGGTGCTATGAGGGCCTCTGGGTCACACGAAGGTGACCAGTACCGGGGCTAGAGGGCAGGGGGCCCAGCTGGGAGGGGCTCATGCTGCCCTTTTCCTGAGGCCCCCTGCTGCCTGCCCAGTCTCCCCTCCGAGGGATCCCATTCTCCCTCCAGCCTCAGGACCCTCGGCGGTCCCCAGAGGGCTAGCTATTGAGCTGTCCCAAGGTCACTCAGGATGTCCAATAATTGTCCTAACAGTTTACCTGCTGTGGAACAGTAATGAGAGGGTTTTCATTATTTGCGGGTGAGCGCTCCTGGCAGATGCCAACAGCCAGCAGATGTGGAGAGTCCGAGGTGATTTGTAAGGGCCGGTTCATCTGATGCACGGTAATTGCCCCGGGCGATGTTGTCACTCAGAGGCTCGTCCTGGCCTGCTGAGATGAGGTAAAGGTCAGTTCAAAGATCCAGTTTGGGCCAGGCGCGGTGGCTCAGGCCGGGTGCCATGGCTCACGCCTGTAATTCCAGCACTTTGGGAGGCCGAGGCAGGTGGATCACTGGAGATTGGGAGTTCAAGACCAGCCTGGGCAACATGGTGAGACCCCGTCTCTACTAAAAATATAAAAATTAGCCGGGCATGGTGGTGGGCACCTGTAATCCCAGCTACTCGGGAGACTGAGGCAGGAGAATTGCTTGAACCCAGGAGGCGGAGGTTGCAGTGAGCTGAGATTGTGCCATTGCACTCCAGCCTGGCTGACAGAGTGAGACTCTGTCTCAAAAAAAAAAAAAAAAAGATCCAGTTTGGCTACAGGAAGTGGGAGCAAATCCCCACTCCCATGGGACTCCTGGGGAGGAGGCAGCGTGCTGAGGTGGGGGCCATGGTCTCAGAGGGGCTATCTGGCAGCCAGGACCCTGCAGAAGGCCCCTTTCCCCAAGGTTCTTGGGTGGTGGGGTGGGAACAGCCCATCCCAGAGCTGGGCTTGTCCTTCTTTGCAGGGGCTCTTTGTACAGCTCTCTGCAAGCCTTGCTGGGGTCCTGGAGCCGCACCTGACTAGGGCTTTCCTGATATTTTGGAATTCTTGTACTTCATGCCTCCCAAGGCTTAGTCTGTGACATCTGGTGGCAGGCCCCACGGAGGGATGACAAGGGTTTGCTTCCTTAGCTGTCCTAGTCGGCCTGGGCTGCCATAACAAGTGCCATTGACTGGGGACTTCAACAGCAGACGTTTATTTTTTCACAGTTCTGGAGGCTGGAAGGCTGATATCAGGGGGTCGGCATGGCCAGTTTCTGGTGAGGCCCCTTTTCTGGGCTTGTAAGCAGGTGCCGGCTTGCTGTGTGCTCACATGGCCTCTTTGTGCATTCATGAGGGTGCTCTCTGGTGTCTCTTCCTCCTAGGACACTGATCCTGTCATGTGGGAGTCCCACCCTTATGCCTTCATTTCACCTGAATTACTCCACAAAGGCCCTGTCTCCAGATGCAGTCACATTGGGGGTTAGGACTCCCCATCTGGGCTCACAGGCCTTGCTGCTTACAAGCTGTGTGACCTTGGTCAGGTCTCTGTCTCCTGGGGCCTCCATCTTCTCCTTTCTAGAGTGGAGATAATGGTTCTTGCCTCATAGGCTCGTTTACCCAGTGGGTACGACTTACTGAGGGCCACCTGACAGCCAGGCACCTGGGCCTTGGGGATGTCCATTAGGGACAGCAAATACCTTGGGCACGAGGACAAAATCAGATCATGGATCCTGAGTGACACCACCGTCCTTACCCAGATGCAAGGCTCAGTATAATGTTGTATTAATATTTTACTCTTTAAACAATAGTGCCTACTTTCTTTATTTTCAGTAATTTAAAATAAGGAAGAGGCAACCTGGGGCTGGTCCCTGGTGGTCAGAATGGGTCTCTGGTGACGGCTCAAAGGGGGGTGTGGTCCGGGGCGCAGAAGGACAGAACCCAATGGGAGCGGACTTACCCCAGCATTTCACATCCGATTTTTCAGGGATAGATTTCGTCTCTAAAACTAGCACTTGATATTATAAGAGCATATAGGCTGAATGAACTTATATTGCTATTTCAGAGGAGGCCAGTGGCTTAAGAGTCCCAAAGTGAGTTCTGTGACTTACTCATGTTTCATCCACATCTGAAGTTGTGTTTGGAATAACAGATGTGAGGCACTGTCATCTCACTGTCACATCGATTGCTCACTGTTCTGAGAAGGTCACATCATCATTCATTAGCAATAATTAGTCCCAGGGGACCCCCTGCACTTCTTCACTCAACTGCTCCATTAACTTGGGTGCAAATCACACGTTCCAGGTGCCAATCAATGGAGATCTATCCATAATGTACAAGGTGACGCTATTAGTTACAATATATTAACTGCCTAATTTAAAAATAAAACTATCTTTATGAAGGGCAATTAACCACTAAGTGTAATTGATAATTCATAAACCTCTGATTAGGAAAGACAAATAATAAGAAAGGAATGAATCACCCATCCTATTGAAGAAGACGTTGCCAGCCTCTGGTCTGCATTCACTATGTGGTCAGCAGATCTACAGATTTCTTCCTAAATTGCACCTGTCAGCTCCAGGGCTGGGGGTCTGGAGGCTCATTTCAGTGCAGAAACATGTGTTTTCACCACTGAAGCCTGTCTGTTTCTGTTGGGGGTTATAAGGAGGCTGCAGGCTCAGGACACCCTCAGGGAAGTAGTGGGTGAGGTCATTTAGACTTCTCAGTCAGTCAGTCATTCAGCAAATGTTAATGGGGGATTGTGGAGTGCCAAGCCCTGTGGGAAGCCCTGGGGATGCCGTGGAGACCCGAATAGATTCATCCCTGAACTCCTGGAGCTCGTAGGCCAGTGAGAAAGACAATTGCGTAAATCAGATGATTGGAGACACTGGTTAGTGTTACAAACAAAAACTGACAGAGACAGGGCGGAGGCAATGGCACACTGGATGGTGGGAGGAAGGGACATTGGCCTGAGTCCTGCCACCTTTTTGTAGTAGCTGTCACTACCACTCATGGCTGTATTTGGGGCCCTCTCTCACTGGTGGGGAATCGTGCCTGGCTTATCTGCCCCCTTTTTTTTTTTTTTTTTTTTTGCGACAGAGTCTCACTGTGTGACCCAGGCTGGAGGGCAGTGGCTTGATCTTGGCTCACTGTGACCTCCACCTCCTGGGTTCAAGAGATTCTTCTACCTCAGCCTCCCGAGTAGCTAGGACTACAGGTGCCCGCCACCACACCTGGCTAATTTTTTTTGGTATTTTTAGTACAGACAGGATTTCTCCATGTTGACCAGGCTGATCTCAAACTCCTGCCCTCAAGTGATCCACCCACCTCGACCTCCCAAAGTGCTGGGGTTACAGGACTGAGCCACCATGCTCTGCCTTATCTGCCCTCTCAGTGGTCCTCCACTCCAGCCTCATTTCCTGGCTCCACCTTCCACATACCCCACGCTGCTCGAGTTCTTTCTATCCGAGAGGGTGGGGCCAGTGCACACCTGCCTGTGCGCAAGGTGGGTGGCCCTTCCCACCACCTGGCCTGCCCTTTCCTGCCATCTCCTTGTCCGTCCCTCAGGTCTCCAGTTGGGCCTGAATCCCCAGTCTTTTAAGACCCCACACTGGGCTGTGTCCTTTCCCCACTATGTGGGAGAGCTCCAGGAGTGCTGATTTCCTGTTCCTGACTCCACTGTGTGTAGATATCAGCTCCATCTCCAAAGTCTCAGGCTCAAGAGCGGAACAGAAAGCCCTTGACATTTCTGGGATTCAGTCCCTCACCCATAACATGGATAAATTACATTCACACTGGGTTCAGTTTGAGTTGAGTTTTTAGTTGGGTCTCACTTGCTCAGATGGAAGTTGATTTCAAGCCGTAGTTCTAGTAACTGGGTTGAATCTGCGTGTATTCATTTCATTGGGCCACATCTGTAAACAGAACTTGAGCACATGCCTCCTCTCTATGTGTGTTTTCTATAAATTTTAAATTATTCATTTAACACTATTGCTTAGGTTATAAAAAATACACAACTTGAAAGAATAGGTGAAGAGCCAAGATGTCTGCATCTTTGGAGATCAGTGGAATGTGTGTGTTTCGGGACCTGTCTGAGAACAGTGCCAGATGCAATTAGCATGGCTGATTAATTTTACTAGGGTTTCTTAAAAGTGCCTCCCGGCCCTTGGGCTTGCAGCTTGATGTCTTTTCCACGAGTCCACACTGCAGCTCCATGCAGATGTCAAATATGACCGCTGCCTTGTTGGGGCCGGTTTGTCCAGGAAGGGATCTTGTGATCTTGGCGAGGGAGCCAGGTCCTGCCTGTCACCCTCCCCCCAGGTCTGAGTGACCCACCCCGCCTGCCTCTGTAGGTTCCTCTAGCACGCTCGGGTCCCTTCCTGGTGGGCGCCAGGTCCTCCAGCCTCCTCTCCCTGCACAGAAGCACCACACCCTGGCCCTCTCTCTTGCTTCCCCAGGGAGGCCTCCCCTGACCTTCCTACCCCACCTTGTCACCCTCTGTCTGCTCACCCTGTTTATATTCTGCATAGCGTCTCTCTCTTCTCAGTCACAAATTGCCCTTCCTTTGCAGGGTCTCTTGTTCCTATTCCAACCTCCTCCTATTCCAACCTGGATGGTGGCCTGGAGATCAGGGAACTTTTCCATGCTCACGACTACAGCTCTGTGCACCAGGCCAGTGCCAGGCACGTAGTAGGCGCTCAGTGACAGTTTGCAGAAGGGTGGATGTTACTTCATTTGGTGCGTTCTGAGAACTTGCCCAGGTGCAGCCTGGATTCGCGGGTCTCCTATGAAGTCAGGAGGGAAGAAGCTCGGTGCCGCCGGCCAGTGGCAGCATCCTGAAGTTCATGAGACCTCCAGGCTGGGTTTGGGCAGGGTCCACGTCCTGTCTGTCCATCCCGGAATGTTGGTGTCCCTGATGACTTTGGCAAACCTTTCTCCATTGACAGTGATGAGAAGACAAACCTGTCTCGGGCCATCTGCCTTTGTACTTTTTGGGAAGTATGGATCCAGAGTTAGTAAGGCGTGGACGTGTGCAGCTCACTTGCAAGTGGAAATGCCAAATGTGGTGGAAAGGGACAGAGAAATAGCTGTGGACATTCAGAGGTGGCCCCTAGCCAGGCTGAGCAGGATTGTGGAGAGGAGGTATTGCATGGATCTCAGGGGCTGGGTAGAAGTGGCCAGGCAGGTGGGCCAGGCACGGTGGCTCACACCTGTAATCCCAGCACTTTGGGACACCTGAGGTCAGGAGTTCGAGACCAGCCTTGCTAACATAGTGAAACCCCATCTGTACTAAAAATACAAAAAATTAGCCAGGTATGATGGCAGGCGCCTGTAATCCCAGCTGCTCTGGAGGCTGAGGCAGGAGAATCGCTTGAATCTGGGAGGCGGAGGTTGCAGTGAGCTGAGATCATGCCACTGCACTCCAGCCTGGGCGACAAGAGCGAGACTCCATCTCAAAAATAAAGAAATAAAAAAAATAAAGAAGTGGCACAGGTAGAGAGGCGGGGGGACAGAGTTGCATTCCAGGCAAGGGGAGAGGCAATGAAAAGGGGGGTCAGGTGGGGAACCTCGGGGAGCCTCAGGTGTATGAAGTCCAGTGAGGATGGAAAAGAGTTGTCGGGGCGTGGTATGGGGGTCCTCTGAGAAGGGATCTGCTTCAGCTCAGAAATCCCAGCCTGAACACATCCTGGATCAGCCAGGACCCCCTCAGGGGCTCGCAGTGGCCTAGTCTGCTCTGGGCTTTGCTGGATGCCCTTCGAGAATCACCGCGCAACCTCCTTCAGAGGCCCAACACTCCACGTGCTGACTTCCCGGGCCTGTGTCTCCCCTGCCGCAGACTGAAGCGTTCCCGGCTGAAGGTGAGGTTCTGCACCAACGAGTCGCAGAAGTCCCGGGCAGAGCTGGTGGGGCAGCTTCAGAGGCTGGGATTTGACATCTCTGAGCAGGAGGTGACCGCCCCGGCACCAGCTGCCTGCCAGATCCTGAAGGAGCAAGGCCTGCGACCATACCTGCTCATCCATGACGGTAGGCCTGTCGGACACCAGGACCTCACGGGGGTGAAAGCTCCCCTTTCCCAGGGTGGGGGCTGTGCAGAGAGCCTCTTTCACTGGGCCAAACCACTGACTGAGCTAGGCCACCAACACTCATGGGTTGGGGGTAAAAACCTCATGGGACTTCCTGCTGGGGGCTGGGGGCAGGTTAGGACCCAGCTCTGTCCATTCCTTGGCCTCACACCAGAGGGTCCTTAGAGCAGGTTCTGGATGGCTCCTGGGAGGAAAATCCTAGGCTCTCTTTCCTGATCTAGGATGGACCAAGCGGCCAGGGAATTGTCAAGGTGGCGGAGTTCTAGCTCCTGTTGAGAAAGAGACAGAGAGAGAGAGAGAGAGAGAGAGAGAAAATGAGAATGAGAATGAATGAATATAAATGAGAAGCTACATTGAGGTCCATAGCTTCTAACGTCTGGCACCATAGCCTTCAACTATGTGAAAACCAGCCCTGCTCTTTGGAACAGTTTGCAAATGGCGTAGGAACAAGGTTTGCATCCTGATTTTAGTCTGAATGCAAGAACAGACAGCCCCTTTGACCCTCAGTGGGGAGGTTTTCTTGGAATGAAGCAGAAGGAACAATATTACTGGTGCCTCCTGAATATTTAAAAAGAAGAGACATTAGCAATTCCAGACACTTCTCCATTGGTCCACTGCACCTTCTTCCTTCCTCTGCACTTGATATTTTTAGTTTTACAAACTGCTAGGCAGAGGCAAACATGGTTTTTTCCTTTCCAGGGCAAGGTGGGGGCTCTCAAGAAGTGGCGGGTGCTCCCTGGAAAGCCTAGATGTCGACTTCATAGCCCTGGTGCCAGTTAAGGGTGACAGGCCTGGCCTTTAGAAATCATGTTTCTCAAAATTCCTTCTCTGTAATCTAGGATCCCTGCTAGTGCCTTTAGAACATGGTCTTCAAAGAAAGAAGATTTAAGAAAAATATCTTGCCCCACCCTCCAGAAAAGGGTTGCTGGACCCGGGAGTGGAGCTGGAAGAAGCCAGCAGGAGAGGGAAGTGGGCATCCGCTTGGAGGGTGGCCTTGGCCAGTGAATCAGACAAGCAGACGGCAAAGCTGGGAGGCTGAAGGGAGGATGAATGCCCTTCCTCAGCTGTAATCCTGCATCCGTGTTTTCAATAACTAGACCCTTGTTTTCAGACTTGGAATTTTTTTTTTCAGTCATTGGTGGATTTTCTGTCTAACATTTTATGAAAATTTTCAAGCATCCAACAAAGTTCAAATAATTTTTACTTGGAATAGTTTTGGTTTTTTTTTTGGAGACAGAGTCTTGCTCTGTCACCCAGGCTGGAGTACAACAGTGGTGTGATCTTGGCTTCCTGTGACTTCCGCTTCCCTGGTTCAAGCGATTCTTCTGCCTCAGCCCCCCAAGTAGCTGGGGTTACAGGTGTGTGCCACCACGCCCGCCTAATTTTTGTATTTTTAGTAGAGATGGGGTTTCACCATGTTGGCCAGGCTCGTCTTAAACTCCTGACCTCAGGTGATCCACCCACCTTGGCCTCCCAAAGTGCTGGGATTACAGGCGTGAGCCACCGCCTCCGGTCTTACTTGGCATAGTTTTATACCCTTCACCTAGATTGTCAATGACATTTTTTGATATTTTCTTCACTTTATATCCATCCATCCCTCCGTCTGTCTATCCATGTTATTATTTAGATGCATTTCCGAGTAAAATGCAGACACGGGTATACTCCCCTATACACTTCAGCATATCATTGGAGTTTGGTATTTGTTTACGGTTTTTCCTGTTTGATGTAAAATTTACATACAATGAAATGTACACACGTCAAGTGTACTTTTGCTGAGTTTTGACATATGCATGCACCCATGGAACCCAACCCCGTGAAGAGCTAGACCATCACCATCACTGACAGCTCTGACAGCTACCTCGCACCTTGCCCAGGTGGTCTTCACCCCTTGTCCCCTTAGAGGCAACCACTGTTTGGATTTTTTCCGTTATAAATAAGTTTTCCTATTCTAGAATTTTATGTAAATAGAATCATACAGTATATAATTGTGCTGGGGCCTCCAGTGCTACCCCCAGGCTGAATGATTCATTAGCAGGACTCACAGAACTTAGAAAAGGTATTACACTCCCAGTTAGACTTATTACTGTGAAAGAATAAAGATTAAATTCAGCGAAGAGAGGAGACACATGGGGCAAAGTCTAGGAGAAGACAGGCATGAACTTCCAGTTGTCCCTTCGAAATGGAGTCCTACTGGGCACACTTGATTCTCCCAGCGATGATGTGTGACAACACATGGGAAGCATTGGCCACCAGGGAAGCTCACTGGAGCCTCAGTGTCCAGGGTTTTTGTGTAGACATTAGCACCTGTGTGACTGACTTTAGCGACTCAGTCTCCAGCCCCACAGAGTCCAAACTGATACAGCTGGGCCAGGGCCGCAGGGATACAGAAACAGGTGTTCACTGTAAGCCAAGCTGTTAGCGTAAATGATCTGGTCAGACTGAGAGAGCAGGGCCCGAGGCCTTGAGCATACAAAACCCCTTATCAGGTAGAACATTGCAGTGGCTCAGAGGTTATCTCCCAGGAGCCAGTCCTGAAGACAGGCCTTTTTTGGAATGTACAGGGTTTGAGCAACCTAGTCCTGCTGAGTTAACCCTTTCCGTCACAGTAGTCTTTTGTGTAAGGCTTCTTTTACCCAACGTAATGTTTTTGAGACTCATCCATATTATTGCATGTATCAGCAGTGTTGTTCATTTTTATTGCAGAATAGTATTCCATTGAGTGAACAGACCACAGTTTATCCATTCACATGTTGTTGATACCTGGATTGTGACCAGTTTCAGTCTATTATGAGCAAATCTGCTATGAACATTCTTACACAGTTCTTTTGGGTAAATACCTAGCAGCGAAATTACTGGGTCATAGGGTACATGTATGTTCACCTTTGTAAAATTCTGCCAGACCTTTTTTTCAGAGGGATTGCAATATTTTACACGTCCTCCATCTGCTGCAGCTGTTCAGTATCCTCACCAGACCTTGGTGTTATCAGTCTTTTTAATTCTCACCATTCTGGTGGGTATGAAATCGTATCTCATTGTGTATTTCAGTTTCTTTCTTTCTTTTTTTTTTTTTTTTTTGAGACAGAGTCTCGCTCTGTTGCCCAGGCTGGAATACAGTGGTGCAA
Source organism: Homo sapiens (assembly GCF_000001405.40). Classification (NCBI taxonomy): domain Eukaryota; kingdom Metazoa; phylum Chordata; class Mammalia; order Primates; family Hominidae; genus Homo; species Homo sapiens. The sequence continues at coordinate 124,487,508 of NC_000010.11, forward strand.
TCTCAGCCCACTGCAACCTCTGCCTCTCGGGTTCAAGTGATTCTACTGCCTCAGACTCCTGAGTAGCTGAGATTACAGGCGGCCGCCACCGTGCCGGGCTGATTGTTGTATTTTTAGTAGAGATGGGATTTTGACCATGTTGGCCAGGCTGGTCTCGAACTCCTGAACTCAGGCGATCCGCCCACCTTGACCTCCCAAAGTGCTGGGATTACAGGCATGAGCCACCGCACCTGGCCTCAGTTTCTTTTCAATTTAGAAAGGTCAACATCTAGTCCTAAGAGAGATGACAGCATGTTTCTTCTAGGATCTGAAAACACAGATCCAATGATTTGATGTATCCTTGCAAATTTTCCTATTTTAATTTAAAATGGGGGAAGACAAAGAAGGAGAAGGAGGAAGAGAGTTTCCTAAGGGAGCTGGTGAACTGGACCTGTGGGGATGGAATTCTGCTTTTTCTTCAGGACATATGTGTGGGGTTGCCTGAAATGTGTCAACGGTTCTTACAGTTTGGGACCAGTAGTGCCAACCCTCCAAGGCTTGTGCAGCCCCATTTCCTCCTGCTGCAGGCTCTCAGTGTCTTCTGAGCAGATTTCCCTTCTCAGTAGCAAAGCTGTGGGTTTCCTGCCTGCGATAGTGACCTCAGGGAGCTCCTGGGGCTGATGTGGTATTGGGATGGAGGGTCCTGGGTGTGTCCACCTTTCTCCTCATAAGCCCTCTCTGAGGAGCCGAATTCCCTCCTCTGTCAAATAGGAATAACCCTTCTGTGTCTACCTCCCATGGCAGCTGTGATGATCAGAAAGAAATGCATCTGAGAAAGGGGGAGGACATGTGAAAGGTGTCCCTGGTAGGAGATGGGGAGGTAGGCCATGTCCTCCCAGGGCTCCGTGGCACTCTGTCTCTCTCTCTCTTTCCAGGAGTCCGCTCAGAATTTGATCAGATCGACACATCCAACCCAAACTGTGTGGTAATTGCAGACGCAGGAGAAAGCTTTTCTTATCAAAACATGAATAACGCCTTCCAGGTGCTCATGGAGCTGGAAAAACCTGTGCTCATATCACTGGGAAAAGGGTAAGTTGGCTCCAGGGAGAGTCATTTCTCGGTGCTTTAGATGATGCTGTGCCAGTCTCCAACTTGCGGAATCAGGCAGAGAAGGATGCAGAAGGGGAGGTGGGAGGAGCACCGGTGATCTTCTTTTCCCTCCCTTTTTCATGCTTTCTCTCTTCATTTCTTTATTCCTCTCCTTTAATCATTTCTTTAGGAAATAGGAACACTGTCTTCAGGAGCTGGTTGATCAAGCTTCCATGTGGAGTCTAGACTAGAAGAGGGCGTCATTGCAGAGGGAGACCCTCTGGAGATCTCAGAGGCCAAGTGTTGATTGTCCCAAGTTTAGAGCAAAGAAGGAGAAGGTGCATTTGCATAGGATGTAGCAGGGTGTTGGAGAATGCTCTCAAGGGTTGTCTAATTAGTAAAACATAGGCTTGAGGGCCTACCCAGTCTGGGCACCGACAGTCTCTGGCCACAGATCACTGTCTCTGTGAAGTTGTGATTTTGTGATCAGTGTTTTGTCTGAGCCTTTAGCACATGCCTTGCCATCTCTTTCTTAAACAAAACAGTGTTGGTTATTTTTAACATTTTTCTTACACTGAGATAGCACATGTTCATTGAAGAAAAATTAGACAATACAGATGAGCAAAAGAAGAAACCAGAAAGTATTTTTAGTCCCACTGCACGAGGAAAACACCTGTCCCTATTTTGGTGTATGTCCTTGCAAGTGGCTTCCTGTGCGAATAGACTATTATGGATGGAGATGTTCACAGCATCGATGTCACACTTGACCTTGTTTTGTCATCTGTTTTTTATTGTTCACCAAACAATATTTGTGACTGACTTAGCATGCAGCAAATGGATATGTCTTGGGGCATGGTTATCTATGGTGTGGCTATCTTGTATATATATATATTTTTTAAGACTGAGTCTCGCTCTGTCACCCAGGCTGGAGTGCAGCGGCGTGATCTCGGCTCGCTGCAACCTCTCCCTCCCGGGTTCAAGCGATTCTCCTGCCTCAGCCTCCTGAGTAGCTGGGACTACAGGCGCCCGCCACCATCCCAGCTAATTTTTATATTTTTGGTAGAGGCGGGGTTTCACCATGTTGGCCAGGATGGTCTCAATCTCCTGACCTTGTGATCCGCCCGCCTTGGCCTCCCAAAGTGCTGGGATTACAGGCATGAGCCACCGCCCCCAACCTCTTGTAATTTTTTTCTTTTTTTTTTTTTCTGCTTATAAGTTTATTCAATGCAAAATAACCCTCACCAGTTTTACTGAGGTGGCTGACCATGTCCACGACCAAATACGCCTGTAAACTGAAATTCGGTTGCTGACCCATTCCCAGCCTCAGCTTTCTCACTGGCACCAGGGGGACAGCACTCCATCTGTGGGTGTCTCTTTCTCTCTATGGCTGTCTGTCTGTGGGTGTCTCTCTCTGTCTGTGGGTGTCTTTCGCCATCTGTGGGTATCTCTCTCTGTCTGTGGGTATCTCTCCCATCTGTGGGTGTCCATCTCTGTCTTTGGGTGTCTCTCTTTGTGAGTGTCTCTGTCTGTGGTTGTCTCTGTCTGTGGGTGTCTCTCTGTGAGTGTCCCTGTGAGTGTCTCTGTCTGTGGGTGTCTCTCCTCGTCTGTGGGTATCTCTCCCTGTCTGTGGGTGTCTCTGTTGGCTTCCCCACTTGTGGGTCTTGCAGGTCGGTCACGCTCCAGACCTTTAGGCCGCAGCCTGCCAGTCTCCAGACCGCTGTGGCATGGGGTAGCAGACACGCTCTCCAGGGGCAGATGGTGGTAATCGCAGAGATTCTGGATCCCCATGTGGGTGAGGTACCAGTAGAAATGTCTCCAGGCAAACTCCTTCCTGCAACCTCAGGACCTGAGAGACTGCCTGGCCTTCATGACGTGAAGGTTGGGCACATTCTCATCTGCCAGCTCCGGGTCTTAGGCAGGTGGACATTCTTCTTGGCTACCGTGACTCCCTCCTTAAAAAGGAGTTCATAAATAGCAATCTGGTTCTTCTTAGGCATCAACATCTCTGCAGCTGTAGGGTCCAGGTCCGGGGCTGGAAAGCATGATTTTTTTCTAACTGATCTCTGCTGATGGCATCTAGATTGTTCCTGGTTTTTCACCATACCAGGGCTGTGATGAGCATCTTGGTGCATTTCGGATGACGTCTCCAGATACAGTTACAGAACGAGTATTTTTGAGGTTCTTGAGGCATGTTGCCAAGTTGTTTCCAGAAAGCTGCACAGACTTATTCTGCACAGCCTAGAATTCTAGAATCACAGGGTTCTGCACAACCTAGAGTTCTGGAATCACAGGGTTCTGCACAGCTAGAATTCTAGAATCACAGGGTTCTGCACAGCTAGAATTCTAGAATCACAGGGTTCTGCACAACCTAGAGTTCTGGAATCACAGGGTTCTGCACAGCCTAGAGTTCTGGAATCACAGGGTTCTGCACAGCTAGAATTCTAGAATCACAGGGTTCTGCACAGCCTAGAGTTCTGGAATCACAGGGTTCTGCACAGCCTAGAGTTTTGGAATCACAGGGTTCTGCACAGCTAGAATTCTAGAATCACAGGGTTCTGCACAGCTAGAATTCTAGAATCACAGGGTTCTACACAGCTAGAATTCTAGAATCACAGGCTCCCAGGGTTGCAAGGACACTTTGGAGTGTCTACCTCAGCATCTCATGAAGTGTGGGAATTCCGAGGCGGTGGCGGAGGAAGTGTTTTCCATCTTCGGTGCTTTCGTTGCTTCTGGTGACAGCGCTCACTGCCTCTGCTTGCTGTACGGGACCAGCTGATGGAACCGACAGGGAGGGACTTTTTATCTGGCCATTGGCCACTGCCACACACTTTGTGTACCCCGTTTTGTGTAATTCTGACTACAACCTTGTGGGATCTAGGCAGGTCATTGCTGTTTTGCAAGTGGGGTTGTTGAAGCCACAGGAGATGAAATAAGCTGCTGTCCCCCAGCCATTGAGTGCTGATAGGATCAGGAGTGCCAGTTGGTGTGGCTGACCCCAGACCCTGTGCGTGTTACCTCTAAGCTACATTCTAGAGCAGACTTTTTGCCCACACAAGCCTTAAATGTGGGCTGGGGACAGTGGCTCACGCCGGTAATCCCAGCACTTTGGGAGGACAAGGTGGGCAGATCACCTGAGGCCAGGGGTTCAAGACCAGGCTGGCCAACATGGTGAAACCCTGTCTCTACTAAAAATACAAAAATTAGCCAGGTGTGGTGGTGCGTGCCTATAGTCCCAGCTACTCGGGAGGCTGACGCATGAGAATTGCTTGAACCTGGGAGGCAGAGGTTGCAGTAAGTCAAGACTGCGCCATTGCACTCTAGCCTGGGCGACAGAGCAAGACTCCATCTCGAAAAAAACAACAAAACCTTAAATGTATTTTTGAGGCTGTGTTTAAAAATGGGGATATTTTACACAAAATATCCAGATTTCTGGATTCTTTTGAAGAATCAGAAGATCTGACAATACGGAGCCTCACATTCCTGCACACACAGCAGCCATAGCTGGAGCCACTGCCTCCATTAGTTTGAATTTACTGCAGACCCCACTCCTCCCTGTCGTCCCTGTCTCCAGACCACAGAGTTAGTTGTCATTGATCGTGTGCCATTTGTTGTTTTTTTCAAAGTAGAGAAGTACTTCTTCACGCTGTGTCTCTATCAAAAATGGACAAGTGAAAGATGTTTCAAGAAATGAAAAGATTTTTTTAGTGACAAAAAATTTCTAGTATGTTTCTCATATAAATAAAATGTGTCCTGTATGTAGTCAGGGTTCCTCAGAGAAGCCCGAAGCTACAGGATATAGATATGTAGAGAGATTGTGGAGGCTTGGCGAGTCCAAAATCTGCAGGGCAGGGCTGGCAGGCTAGGGACTCAGGAATGCGCGCAGCAGAGTCGTAAGGCTGTGTGCTGGTGGGATTCTTGCTCGGGGAAGGTCAGTCTTTGTTCTTGTAAAGCCTGCAACTGGTTGGATGTGGTCCACCCACATTGCGGAAGGGAATGTACTCTCCTCCTAGTTCACCGATTTAAATGTTAATCTCATCCAAAAACACCTTCACAGAAACATCCAGAATAATGTTTGACCACATATCTGGGCACCGTGGCCCAGCCAAGTTGACATATTAAATTAACCCTTGTAGTCCCTTTTTAAACTTACACCCATTGCAATTTAGGTCGCTGCTATGGAGCAAGCCACAGAACCTGGCCTCTTAACTCATTTACCCGGGCTGACCCATTAGGCCTTTGAGTCACCAACACCTCACTAGAGAACAAGCATAATGAAGAAGCTCTGCTGTAATTCGTTAATGTTAACACTTTTTTCTTTAAAGATGTCTCATGCTGAGCTTCGTGGCACACGCCTATAATCCCAGCACTTTGGGAGGCTGAGATGAGAGGATGGCTTGAGCTCAGAGGTTCGAGACCAGCCTGGGCAGCATAGTAAGATTCCGTCTCTACAAAAAAGAAAAGAAAAAAAGTTGTCTCATAATTATTAAAAACCACTATTCCAGATCATGGATAATAATAGTCAGAACAGGTATATTGTTGAAAAAGAAAAAAAAAAACCGGAAGCAGTCGCTTTCAGCTTTGTAATACCGCAGCAAATGTCATAGTAGACAAGGGTTTTTTTAAAGTAGGAGATTAGTGGCGTCTCTGCTGATGGGGGTTCTGGGTGTTTAAAAACCAGAGAAAGGAACCGGCGGTTTTAGGGACTAGGTCCCAGCTTCTCAGGACAGCCTGAGGACCCCCCGAGAGCTGCCATCACCATGCCGTCCTCGGCTGTGGGTCACTGCTGGTGAGGTCCATCCTGCACTGCGGGACACAGGGGCACAGGCTGAGCGGTGCCCACCAAGGAGGCAGGAGCAGCGGGTGGAGGCGCCGGGGCAGACTGTCCCTCTCCTGGAAATGGAGTGATTTACATTTGGCATCTGTTTGGACCCCAGAGTGGGAATTGGCTTTGTAATTTCTTCTGTCATGCCGCTCTCAGAAAATTAAGCTGTTTACCCGACAGACTATGGAAGGTTAACGGCTCTTCTGGGAAAGGTCAAGTGGTCATTTGCAGGGAGGCTGTGCTGAATAATCTGAAACGGCAGAAGAATAAAGCATAAAATCGCATCTGACTCCTCCTCCCGGGCTTCCCCCTTTCTTTCCAGCATCCACGGGTTCCTCTTTGTGGCTAGAACATTCACGTCCTAAGTGGGGCTGCCGTTGGCTGGGTTAAACCAGTAACCAGTAACAGGAGAAATACGTCGCATCTCTAGTGTGTGGAGATTACCGGGCCTTTATATTAAAAAAAAATTTTAAGTGCTTATATTTGCTCTGTCTCTAAAAAATGTTTCCAGGTAACAGTTGGCCTCAAGATGCCTTTTTGTTTTTCTGAATGAATAAGGAATAAAGAAAAATTCTGGGCACTATAAAATCAAGCCCAGATTCAGTTTTTTAAAAAATAAACGTTAAAGTTTCTCATTTTGATTTCTGGAAGTTCGTGTTCTCCTTGGACTCTAAAGATTAGCATGCAAAGACAAGGTTTTGATTGTGTATTTTCAGTTGCACGTTCAGTTTTTTTAAAATCCCATCCAGGACTAAATTTAAACATAAGAAAATCCAGGTTTCTTTCGCTTTCGAAGAGGCTGCAGGGAACTTGAGGCCAGAGGAAGTGGCGCCGCGTGGGTCCCCTTAGGAGGTTTTGCCAGATGATGGGAGGTGCTTGCTCCCGTCCACCCAACCTCTAGCTCCTCCAGCCGGCCCCAGGGTAGCTGAGGGACAGGGGTCTGGGCCCAGAAGCCCCCAGAATCCTCAGCTCCAAACAGAGCTGTACCTGTCGCAATGGAGTAGTTTTGTTGATTTCAGGTTTTCTTTTGTTGCTGGGTAAGCATTTCCTGTGTGGGGTATATTCTTTCCTCCGTCCTGGCTTACTTCCACACATCACTTCATTAGGGAGGCCCTCCCTACCCACCTCGATGCCCTCCTTCTCCTGGCACAGGTGGGCAGGAGGGGACGAGGGTCATGGCCTTTGAGGGCCTGCAGAGGGCCTTGCCTGTGGTGGCGTGGCCACCCTGGTCCTCAGCAGGGTGCTCAGTGGATTCCAAGGTGCTCCCTGGACCCGGACCTCCCCTTCACTTCCTTTTAGCTCAGGTCTCAGCTTTCCATGCCTCTGCTGCCTCCCTGAACCCAGCCTGTCCCCCGCCCTGTTCAAGCAGACTGCCCCTCCCCTGGGTCCTGCCCTTTAAAGTTTGTCTGTGGGCTTCTTTGCTTCCCCACCAGACTGTGAGTCCCTGTGGAGCAGGCTGGGGCTGGGAGTATCCCTGAGTCCTGCAAAGGGCTGTGGAGCATCTGGGATCGTTAATGCCAAGGGGGACCAAGGTAACCTGGGCCATTTGCAGCACCAGCCAGTGCAGGCCCCAGGACCCGGTGTCCCCTCACTGTTTCCTGAGAACTCTGGACCCCACTAAGGAAACCATCAGACCAAAGTAGCTGATTGTCCAACTGGGAAAAAGAAAAAGCAGTACTTTTTTAGGCCATGTAAATGCAAAATATACATTTGAAGTCTGCGTTTAAGACATGAACTTAGAGATTTCTAAGCCTGTTTTTGGGGGTCACTCTAAAAGGGAGGGCATTTTCAGGTCCCCCCTCTGTGAGCATTCACAGCATCCCAGCCAGCCTGTATCCCTGTGCCGTGACCCCAGAGCACAGAGCCTCAGAGGCTGTGGAACAGGCCTGGGGTTCACGTGGAGAGTCCCAAGCCCACGTCATGACAGGAGATGCCCACACCTTCAACAAACAGACTCCAAGCTCCAAAGCTGCCTAACAGGAGTGGCAGGGGGACCAGCCCTGGCAAGGCCCAGGTTTGGCTGAAGCCCGTACCTGCAGCCCAGCTTGTAAGTTTAGCCGGGAAGCATCTGAGGCAGGCAGTGGAGGACGCACAGGGGTGAGCGGTTCATCTCACAGGTGTGGCTGGGTGCCTGCTACAGCTTCAAGGCATCAGGTGGGGCAGAAAGGGACAGGCAGGGTGCCCAGGAGTGGCGGAGCTGGAGGAAGGGCACAGCCCCAGGGCAGCTCCCGAGGAGCTCAGTTCTCACACCCCAGGTGGTCACAGAACACATTTCAGCCCCCAAATTGAACAGGGCTGTGTTCATTTTTTCCTTCCCCCAGCTCATCTTATTGCTTGTGTCAGCCTGGGTGAAAGGTTATTTATAATAATATTCTCCTGTCTCATCTGGGCAGCTTCTGCATGGAAGGTACCGAGTTAATAACTTTGCATGCGTTATTTTGTTCAAGCTTCACAGCAATCCGTGAGGTAGGTATTGTTTGTTGTTCGTTTTGCCCATTTTACAGATTAGGAAACTGAGGCCCACAGGCGTAAGCAACCCAAAGTCACACCGTTAGAAGGCAGTGAGATCTGAATGCTCAAGTCAGCATGCGCTCTTCTTCCCTCTCGTTTTCTGCATACGTGCTTTCTCCACGTCTCCCATATCGTAAGGGCATGGCAGGAGGAGAGGGAAACTGATGTGATGGTGGATGGCAAAACATTTTAGTGGTTCCAAGAATCAAGCCCCCTTGTGTATTCTTGGCTTTCAATGAACTGCGTCTTCAGAGCAGCGCAGGTTAAACCACTTTCTCGCCTCATTGTAGTCAATTGGCTTAGTTCAGCCAGAGCCAGGTCTGGCCCACCATGTGTCTGGACTGTGAGTGCCTTGAGGCTCAGTGTGACGCGATCGTAGGGTGAGCCTGGCCGGGCTGCAGCCAGCCACCAAGCCAGCCCTGGGCTCAAAGAGCAGTGAGGCCATTTTGAGAGAGGAATGCTCCCTCGTGCAGAGCCTGTCTCCACCTCCATGAGACGGGAAGGAACAGTTGTCTTCTCATAAAAGCATCTGGCGCCCATGAAACCTGGCACCTCGCTTGACCTCCGGCTAACGGGATGCGGCAGGGTGCTGTGGAACTAATGGAGTTCTCTTCTTCAGCCAGCAATTAGGGGTTAATTATTAGCAATTAGGGGTTCGCCACATACCCCGTGGACCTGCTGTTCCTTCCCAGGACACAGGTCACTTGTCATTCTCTGTGTTAGCAACTGAAACCGTCTGCCTTCTGGGTCCCCTGTTAATCATTGCAGCAGGGTCCCCACGAGTCTGACAGCAGGGTTGCGTTCTGTGCGACCTGTGGCATCCCTGGAGCTGCTGGCTGCTGCGCTCGCCCCACTGGGTGTGGCGGCCTGCCGCCCGGCTCTGTGGTGCTGGTCCCCTGCGGTCATTCTCAGCGTAGCGCCTGGACTGCCCCTCAGCCGCGGCTTGGCTCTGCAGCCAGCGGGACAGGCCCGGTGCTCAGCTCCCGATACTTAGCATCCTGCGGTCAGCTCCCCGTGCTCAGCATCCCGTGCTCCGTTCTGCTCTCTCCTAGGCGTTACTACAAGGAGACCTCTGGCCTGATGCTGGACGTTGGTCCCTACATGAAGGCGCTTGAGGTACCAGCCCTGGTTCTGTCCCAAACTCTCTTCAGACCTCAGGGCACCTGGGACTTTTTGGGTCTTTGTTGAGAAGAGGCTGTGCTTAATTAACGTACAAATGGCCTTTTGGGCTTCCACAAAGGCTGCCTTCCTATTCTGGGCTCCCCTGGCCGGGCCCTCGGGCCCTCAGGCCCTCAGCTGTCCTCCTCCCTCCCCATCTCTCCCTTCCCATCCTTCCCATCCTCCCCATCCTCCCCATCCTCCCCATCCTCCCCATCCTCCCCATCCTCCAGTGGGCGCAGCCCCCCCTGCCCGCCGTGGACCCTGCCGCTCTCCCAGCTGCTCTCTGCCACACTCCTCTCGGGCTTGTGGCTTCTGTATCAGTGCTGACCACCGCTCTCATTCCTGACCCTGGGCATCTGCAGCACCTCAAGCTTGACGGGTCCTCACTGGCCTCCTTCCTGACTTCCCCTTCAGTTTCCAAGGCCATCTGTGGCCAGGCCTCCGGGTGGGGCTCCCCTGGGTCCACTCTGGCCCAGGTCCCATTAGCTGCCCCAGGTCAGCCTCACATCCCGTCCCATCCTCACAGCTGCAGCCCCTCCTGCCTGCCTGCCGTCAGGTGGGAGGGAGAGGCAGACGAGCAGATGGAGCCCTGTGATGAGCTGCGAGTGGGCAGGGGAGAAGAGGGGGAGAAGGGATGAGAGGACGGAATTGCAGGCGAGTGAGCAGAGCACTGCTCTGCTGGCCCTTGGGAGCCCTGTAGTTTTGCCAGCTCTTGGATGCCTTCTGCTGTGGGTAGGCCTTTGAGTGGATGGCAGGGTGCCTGGTGCTAGGGGACCTGAGTGACCCGGGCAGCCCTTTCTGGAGTTGTGAGGCTCCTGCCTGTGAGATGAGTTCTCAGGCCCACAGCATCCTGCTTCTTCAAGGCCCTTGACTCTTGGGGGCACATTTGGGACAGTGTTTCCGTGGCTGGGCATACACCTGTTCCTTGATCCCAAACTTATGCCATGTCCCTCTCTCTTTTCCCAGTATGCCTGTGGCATCAAAGCCGAGGTGGTGGGGAAGCCTTCTCCTGAGTTTTTCAAGTCTGCCCTGCAAGCGATAGGAGTGGAAGCCCACCAGGTAGGTTGGCGCCTTGTGAAGTGGGTCAGGGGAGGCAGCCCCGTCAGGGAGGCCCTGGAGCTTGGAATGGATTACAGGACTCAGGCAGCCTGTGGGGTTGGCCAGGCAGCCAAGCGTGGGCTCCCTGTGAAAGCTGACCTGGCTGGGAAGGAGGGGGAAGACAGCAAACGAAATCCACTGAATAGTTTCAACCGTGAAGTTACTTTCAGTATGAAAGCAAGAAGCAGAAATGCCTGCGGCTTTTCCTGAGTTTTTGCTGCTTCTCTGAAAGGATAAGAATTGACAAGTCCTATCAGTGTGTTAATATATCTCACTGGCAAGACAGTGTAACAGCAAGATTACAACAATATGGAGGAAATAATAAAGTCACTCATTTTGCGACCTTTATATTTTGACTATTTTGGGATAGATTGCCTTTCAAACTTCCAAATTTTAGAAAGGAAAAAGAATCGGTTATGATTTTATTGTCTACACCTACCCCAACCCTAAGTGAGTCTGGCTTCGTCCTCCAGTGGGTTTTCTTTTCTTTTTCTTTTTTTTTTTTTTTTTTTTTTGAGCCAATGTCTCCATTTGTCACCCTGGCTAGAGTGCAGTGTAGTGGCACAGTCATGGCTCACTGCAGCCTGGACCTCCCAGGCTCAAGCGATCCTGCCATCTCAGTGCCCCCTTAACCCCCTTACTAACCAGGCCCCCCCCCCGCCAACCCCAACTGAGTAGCTGGGACTACAGGTATATGCCACCACGCCTGGCAAACTTTTTTTTTTTTTTTTTGAGACAGAGTCTCACTCTGTCACCCAGGCTGGAGTGCAGTGGCGCTGTCTCGGCTCACTGCAACCTCCACCTCCTGGGTTCAAGCAATTCTTCTGCCTCAGCCTCCTGATGAGCTGGGACTACAGGTGTGCACCACCACACCAGCTAATTTTTTATTTTTAGTAGAGACAGGGTTTCACCATGTTGGCCAGGCTGGTCTCAAATTCCTGACCTCAGGTTATCTGCCCGCCTTGGCCTCTCAAAGTGCTGGGATTACAGGTGTGAGCCACCATGCCCAGCCCCGGCTAACTTTTGTATTTTCCATAGAGATGGGGTTTTGCCATGTTGCCCAGGCTGGTTTTAAACTCCTAGCTCAAGCCGTCCTCCTGCCTCGGCCTCCCAAAGTGCTGGGATTACAGGCATGAGCCACCAACACACAGCCCCCTCCAGCAGGTTTTCTGAAAGATTGTAAGGAATAGTGGGCAGCCGGCATGGAGGCTGACGCCTGTAGTCCCAACACTTTGGGAGGCTGAGGCAGGTGGATCACTTGAGGTCAGGAGTTTGAGACCAGCCTGGCCAATGTGATGAAACCCCATCTCTACTAAAAATACAGAAAAACAAAAAAAATTAGCTGGGCGAGGTGGTGCATGCCTGGTAATCCCAGCTACTTGGGAAGCTGAGGGATGAGAATTGCTTGAACCTGGGAGGCAGAAGTTGCAGCGAGCCGAGATCATGCCACTGCACTCCACCTGGGTGATAGAGTGAGACTCCTTCTTTAAAAAAAAGAAAAAAGAAACAGAGTCCACAGCTGCCCCAGGCTGTCCTGCTGCCTCCTCAGAAGTGGGCAGCAGAAGCATGGGTTGGGGGTCCCTCAGGTGTCAAGCCTGGTGCATGTTTCCCCTGTGTGCATTTCGGTCCAGAACACTGGTGCCTCATGGTGCTTTGAGAAAGATGGCCCAAAGCTGCCAAAATCTAGACACTGCACCTGCACCTGCCCTGAGATCCATAGAGATGTCAGAAGATGCAGGCTGTCTGGAGTCCCCAGAAAACACCTGGGAAATGTCACATTAGTCTGTTGAGAAGGAAAGGTTTGTGTTTTGAATGAGTGAGAACTGCAGCAATAAATAACCTGGCTTTTTACTACCTTGCTTCATAGGGCAGAATTTCTTTTTTTATTAGAGATTTCAAACATACAGAAAAGTAGAGAGAATGATACAGACACCCCATTATATCCATCATCCAGCTTCAGTGGTTAAGATTTTGCCACATTCCTTTCTTCTATCCTCTTTTTTTTCCTTTTAAAAAATTTACTGGCTGGGTGTGGTGGCCCACGCCTGTAATCCCAGCACTTTGGGAGGCTGAGGCAGGTGGATCACCTGAGGTCAGGAGTTCAAGACCAGCCTGGCCAACATGGTGAAACCCCGTCTCTACTAAAATATAAAAATTAGCCGGGTGTGGTGGTATGCACCTGTAATCCCAGCTACTCAGGAGGCTGAGGCAGGAGAATTGCTTGAGCCCAGGAGGTGGAGGTTGCAGTGAGCCGAAATTGTGCCACTGCATTCCAGCCTGGGCGACAGAGTGAGACTCTATTTCCAAGTAATAGTAATAGTAATGATAATAATAAATTTACTTATTTTTTTGCTTCATATTTTAAAGCAAATCTCAATTGTATCCTTTCATGTTGTAGCATGACATTTAAAAATCACGATTTTTGGATGTAAATACAATACATTAAAACTCCTAACATGGCCAACAGGCATACAAAAAGATACTCAATATCATCATTCATCAGGAAATGCAGATCAAAACTCCAGTGAGATACCACTTCACACTAAGATGACTGTATAGTTAAAAAAAAAAATAGAAAATAACAAGTGTTGGCAAGGATGTAGAGAAATTGGAACCCTTCTCTATTGCTGCTGGGAAGGTGAAATGACAATGCTGCCACGGAAAGCCACTTGGTGGTTCCTCAAAGTTAAACATAGAATTTGCCGTATGACTCAGCAACCCATTTCCAGGTCTATACCCAGAAGAACTGAAACACGTGTTCAAACAAAAACTTGTACACAGATATTCATAGCAGCTCCATACACAATAGCCAAAAGGTAAAAAAAGCCAAGATACCTGCCCATCAACTGATGAAAGGATAACCAAATGTGGTATGTCCATACAGTGGAATATTATTCAGCCATAAAGAGGAATGAAGTTCTGACACATGCTACAGTGTAGATGAACCTTGGTAGCATTATGCTAAGTGAAGGAAGCCAAACACAAAAGGACACATATTGTATTCTTCCATGTATAGCAAATGTCTAGAATGGGCAAATCCATAGAGATGGAAAGGAGATTAGTGGTTGGCAGGGGTCGGGTGCAGGGGAATGGGGAGTGCAGCTTCAGGGTACGAGGTCTCCTTTTGGGATGATACAAATATTCTGGAACTGGGCCGGGCACAGCAGCTCACACCTGTAACCACAGCACTTTGGGAGGCTGAGGAGGGTGAATCACTTGAGGTCAGGAGTTCGAGATCAGCCTGGCCAACATGGTGAAACCCCGTCTCCACTAAAAATACAAACATTAGCCAGACGTGGTGGTGTGCACCTATAATCCTAGCCACTCGGGAGGCTGAGGTGGGAGAATTGCTTGAACCCAGGAGGTGGAGATTGCAGTGAGCCGAGATCGTGCAACTGTGCTCCAGCCTGGGCGACAGAGCCAGACTCTGTCTTAAAAAAAAAAAAAAAAAAAAGAAAAATATTCTGGAACTGGACAGTGATGATGGTGGCACGACGTTCTGAATGTGCTCGATGCCAGTGAATTGAATACTCTGGTCACGGTCATAAATTTTATGTAATGTGTATTTTACCACAATAAACATTTTAAAACCACCTAAAAAATTAACAGTGATTTTTGTTAGTATTATTTAATAGCAACCCATATTTAAATTTCCTTGACTGTCTCAGAAATGCTCTTTTACCGTTGATCTGTTGGAATCCAATCTGAAGAAGCTCCGTGACTTGTGTGTCGTTTTTATGTTTTCTGAGCCTCTCTTTTTAGCCCTCCATCATAGAACATTTGAAATATCTATGTCAGTAGAGAGGGCAGCTCAGGGAACTCCTAGGTACCCATCACTGTGCTTTAATAATTATCAACTAATAACCACTTTAAAATTGTTTTCAACTTTTCATTTTGAAGTAACTTGACACTCACAAAAAGTTGCAAACATAGTACAAAATGTTCACGTGTACCGTTCAGCAGCTTCCCCATCATCATCGAGCAGTGATAAAACCGGGAAATCAACACTGGCACAAGGCGGTTAGCTAACCTAGAGAGCTTATTCAGACACCACCAGTCATCCCACTCATGGCTTTCTGGGGACACGTTGCATGTAGCAGTCATGACCCTAGTGTCCTTTATCTGTGAACTCTGATCACCTGTTGAGGAGGTGTCTTCCAGAGTTCTCTACTGTCATTGCTATTTGTCCCTTTCAGTAATTATCTTTTTTTTTTTGAGACGGAGTCTCGCTGTGTCACCCAGGCTGGAGTGCAGTGGCGCTGTCTCAGCTCACTGCAAGCTCCGCCTCCTGGGTTCACGCCATTCTCCTGCCTCAGCCTCCCAAGTAGCTGGGACTGCAGGCGCCCGCCACCATGCCTGAGTAATTTTTGTTTTTGTATTTTTAGTAGAGATGGGGCTTCACCATGTTAGCCAGGATGGTCTCGATCTCCTGACCTCGTGATCTGCCCGCTTCGGCTCCCAAAGTGCCGGGATTACAGACGTGAGCCACCACGCCCAGCCTTTTTTTTTTTTTTTTTTTTTTTTGAGCAGGAATCTCATCCTGTCACCCAGGCTGGAGTACAATAGCATGATCTCAGCTCACTGCAACCTCCTCCACCTCCTGGGTTCAAGTGATTCTCCTGCCTCAGCCTCCTGAGTAGCTGGGATTACAGGCACCTGCCACCAAGCCCGGCTAATTTTTGTATTTTTAGTAGAGACAGGGTTTCTCCATGTTGGCCAGGCTTGTCTTGAACTCCTGACCTCAGGTGATCTGCCTGCCTTGGCCTCCCAAAGTGCTGGGATTACAAGCGTGAGCCACTGCATCCAACCCTAATAAGTATCTTGTGGGAAAGTTCTTTGACACTATGTAAATATTCTCTTTCTGATCATTAGTTCTAATTTTGGCATCTCTTGATAATTCTTTTATTTTTTTATTTTTTGAGACAGAGTTTCACTCCTGTTGCCCAGGCTGGAGTGCAGTGGTGCCTGGGCTCACCACAACCCCCTCCTCCTGGGTTCAAGCAATTCTCCTGCCTCAGCCTCTTGAGTAGCTGGGATTACAGGCATGTGCCACCACGCCCATCTAATTTTGTGTTTTTAGTAGAGACGGGGTTTCTCCATGTTGGTCAGGCTGGTCTCAAACTCTCAATCTCAGGTGATCCGCCCGCCTCGGCCTCCCAAAGTGCTGGGATTACAGGCATGAGCCACCACATCCGGCCTTCATTGGTGTATTTTATGTGTGGCCCAAGACATTTCTTCTTCCAGTATGGTGCAGGGAAGCCAAAAGATCGGACACCCCTGCTCTAGAGGTTTATGACCAAAATACTGTATTTAAAGCTGCTGGGAATAATTCTTTTTTGTGGGTGGTATTCCCCCAAGTGGACGCTCTTTGAATTCATTTTCATTTTGATGTTTAGGGAATTGGCTTAACATTTACATTTGTTTTGTAGTTATGTAAAACATTTATATGGTTCTAAAATCAAATCCACAAAGCAAGACATATTCAAAGAAGTCCAACTTCTTTTCCTTCTATTTTGTTTTTACCTGTCTCTGGTAGGTAGCCATGTTTATAAATATTAAAGCTATAAATATTTTATAAATATTATAGCTTTTTTTATTTAAAAAATAAGCAACTATGTATATATTTGTATTCCCCTCATAGGATGAATTTAAGAGACAAATTCTCAAAATAATGTGTTTTATATATAGAGAGAAAGGCTAATGCTTTAAGTTTAAAAATCAGTATTTAAAAGTTTATAAGTAGGCTGGGCATGGTGGCTCACACCTGTAATCTCAGCACTTTAGGAGTCCAAGGAGGGCGGATCACCTGAGGTCAGAAGTTCCAGACCAGCCTGGCCAACATGGCAAAACCCCATCTCTACTACAAATACAAAAATTAGCCGGGCCTGGCAGCAGGTGCCTGTAATCCCAGCTACTCAGGAGGCTGAGGTGGGAGAATCACTTGAACCCAGGAGGCGGAGGTTACAGTGAGCCGAGATCCTGCCACTGCACTCCAGCCTGGGTGACAGAGTGAGACTCTGTCTCAAAAAATAAAATAAAATAATATAAGTGGTATGATCACAACCATCTCAAACAGCCCCCTTCCCCCGACCCAAAACCCAAACAAAAACAAAACCCTGCCACTGCCTGGAAAATAAGACCTGGCCAGGTGCCATGGCTCACGCCTGAAATCCCAGCACTTTGGGAGGCCGAGGTGGGCAGGTCATTAGAGCCCAAAAGTTTGAGACCAGCCTGGGCAACACGGAAAAACCCCGTCTCTACAGAAAAAATGCAAAAAAAAAAAAAAGGCAGATGTGGTTGCATGTGCCTATGGTTCCAGCTACTTGGGGGGCTGAGGTGGGCAGATTGCTTGGGCCCAGGAGGTTGAGGTTGCAGCAAGCTGAGATTGCACCACTGCACTCCAGCCTGGGCAACTGAGCGAGACCCTGTCTCAAAAAAAAAAAAATAGGAAAGCAAGAAGGAAGGAAGGAAAGAAGGAAGGAAGGAGGGAAGGGGAAGGGAAGAGAGGGGAGGAGACGAGACTGGCTGTCCAGATGGCATTGCTGGTGATATTTGGATGGTCTGACCTTGGGTGGTCTCCCTGCCTTTTTCTTGTGGCATTTTCAGTTATTTTCACAGTCAGCTTCCTTCACATTTCGAATGAGATACAGCCCACCTCACCGCCGAAAGAAGACCCCTCATGGGGGTCTGGTGAATCTGGGTTTGTCGTTTTCGGATGCTGGGGCAGTGCGTCTGGGAGGGAGCGGGGCTGTGGATTCCTGGTGGGTCACCGTGGCTGCTTGAGGCTTTGGTCCCTGCCGCTGCCATCCACCCTGAGCATCTGTGGCCCTGGAGAGCGAAAGACTTGTTTCCTCTGGTGGCTCCGAGCATATGTGGCAAAGCTGTGTCTTATTTACCTCCCACATCATCATCCTCTCCTACCCTCATATGACATTTCTGCCTGTCCCCTTGACAGTGGAGTAGCAGCTGCATGTTCCGAACGTCCCCACCCTGCCATTTTCCTAAAATGCTCACTAACGTTATTTGACTCTCAGGATGTGTAGACATTTTAAAGCTGTATTTCAAGATAAGGCCATTTCAAATGAACTGTGTCTTATGCACAGGGTAATAATTCTCTGTTCCTGGCTTTTTTATTTTTAATGAAAAATGCCTGCAAGGACCTCTCTTGCTGCTGAATGCCAGGCTGTGGCAAACCTTAAATTTTTCCAGCTGCTTTAATCAATAAAGTTATCACCAGTCATTTCCCTTGATCACTGCTGCTTCCCGAGACCCTGACCTGCTTCTTGCTGCTGAGTTTTCAGTCTGCACTCAGAATAGATATAACTCCCCAAATCCAATTTTCATTTTAACCTTTCCTCAGTGGCCTAGAAATCACAGATTGCTGGTATTATGCTAATAGATTGGAAATTCAAACCTCTTAGAGGCAACCTGGCCCTTTCTAGGATTCAGTAATAAGGCAAAGAATAACATACCTTAAAGGTTACTTCTAGAAATATCTAATTCTCACGGTTTAAGCTTCTGAATCAGTGGATGGTTTTATAGCTTCATATGAGCACCCAAGTGATGTGAAGGTTTTGGCAGTTCTCCATCATCATAAGAAGTTCTGTGGGATGCAAATCCTGCAGGTTTAGTGGAGATTGAGACTGTTCAAACCAGAGCACTTAGTTATATGTGACAGCCAAGAACCCTCGCCTGGAGGGGCCCGTTTCACAGGTGAGGAGCCTGAAGCTTAGAGATGAAACACCTTGTCATAGGCGCTTTGCATTCCCACCATGAGGTTAAGACAGGATTTCTCAGGCTGGGCGCAGTTGCTCACACCTGTAATCCCAGCACTTTGGGAGGCCGAGGTGGGTGGATCACGAGCCCAGGAGTTCGAGACCAGCCTGGGTAACATGGTGAAACCCTGTCTCTACAAAAAAATACAAAAATTAACTGGGCATGGTGGCTGGCACATGCCTGTGGTCCCAGCTGCTCAGGAAGCTGACGCACGAGATTCGCTTGAATCTGGGAGGCAGGGGTTGCAGTGAGCCAAGATGGTACCACTGTACTCTAGGCTGGACAAGAGAGTAAGACCTTGTCTCAAAAAAAACAACAAACCCCCCCCCCACCCCGCGGTTTCTCAACCTCGACACTTGGTGTTTTTGGACTGGGTCATTTTGTGGTGAGGGGATGTCCTATGCATTGTAGGGTGCTAAACAGCATCCCACTGTCCGCCCACTACATGGGACCACCCCCTTCCCAAGCTGTGAAACCAAAATTGTCTGTAGACATTGCCAGATGTGCCCTGGGGAGAACCGCAGCATTAAGCGGTATTAAGAGAACGGTTACGGAGAACTCTAGTACTGAACCCAAGATTACTTTGCCAATGAGGAGTGAAGCCAGGCACCAAACCATCGTCTTCCAGCCCCGTCCAGTGCTCTTTGCCATAGCCCAACTCTCAGGGAGGACCAGCGGTGCAGCAGAATTTCTTAGGGAGGTGGGGAGGGTAGGGAGGATTTCAGGTTGGGGGGTAGGGAAGATTTCAGGTTGGCGGGTAGGGAAGATTTCAAGTGGGGTGGGTAAGGAGGATTTCAGGTTGGGGGGTAGGGAAGATTTCAAGTGGGGTGGGTAAGGAGGATTTCAGGTTGGGGGGGGTAGGGAGGATTTCAGGTGGGGGGGTAGGGAGGATTTCAGGTAGGGGGTAGGGAGGATTTCAGGTGGAGAGGTAGACAGGATTTCAGGTTGGGGGGTAGGGAGGATTTCAGGTTGGGGGGTAGACAGGATTTCAGGTGGGGGGGTAGGGAGGATTTCAGGTGGGCGGGTAGACAGGATTTCAGGTGAGGGGGGTAGGGAGGATTTCAGGTCGGGGGGTAGACAGGATTTCAGGTGAGGGGGGTAGGGAGGATTTCAGGTGTAGGGGTAGACAGGATTTCAGGTGGGGGGGTAGGGAGGATTTCAGGTGCAGGGGTAGACAGGATTTCAGGTCGGGGGGTTAGAGAGGATTTCAGGTGGGAGGGTAGGCAGGATTTCAGGTCAGGGGGATAGACAGGATTTCAGGTGGGGGGATAGGGAAGATTTCAGGTGTGGAGGGTAGGCAGGATTTCAGGTCGGGGGGGTAGACAGGATTTCAGGTGGGGGGGTAGGGAGGATTTCAGGTGTGGAGGGTAGACAGGATTTCAGGTGGGGGGGTAGGGAGGATTTCAGGTGTGGAGGGTAGACAGGATTTCAGGTGGGGGGATAGGGAGTATTTCAGGTGGGGAGGGTAGGGAGGATTTCAGGTGTGGAGGGTAGACAGGATTTCAGGTGGGGGGATAGGGAGGATTTCAGGTGTGGAGGGTAGACAGGATTTCAGGTGGGGGGATAGGGAGTATTTCAGGTGGGGAGGGTAGGGAGGATTTCAGGTGTGGAGGGTAGACAGGATTTCAGGTGGGGGGATAGGGAGTATTTCAGGTGTGGAGGGTAGACAGGATTTCAGGTGTGGAGGGTAGACAGGATTTCAGGTGGGGGGATAGGGAGTATTTCAGGTGGGGAGGGTAGACAGGATTTCAGGTGTGGAGGGTAGACAGGATTTCAGGTGGGGGGGTAGGGAGGATTTCAGGTGTGGAGGGTAGACAGGATTTCAGGTGGGGGGATAGGGAGTATTTCAGGTGGGGGGGGTAGGGAGGATTTCAGGTGTGGAGGGTAGACAGGATTTCAGGTGGGGGGGTAGGGAGGATTTCAGGTGGGGGGGTAGGCAGGATTTCAGGTCGGGGGGGTAGACAGGATTTCAGGTGGGGAGGGTAGGCATGAGGGCTGCAGTGATCTTCATGGCTCGCACCCTCAGAACTGCCTGTGAAAAATGGGGGTGAGGTTTGCAGGCTTATCCAGAGGCCTGGCCATATAAACTCAAAGGTGCCCTACCATTTCGTTCCCTGATTCTCAGGGCATCAGTCCTGACTATAGGGGTCTGGGGACAGTCTGTACCCCTAGGGGGAGGCTGGTGAGTGGGGAGTACATGTCTGTCCACATGGGGGCCACTCCGGCCCAGTTCTTTCTGCTGTGGCCTCCCTCCCCCATGGGTGTTTCCACTGAGGCCTCCCCACGAACTCTGTTGGCTGAGCCCCACCTCCCAGCCGTGGGCATTTTCTTTGGATTGTCAGTGTGGGGATGACCCTGCTCAACTCCTGACTGGGAGCAGGCTGGCCTGCTGGGCCGTGCCCACTTCCAGCACTGAAAGAATGGGCCCAGGACGGGGGTCAGCCCTCCTGCAGCCCTGGTTTGAATTGGAAACTCTGTCCACCGATGCCTGGCACCTGGCACCTAGCCCTGCAGCTGTGGGTCTGAAACTGACGGGAGTTGCAGGAGCTTCCGGCCCTGGCTTTGTCTTTGTGATGTGTCCTAGTCATAAGGTGCTCTGAGACCTCATGGCTTAGTTTTCCTTCAGAGTTTTTTCTCCCTTGGAGGCTTTTTTTTTTTTTTAAGTAGATTTTATTTTCTTCTCAAAACACAAGTATTTAAAATATCTGATTATGAAGCAACTCATGCTCATTAAAGGAGCTAAGAAAAATTCAGGAAAGTACAAGAAGAAAAGAAACCACTCATTTCACCAGCCCAGAATAACACAAATCATGCTTGATCTTGCCAATTTTTTGTGTCTATATATACATTTTTAACACAAAATTGGGATAATCTTGTATCTGCTGTTTGAAATCTGAGTTTTCCCCCTTAATATCCTATTGGGGACAATTTTTGTTAACTTATATTTTAGGTTCAGGGATACGTGTGCAGGTTTGTGATACAGGTACATTGTGTGTCTTGGGGGTTTGGTGTGCAGATTATTTTGTCCTCCAGGTCATAAGCCTAGTACCTGTTGGGGTAGTTTTTCAATCCTCACCCTCCTCCCACCCTCCACCCTCAGGTAGGCCCTGGTATCTGTTGTTGCCCTGTGTCCATGTGTATTCAGTATTTAGCCCCCACTTATAAGTGCAAACACACAGTATTTGGTTTTCTGTTCCTGCATTAGTTTGCTTAGGATAATGGCCTCCAGTTCCATCCCTGTAGCTGCAAACGACATGACCTTGTTCTTTTTTAGGGGACAGCTGTCTTTGTGCTTATTGAAGCACTTTAACGAAGCAGTTTTCACAGCTGCATACTATTCCACTGTTCAGACTCCCGTCATATTCTTGACCATTTCCTATTGATGGAGATGAGGCTGCTTCCAGTTTCGCTCTTGTGCGTAACCCTGATGAACACATCTTGTATGTACATCCTCTTGTACATTTCTAATTATTTGCTCCAAATCCTAGTGGTGTGGCTGGGAGGCTGTGATGCATGTTGCTTATTTCTGTTTCAGAAAGGTGTGTCCGTTCACCTTCCTGACCTGCTGCGTATACAGATGCTTGTTTCCCCACATCCTTACCAACACCATGATTTCTGACTTTTTTTTTTTAAAGTGGTCTTTGAGTTTTGCTGTTAGTCTTGTTCCTTATGAAGGTGTCCGACCACAGTGGCAATTACTCAGCATTGCACTGTCTCCAGGTCTCTGTGGGAGCCTGGGTTCCTTTGGGGCCTGGATTCAGGGCTCATCCTAGAGTGAGCTGTCATCTCAGGGCATCTCCCTGGGGGATATGTGCACCCCAGAGCTGCAGTTACAGACACTGAGCTCACTCCACCTTCACCACCCAGCCCTGCTGCTTCCCGCCCTAATCCTCCTGGCAGAGCCCCTGGATAAGGAAAATATTTGTGAACCACGGAAGCTCTTTGGTGCTGGAATTTTGCACTCCAAAGCATCGCCGCCTGTTAGATGATGTTTCCCTCCAGCACCTAGGACACTGAAGAGGAGACCAGGGCAGGCAGGCAGATGCGTAAGAGGGAGGATTGACTGCTGTAGCACCCGACCCAGGACACCTGCCTCTGGGACTGTGGCGCCTCCATCCGGCTCTCTGGATCCTGGGTTCTGGGGGGTCCGACCTTTCATTTTTTTCTCCGCCTCACACCCCACCATGTCGTGTCTGAAAGGAAGCGAAGCCCAGCCCTGGCAGGTGGAGTATTTTTATTTCCCCTGACAGCGCACCTCCTGACCTCTATCTTCTTGCCAGTGATTTTTTAAATCCTAAATGATTTGGCAATAATTGCTCCTCCTTGCGTGATTATTGCCCTTCACCGATAGTAAATCTGGGAATCCCCTGGGGTCCTGAGCGCACTTTGGTATGCGGAGCCCACAAGCTGGCCTGGACAGGCATCACTGCTCCAGGCAGCTGTGCACCCAGCCGGCCCTGGCGTCCCGGCCCCCAGCCTCCGCCTCCCTCGCCGACAGCTTCCCGGGGCTCTGCCTGGAGGCAGCCTCGCTTTATCCCGCAGAACCTCCACGCTGTTCCTGCATGAGAACTCTTCCTCCAAGAGACCACGTTCCTCTGGTCCTGTCTCCGTGGGCCACATCCACAAATGTTCCAGCCCAGGAAGAACCAAGTCTGTATTCTGGGAGGGAAACCTGTGTGCTGTCTGGTTTTGTATGTGGGAGGAGCATGCACACAGTTTCATTTTCCCCGGAAGCATGGAGGTGTAGGATGACATGTAATATTTGGAAGACCCATTGCATTTCCAAGGAACCTTCTAGCAGGATGGCCCTGGAGTCTCTGGCAGCAGTGGACATGGTCCTGAATTGGAGTGCTGTGAATGTTCACTGCTGACCTCACGGTTTGAAGACAATTCCTTGAGAAGGGCAGAGGGGACCCGAATACGGGGGCTCTGGCCGGCCCTGCTGCCAGATGCCAGCAGCCGTGGGGGCTTGCCCGGCCAGCCCTGGCTTTTCCCAACCCTCAGAGTGCCCCTTGTGCATGCAGCAGACACTGGTGCTGGTCCCATTCCCGGGAGCACGCGGTGCCACTGGCTGTGTCTTGCCTGGCCAGGTGTTGGTTTGATAGACTCGAAAACCTCATTTGGATTTGGCAGGATTTTCCCTAACATCAGTCATTCTGGAAAAAACACTTTGAATTTTTACCATATCTGGGTATTTTTACCATATCTGGGTACTTGCCACTAGCTCTATTTACTTCACGTTTCTTAAAATTGATTCATTTTATTACTTAAATAAATGTATTTTAAAAGGAACTTTTGATGACTACTATAAATGGAAAACCAGAATCTCTCACTTACCATAATAGATTAATCTAAAAATAAAGACCACATGATTACATTAAAATGTATGTCCTTGCTCTGCCTGGAGTCAAATAGTATGTCACCCGTGTGCATGACACACTCTGGGAAGCACAGGGGTGGGTGGAGGAAAGATCAGAGAAAATCCGTGGAAAGTATGAAGTAGAGAGCACCACACCAGGAAGACGTGGTTTTATTTCAGTACCTCATGTCTCGCGGTGGCTTGCGGCTACCAGTAACTGGCAGAATTCTCAACATTGTGGCCCTCAGCCACCTCCTCCGAGCTCTCTCTCAGCACCACCATCCGCCGTGGCTTCTCTGAGGGAGGCCCCTCTGGCCTCTGCTTGACTATGATACATGTCGAGTCCATGCCGAGTGGCAGAAAAGCTCCGTTTTCAGCTGAAACTACCTCCCTGGCCTCAGGGGGCCTCATTGGCTCTGTCTTTGTACTTTCTCAATGGCTCCTGATGATTCCTTGGTTATCTGAAGGCCTGTTTGGGAGACGGTTCCCAGGACAGTTGCTTCAGGCTTATATGTGTGTGCTTTCTGGAATTCACAGCATGGCGTGCCCTGGTGAGTGGTGGGGAGATGGGTAGTGAACACGTGTGGTAGCCCCTGCTGGGCGTGTCCCACCTGTCCTCCATGTCCTACAACCTGGTTGGCCCCTTTTGCTTGTCAGAGCAAAGCTCAGAACCTCACCTCCTCTGGGAGGCCTTTCCTGACCACCCACAAGCCCAGTAGGTCAGGAGGTCAGGCCTCACAGCCTCCTGTGTGTTATCCCAGGCCCTGATGATGAGACTGTGGAATTACCTGATTAATGTCTGTCTTTAGCACTTGTCGTGAGCTCCGTAAGTGCTGGGACTGCATGTGTCTGATTCACACTGTGTGCCCACTGCCTGGCCTGGCACTGGCCTGCGAAGGCCTAGGGCAAAGGTATCAAGTAACCAGGGCAAGGGTGCCTGTTGCAGGTCGGGGGCCTCTCTGATGTGGTGAGATAGGGAATTTCCTCAACGAAACATTTCCTCATGTTTCTGTTTCCTTTGTAACATGTTTAGGCCGGGCGCGGTGGCTCACACCTGTAATTCCAGCACTTTGGGAGGCTGAGGCAGGTGGATGACTTGGTCAGGAGATCAAGACCATCTTGGTTAACACGGTGAAACCCCGTCTCTACTAAAAATACAAAACAAACAGCGGGGCATGGTGGCAGCCGCCTGTAATCCCAGCTACTCAGGAGGCTGAGGCAGGAGAATGGCGTGAACCTGGGAGGCGGAGCTTGCAGTGAGCCGAGATCGCGCCACTGCACTCCAGCCTGGGTGACAGAGCGGGACTCCGTCTCAAAAAAAAAAAAAAAAAAAAAAAGTTTAGGTAATGTATTATGTCCTGGCCCTGTGCTGGGTGCTTCACTAAGATGATTTCCTTTAAACGCCACACCTGTTATACCCATTTTACAGATGGAGGTGGAGGCTGGCCCAAGGTCACACAGCCAGCAAACAGGAGAGCTGGGATCTCCACCCCACTGCTCTAGCTCAGCGTGAGACAGGAGTGAGTCTGTGCATCTGCTGGCCACATCGGGCCCGCCCCCTCTTTCTGTGGTCCCCTTCCCCCAGATGGAGAGCAAATTCCACCTGGACCCGTCCTTGCAGGCAGAGTCCAAATCTATGGGACACACACTCAGTAAGACTCCCCTGGCTTGGGCATGCTTCATAGTCATCGTTTCATTTTGTCTTGATTTTGGTTTGTGTATTTATCGGTTAGCCCCTCTTAGCATCTGAATTCCAGTGAGAAGACATGTAGTTTGTTTGTTTGTTTGTTTGTTTGTTTGTTTTAAGACAGAGTTTTGCTCTTCTCGCCCAGGCTGGAGTGCAATGGTTGCAATCTTGGCTCATTCTCCTGCCTCAGCCTCCCAAGTAGCTGGGATTACAGGCATCCGCCACCATGCCTGGCTAATTTTTTGTATTTTAATAGAGACGGGTTTCACCATGTTGCCCAGGCTGGTCTGGAACTCCTGGGCTCAAGTGATCTGCCTCCCTCGGCCTCCCACAGTGCTGGAATTACAGGCATGAGTCACTGCGCCCAGCTTTTAATCAGATTTTGGAGTAGGGGAGTGAGAGGAGCTGGTTGGTGGTGGTTTTTTTTTCTTTAAAATTATTATTACTTTTTTTTTCTTTAAAATTATTATTACTTTTTTTTTTTTTTTTTTTTGAGACCGAGTCTCACTCCATCGCCCATGCTGGAGTTCAGTGGCACAATCTCAGCTCACTGCAACCTCCACCTCCCAGGTTCAAGCAATTCGTGTGCCTCAGCCTCCCGAGTATCTGGGATTACAGGTGCATGCCGGGCTAATTTGTATATTTTTAGTGAAGACTGGTTTCACTATGTTGGCCAGGCTGGTCTCGAACTCCTGACCTCAAGTGATCCACCCGCCTCAGCCTCCCAAAGTGCTGGGATTATAGGTGTGTGCTACCACTCCCAGCTGTTTTTTCTTTAAATTACATATATTTATTTATATTAAAAAAAAAAAAAGAGCATGAGTCCATTTAAGCAATAACACATGTTAATGTGGCAAAAGGAGACCCACAAATGACTGACGTTTCAGCCACACTGGCGAGGACTGTATGACTCCCTCCACTCTATGTAGGTGACCAATGGGAAGTCTTGTTTGCGCCTCATAAGTGTGTCCAGACACAGCCAGCCGTGCCGTAATGCAGAGCACTCAGCTGCTCAAGACACATTTGCTGAGCGTCAACCAAGTGCCAGTTGTCAACCCAGATTCCTTGTCCTGAAGGAGCTCCTACTTCTGGAAGGGTGGGATGAGCAGAGTCCATTATGCTGCACTATGACACGGGTGGCACCAGGGTGTGATCCCAGAGTGCTTTGGGAGAGCCACACAACCCAGCCTGGGGGCAGAGGAAAGGTGGTGGTCACCAGAGCTGAGTCCTGAAGGCCTGGGGGGAATTAGCCAGCAGAGGAGGGAGGTGAGCAGGCAGAAGGTCAGCACGTGCCCACAAGGTAATTTTCTGGTGTTGATGTGTATTTCCAGCTATTGTCATTTTCCCTTCGCCCAAAGGACTTCTTCTACATTTCTTGTAGGGTAGATCTCTTGGTGATGAATTATTTCCGCTTCGGATGTCTGAAATATCTTTATTTCATCTTCATTTTGGAAAGATATTTTTGCTGGGTACAGAATTCTAGATGGGCAGTTTTTTCTTTTACTGCTTAAAAGACGGCACTCCACAGTCTTCTCACTTGCATTGTTTCCAACAAGAAATCTAACGTCTTAATCTTCGTTTCTCTGTACATAACATGTCTCTTTTGTCTGACTGTTTTATAAGATTTTCTCCTTGTCACTGGCTTTGAGCAATTTGATTATGATGTGCCTTAATACAGTTTTCTTTGTGTTTCTTGTGTTTGGTGTTCATTGGGATCTTGGATCTGTGGATTTATTATTTTTATCAAGTTTGGAAAAGTTTCAGTCACTATTTCTTCAAATATATTTATGTCTTCTCTCATCTCACTTTTTTTTTTTTTAATCTAATTTAGAGACAGGGTCTTGCTCTGTCGCTCAGGCTGGAGTGCAGTGGCACAAACACAGCTCACTGCAGTCTCAAACTCCCGGGCTCAAGTGATCCTCCCACCTCAGTCTCCCAAGTAGCTGGGACTACAGGCGTGCGCCACCACATCTGGCTAATTTTTTAAATTTTTATAGAGACAGGGTCTTGCGGTGTTGCCTAGGCTGGCCTTGGACTCCTGGGCTCAAGTGATCCTCCCACCTCAGCCTTCCACAGTGCTAGGATGATAGGTGTGAGCCACTGTGCCCCAGCTCATCTCACTTTGAGGAACTCTAATTGCGTGTACATCAGGCCGCTTGAAGTTGTGCCATAGCTCACTGATGCTCTGTTCATTTTTGAAAATAATTTTTCTGCCTCTGTTTCATTTTGGGCAGTTTCTATTGCCATGTCTCCAGGTTCATTCATCTTTTCCTCTGCGGTATCTCTTCTGGCATTAATCCCACCCAGTGTATTTTGATCCCTGACATTGTAGTTTTCATCTCTAGAAGCTTGGTTTGGATTTTTTCTTTTATCTTCCATTTCTCTACTTTTGGAACACATGAAATACCATTACAAGGGCTGACTGAATGCTCTCGTCTGCTCATTCTCACCTCTCTGTCAGTTCTGGCTCAGTTTGGATAAACTCATCTTTCTCCTCCTTCTGCATGATACTTTCCTTCTTTGCACGTCTGATCATTTTTTATTGGGTGCCAGACGTGATCAATTTTACCTTCTTTTTGGGTGCTGGATATTTTTGTGTGCCCATAAAGAATTTCGAACTTTGTTGTGGGATGCAGTTAAATTACTTGAAAACAGTTTGATCCTTCCAGATCTTGCTGTTAAGATTTGGGGGCAGCACCAGAGCAGGGTTGCCCTGGGTGAATCATTCCTCATAGTGAAGCCAGCGGCTTCTGAGATCGCACTCAATGCCCTGTGCATCGTGAGTGAGCTTTCCCAGCCTGGCTGGTGGGGACATAACGCAGTCCTGCGTGAGACACAGGCACCGTTTTCCCTAGTTATTTGGTGTGATTCTTTCCCAGGCTCAGGGAGTTTCCTCCCTCACGTGTGCTGGCAGTGGTCTGCTGAGTACTTGAGGGGACCCTCCACGATCTCCACAGCTCTTTCTCCATGCAGCCTTCTCCTCTCTGATTCCCTGTCCTGTGGACTCTGCTCCTGGGTCTCCCCAGAATCCTAGCTTTGTCTCCCCAGTTCAGGGATCCTACTGGGCTCTACCTGGGTTTCCCTTGGTATTAGTCAGCCCAGTCTGTCATACAAAACACCACAGACTGTGTGGATTCAACAGCAGAAACTTTTTTTCTCACTGTTCTGGAGGCTTGAAGCCTGAGATCAGGGTGCCAGCAAGTCCGGTTTCTGGTGAGGGCTCTCTTCCCAGCTTGTAGATGGCCGCCTTCTTGCAGTGTCCTCCCATGGCCTCTCCTCTGTGCTTGCATGGAGAGGGCACTCCAGTGCCTCTTCCTCTGGTAAGGACAGCAGTCCCATCAGATCAGGGCCCCCTCTGACCTCATTCGCCCTTAAAGAATTACCTCCTTACAGGCCCTGTCTCCAAATACAGTCACGCTGCGGGCTAGTGAATTTGTGGGGGACACACTTGAGTTCACAGCACCCCTCCTGTGTCCACAGTCTGGAAGCATCGAAGGCAGTAGGCTGGGGGCAGTCACAGGAGCCACCTCATTTGTTTCCTGCGTCTCAGAAGTCATTGTCCTTCGTTGCTTGATGTCCGGTGTCCTGAAAGCTGTTGGTTCATAATTTGGTTTTCTGGTTTTTTCAGGTGAGAGAGTTTATCCCAGAGGCTAGTTTTTGAAATGATACCCAGGCTGTGAGCATTTCCTCTGTGTGTGTGTGAATTTTGGTTTGTATATATTATTTTGTTTTTAAGGCAATACCTTCACCATTGAAAGCAAAACCTATATAAAGCAAAACTTACAAAGATTTGCCAGAGATTTGCTTCACTTTCATGGAATCAAGGGCAAATAACCAGGTTACAGAGTCTTTAGGGTCAGGTGAAATTTAGCCTGTGTTCCAGCAGAGGCCAGACAGCGTTCAGCATCCCCGCACGTCCTTGGGGCGCCAAATCACTTTGACGTCTGCTGATTGATTTCAAATTGCACAGATATATACTGTTCAAAGCTGTGGCCTACGGGGGCAGTGTGAGATATATTCAAGGTGGGTTGACTTTTAATCAATACGATGACAATATTATCTTGTTTAATTTGTATGATGGTGGTTGTAAACATCAAATCAAGCCATTTATTATGTCAAAAAAAGATGAAGGAGCCCGGGAATAAAACTCTCCTGACATCACTTCTGAGCGTATTTCACTGCCGTGACAGGCCGTCATGATTGGGGACGATATCGTGGGCGACGTCGGCGGTGCCCAGCGGTGTGGAATGAGAGCGCTGCAGGTGCGCACCGGGAAGTTCAGGTCAGTGCCAGCTGGAGTCATTTATTCACCTTCCTTCCAGGGGATGACCACATTCTCATTCTGTTTTGTTCTTCAAAATAAAGGGGATATTCTTTCCAAATCAAAGAGCAGTATGTGGGCATTCACTATCTTGTATGTAATGGACCTCTAAGAACAGGGCTGAGTGGTCTTTTATAGCAGACAGTGATAAAGTAGAGTGGCTTTTGATACAGGGTCTGGGTTTTGGAATGGCGTGCAGTGCAGAGAGAAATAAGCAAAGGCACTATCCATCCTGGCGGCGGCCCACCAGGGAGTTGGGCCGAATTTGTGCTGCTGTCCCTTTGGCAATTTGATCAGACCCTGCACTACGGCAGTTACAGCTGTGGGCACTCAGCCCCTTGGACAGCCTCCCTCTCCTTTTGTTCACTTTCTCCACTCTGTAAGACACAGAGAGCCTGGAGACGACAGAGGGTTGCTCAGGCATGCCCTGGAGCAGAACCTCCATCTCAAGAAGAAGGTTGTGTTTTATTTGCTGGCAAAAGTCTGCCTGGTCTGGAGCAGCTGTCAGGGGTTGGGAGCTCCCAGGCATGTGGAGGGCCCTGTGGTACCCAAGCTCCAGCTCGCCTGGTCATCGAGAGGATCTTGGACATCAGAGTGTTGCCTTGCCTTATGCTAGATGGTTTCGATTGTGGCCATTCAGAGAAAGTACATCTTTGCAGATGCTGGGGAGACTTGGTTGAAACATGGTTACCTGGAGGTACTTGGATTTGGGGTGGGGGCAGTTACATTTGTCCTGAGAGATCTGCTTAGGCAGGACCAGAGAAGACAGATCAGAGGGCCCGACCGTCGCTCTGAAGTCTCTCCTGCGGGTTGGGAGCTGTGGCTGAGTGCGAGGTGAGTGAGGAAGGCTCAGCGCACCTGGGTCCAGGGTCAGGAAGTTGGTCCCTTCCAGCTACCTCCCAGACCCTCCCAGGCTTCCCCCGACGTGTATGACATATGGGCCTTCTTTCTTTCTTGAAGTTGGGTTTTGTGGCTCCCCTTGGTTAGGCCTGGCCTAAGGGAGTGAGGGAGACCCCACTCACAAGCCACAGGAACGTTTTTTTCCAAGAGACCAGCCAGGGGTCCCCCAGTCCCCAATCCTGCCTTTCCTGCAAAGGTCGCAGAGCCTGGTCTTGCTGCTGCTCCCAGGCGAGGGGCTCTCCGCTGACAGCGGACCTCGGGGCCCTATAGTTGATGCCGGGTGCTGCCTGGCGTCAGCCGTCAGGAGCCCAGCCCGGCGCCCCATGCGTCTCAGGGCACACCTGTGACCCGTGAGCACAAGTGACACCTCCCTGCTTGGGAGCACAGCGGTGTGGCTCGGCAGGAGGTGGAAAGGGAGAACCGTACTGTGTTGTGTACTGGGCTTCTTCCAGTTCCTTGGAGGAGAAACATGTCTGTCCTGAATGCCACCTCAGTTGGGGTCTTTCTGGCCAGCCCAGGCCAGGTGCCCCTATAAACTGAGAATGGGCCTCTGAAGAAGGCCCCCCACAGCCCACGAATGCAGGTGGGCACGAGGGAGGCTGTGCCCACCCTACGCCAGCAAGGGTTGGTGCTTTTCAGATTCCGGTTACCTGCATGCTATTTAAAGAAGAGTACGAGGTGGGCATCCCCCATGACACTGTCTCCCGGAGAGAGAGAAACTCTGTTTTTTTGTTTTTGTTTTTGTTTTTTTGAGACAGAGTCTCCCTCTGTCGCCCAGGCTGGAGTACAGAGGTGCGATCGATCTCAGCTCACTGCAACCTCCGCCTCCCAGGCTCAAGTGATTCTCCTGCCTCAGCCTCCCGAGTAGCTGGGACTACAGGTGTGCACCACCACGCCTGGCTAGTTTTTGTATTTTTAGTGGAGACGGGGTTTCACCATGTTGGCCAGGCTGGTCTCGAACTCCTGACCTCAGGCGAACCACCCGCCTCTTCCTCCGGAAGTGCTGGGATTATACGCGTGAGCCACCGCGCCCGGCCCCAGAGAGAGAAACTCCATCAACAGTTTGCCGAATCCTTCCACACTGCCTTCTCTGCATAGATAAACAGACTGGTAATATTTTGGTTTTTTCTTTTTATAAAAATGGGATGATATTGTTTTGCAGCCTCCTTTTTCCTTGAACACTGTTTTATGGCCTCTTTCTACAAGTGTCTTCATAATGATTTTTTTGGTAATTTTTAAAATTTCAGTAGTTTTTGGAGAACAGGTGGTGTTTGGTTACATGCATAAGTTCTTTAGTGGTGATTTCTGAGATTTTGGTGCACCCATCACCCGAGCAGTATACACTGTACCCAGTGTGTAGTCTTTTATTTCTCACCTACCTCCCACCCTTCCCGGCAAGCCCCCAAAGTCCATTGTATTATTTTTATGCCTTTGCGTCCTCATAACTTAGCTCCCACTTATAAGTGAGAACATACAGTGTTTGGTTTTCCAGTCCTGAGTTACCTCCATTCCTTGAGGTCTCCAACTCCATCTAGGTTTGCTGTTAATGCCATTATTTCGTTCCTTTTTATGGCTAAGTAGTATTCCATGGTGTATATGTACCACATTTTTTTTCTTTGTTTCTTTCTTTTTTTTTCTTTGAGATAGAGTCTTGCTCTGTCACCCAGGCTGGAGTGCAGTGGCGCAGTCTCGGCTCACTGCAAGCTCCGCCTCCCGGGTTCACGCCATTCTCCTGCCTCAGCCTCCCAAGTAGCTGGGACTACAGGCGCCCACCACCACGCCCGGCTAATTTTTTGGTATTTTTAGTAGAGACGGCGTTTCACCATGTTAGCCAGGATGGTCTCGATCTCCTGACCCCGTGATCTGCCCACCTCGGCCTCCCAAAGTGCTAGGATTACAGGTGTGAGCCACCGCGCCCGGCCTCTTTCTTTTTTTTTTAACTTTTAAGTTCAGGGGTACATGTGCAGGTTCATTACATAGGTGAACATGTATCATGGGGGTTTATTGTACAGATTATTTCATCACTCAGATATTAAACCTAGTACCCATTAGTTATTTTTCCTGATCCTCTCCCTCCTCCCCTCTTCACCCTCCAACAGGCCCCAGTGTGTGTGTTATCCTGTGTATCCATGTGTTCAGATGCTGTAGGAAAGGAATCAGTGTAGTGCCGGGCACACAGCAAGCCCTCAGCAAATGGCCAGGGTGGGGAGCACGTGCGGCCACTACTGTCCATATCCATCCGTATCCATGCATATCCATCCATATCCACCAAGCTCCAGACATGGAGTCACCTGCCTCCATTGAAGAGGATGGGACTTAGCCCATTTGTTCCTAACGAGATTTAAAATGTCAGACCTTTTGATTTGTTTGTAAGGATGCAAATCTGCCTTTGTTAACATGCAGGACAAAGGGAGAAGAGTGTTAGCTTGGCTAAGGTAGGGACCCAGTCGCTGGGGGAGGCCACATGGGCATCAAAGGAGGTGGGGCTCTGCGTGTGTAGGTGTGCCCCAGTTAAAGGGATGGGAGGTCTCCCAGCCATTGGTGACTCTCTGGAGCTGCACTGTCAGACACAGTAGCGGCGAGCCGCAGGGGGTGACTTGTAGCTCGCCCACAGTGAGACGTGCAGGAAGTGTAAAATACACACTGGATTTCAGAGACTGGGTGGGGAGAAAGGATTGTGAAAGAGCTCATGAGTATTTTTTTATATCGGCTGCATGTTGAAATGCTGATATTTCGTGTTAATTTCACCCATTTATTTAAATTTTTGTTAACGTGGCTACTAGAAAAGGTTCGCTGGCTTCTGCAGGAGTGTTGGTGGCCCCAGGTGGCAGCTGCCCTCCTCCTGCACTGTCCCCTTCTCCCTCCAGATGGTACTCTTGGTACACAGATACACTGAAATGCTGGAGGGGCGTGGGGTCCTGGATGAGTGGCTGATGGGGCCTCGCTCTCTGGAGGGCTGTTTTGGGACTGGAATTGCCTGCGTGGTGCTCCCTATGGATGTGTGGCCAGCCTGGGGCCAGCACACAGCCTCTGGAGTCAGCCGGGCACCTGCCGCTGGGCCGGCATCCCTTCCTTCCAGGAAATACCCCCAGCCAGGCTCTATGGAGCAGCACCTCGCCCTTCCAGGGCCACCCCCAGCCCTCTGGCACCTCAGCACGGCCCCATTCTGCACAGCGGTGAGCCCCCCAGGGGCAGCAGCTGTGTCTCCTCTGCAGCTGAGGCATGTCGTCGCAACCCTGTGCTGAGCCTCTCCTCTCCTGCAAGTGGCCCAAAGAGGCCTCAACAGGGGCCAATGACCACTGGATGGGTCAGCTGGGCATCAGAAGGCCTTCCAGGCTCTGTCCTCTGTTGGTGGCCTTGGCGGAAATGGGAGAATGAAGGGGGAGGAGGGGTGGCCTTGTCCTGGGCCCAGGTGGCAGAGAGCCCTGCAGTGAGTAACTGCGCTCACACTTGGTTTGAGGCCAGGGCAGCATGGGGAGGCCGTCCAGGCTGGGGCAGCTGGCGGGTGGGGGCAGCGGTCAGTCCTGCCAGTCACTGGCACCAGGAAGGGGGAGAAGCCAGAGGGATGACTGAGGCCTCCCACTGGTCCTGCTGTGGGACGTGCCCTCAGCCAAGGTCTTCTAGTACGGAGCACGCACACGTGCACGCACTTACACGTACACACACACACACACACAATTGTTTCTGAGGCAGCTGTCAGGAGTCTGAGAGGCCGAGAGGTGGCTGAGGAGTGGGATTCGGCCGCTGACTGGCAGTGAGATCTCCTTGTCACCTTAGATGTATCCATTTCTCTTGTTTTCATTATAAAATGGCCCAAAGAGAGTGAAGCCTCGGGGTTGGGAGAGATTGCAGGTGGCTTAGCTCTGGAGGGAAAGTTTTGCAGGGCCTGCTCCCCAGGAAAGCATCATCCCCGGGCAGGGGTGTCTGGAGCTTGGCCCAACAGGGCTGCCCAAGAGCCCTGGACAGGGAAGCACAAAGCTTTCTTTTCATACCTGCTCCCTGTGGAAATCCTGCCCAGCCAGGGGGCGGCCCTCACCTGGCTGGCAGGTAAAGGCCTTCTGGGTGTTCCCTGCCTGCCCTGTTCCCAGGACTCCTGGCGCATTGGACATGGCTGCTCCCCCAGACTCCTCGAGGTCCCATCCAGCCACAGCGTTCCTGCTGCCCAGGCCCTGGACAACAGTGTCTCCTCCGTGGGGGGTCCTGTGCCATGGGTGGCAAATCCTCATGATGCCATGAGTCCTGCAGCCCCAGAGGGTGCTGCTGCCCTGCCGTGAGAGGCTTTTTCAGATGGGACAGCTAGGACCTTGGCCAAGGCCACCTGGCAAGGTTTTACAGAAGCTGGACTGGAACCTGGCCGCCCCCAGTCCCCTGGGCGGGTGCTTTTCCTGCACTTTTCCCTGGTAGAATGTCCTGCCCTTGGGGCCACATTTTGCAGCAGTCACAGGGCCTGGCCTCACTCCAGGGCTCCATGTTTGGATGCGAGGCCCAGTGGGTAAGTGCACTGCTGCCCACGCCCCCCCCCAAGCACTGTCTGCTCCTCCCTGCTTGCCTGCCTGTCAAGGCAGCCCTCATCTTCCTTGGAGGATGGGGCTGGGCTGGGAGCCTGCGCCCTCCCATTCTGACAAATGAGTAGAGGGAAGGGACGTTTTGCCCAGTTCCAAGGTGCCCTCTCTGTCCTCAGTGGAGAAGGAAGAGCCGCTGGCACATCTGAGCCACAGACCCTTCCTGCCTCTTATATCCCCACCAACCTGTGTTCCTGTGGACATGCCAGAAACCAGGCCGTGTGGCCTCTCACCACCCCATCACTCTGTTCGCTGTTCCACGCCACACCCTGCAGCCACCACCCAGTCAAAGGCGCCACTGCCTGGGAAGCCCCTGCGCTAGTCCTGGTGCTGCTGTGTAAATAAAGCCGCGATGCGGAGCTCGCCTCTGGTCTTCTCTTATTGTTTACCCAAGGCTGGCAGATGTTTTATAAGCCCCGAACGTTCTTGACAAACAGTTTGCCCTTCGGAGAGGGAAAGTTTCCTGGACCGTGATTCCCGACATCCTGCAAGGTCCCTTCTAGCTGTGGCCTGGGTGCTGAAGGGGTTTCCCCCCAGTGGGGTGGCCAGCCGATCTAGGATTCCAGCCGCCTTGCACAAAGCTGGAAGACGAGGGGCTGCAGGGTGCATGGCTGTGGAGCTGGCTGCGTCGGGAGGGAGAGTGCCCCCACGCCTGGCCTTTGACCTTGGAAGCGGCTGCCGTCAAAGCAGCAGCTTGTCCTGGGTCTTCCCAGACTTCGCAGTGACGGATTTCAGAGTGTTTCCTGTTACGAGAAGGCTGTGGATTCGCTTTGGAACATGACAGATTTTTCTTCTGTGCTACGTGGAGTGTGAGGGAAGGAAGTGAAACTGGTGTTAATTTTTCAGCAGTCACATGTCAAAGTGAGTGGCTAGCAAGCAGGGGGGTCCAGGCTGTGGTGGCCCTGGTCAGCCTTCCAGGAGTCAGGACCCTCCTGCTGCCCTCCTGTGTAAACAGACCAGCCAGGGCAATCCGAGCCAGCCCCGGTGGAGAGAAAGGGCCAGTGCTGGGCTTGGGAGCTCACCCCAAGTTCCTCGGGTACTCATCCTGGCAGTGCAGGGAAGGGCACCGGGAACAGGCCTGTGGAAAAATCCACTGTGCAATGAGTCCGTGAATCCCAGACATCCTCTCAGCAGCCCTCTGGTCCTGCCCGGGATAGAGGCTGTGGCTTCTGGTGTAGGTGGGCACTTCTGGGCTCAGAGGGGTCATTTAGCTCACCTGAGGTCACACGGAGTGGGACCCACCCCAATTTAAGCCTGTACACTTTTTTCTTTTGTCTCTTTTGGTAACAGCTTTATTGAGAAATCACTCCCACGCTGTATAACTCAGTGGTTTTCATACATTCACAGAGCTGTGCAGTCGTCACCACAATTTTATAACATTTCATCACCCCAAAAAGAAGCCTCAAATCGTTTAGCTATTATTAGCAAAGACCCCCCACATTCCACCCAGCCCCAGACAATCACTAATCTACTTTATGTCATACTTTCTTTCTTTTGTTTTCATTTTTTTTTTTTTTTTTTTGAGACAGAGTCTCACTCTGACAGCCAGGCTGGAGTGCAGTAGCATGATCTTGGCTCACTACAACCTCCGCCTCCCAGGTTCAAGCGATTCTCCTGCCTCAGCCTCCCAAGTAGCTGGGATTATAGCCACGCACCACCATGCCCAACTAATTTATGTATTTTTAGTAGAGATGGGGTTTCACCACGTTGGCCAAACTGGTCTCAAACTCCTGACCTCAAATGATCCCCCCGCCTTGACCTCCCAAAGTGCTGGGATTACAGGCATGAGCCACCGTGTCTGGCCTTATGTCATACTTTCATTTGAAAAATTTAGAAAAATTAAATTGGCCCAGGAGTTTGAGACCAGCCTGGGCAACATAGCGAGACCTCATTTCTATTAAAAATCAAAATTAGCCAGGTGTGGTGACACCCACCTGTGGTCCCAGCTACTCGGGAGGCTGAGGCAGGAGGATCTCTTAAACCCAGGAGGTCCACGAGGCTGCAGTGAGCTGTGATCATACCACTGCACTTCAGCCTGGGTGACAGAGCAAGACCTTGTCTCAAAAAGAAATTTTTTTAAATTGTGGTAAAATATATATAACATAAAATATGCCATTAAACAATTGTGATGTGAAGTGAATAAAATTTGAATACACAGCATAATGAATAACAAAGCAAACACTCTAAGGTCAAGAATTAGGAGGCTATCAGCTCCCCAGAAGACCTAGTCCCTGATTGACATGCCCAGTCCTGCAGAGGCGGCCCCGCCTTGCCGTGGGCACAGTGGCCGCGGTGACTGGGCCTGCTTTCTTCTCCCACATGGCTGGCTTCCCTCCAACATGGCGCTGGCTCTTCCTTCTCTGACCTTTATCCAAGTGGAATCGCACACTGTACCGTTGAGCTGTGGCTTGTTCATCGTGTCCTCTGTGGCTCCAACACCCCTCTCTGCCCGTCCCTCAGAGGGAACATCTGGGTGGGTCCCAGTTTGGCCCTTCTGCACTGGCTGCCAGGAATGTTCTGGTTTTTGTCTCCTGGACACATGGGCGTGAGTCCTTCTGGGGCGGATCTGCTGATAGATGGCAGTGCTGGGTCATGGAGGAGCATATGTTCAACTTGACCAGATGAGGCCAGACGGGTTTATGCCCCCACCACGGGGGGACCCTGTTGCTCCCCGCCCCGACCATCACGAGCTGTTCTGGGAGGGAGGCCCATGTTCTTCCCAGTTTACGGTCCTGGGAGGTTTCTGGACATTGTCAGCATGTGGCAGTCCCGGACGCTGGGCCTCCTGAGAGAGTGGGGAGGAGACCCGAGGCGGAGGCGAGTGTGTGAAAGGAGGCTGGTGGGGTCCACATGGCTCAGCAGGTGAACATGGGGTTTCCAGGGGCAGACACCCCATCGTGGCCCCCATGGCTTTGGTTGGGGCAGCATCAGCTTCCTCCTCTGCTGGGTTTCCTGCCTTCTGTTGGCTGCTGGGGCAGGGGAGACAGGATTGGGAACAGTCACCCTCTCTGGTACTGACCCTCATTAGCATTCTTGGTTCCTGAGCAAGGCTGCTTCATGTCCAGGGCAAGAGGGGAAAGATGTTAAAACCTGAACCCCCCTGCTGGGCTTGGTGCCGCCTGTGGGAAAACCGGTGGGCTGAGGGCTGGGGGGCTCTGAGCTGAGGAAGGGGGTCCCAGGTGGAGGCCGGGAGGTGGCTGCAGAGTGAGGCCACAAGGCCTGGGGGTTGGCCCAGAAGGTAGGACCCCTGTAGGCAGCCTCCCAACCCCAGGAATTTGCCTCTTGGGAACGTGCAGGTCCCTCGAGGGTCCTGGAAGGCGCTGGAGTGGTGGGACAGGGATTGAGGGAGCGTCAGCAGGGCCCTCTCTTCTCCCTAGAGCCGCTCAACACGTGTTGCAAGGCACGTGCTCTGGACCTGGTGCTCACACGTGCTCTTCTCCCAAGACACTCCCTGAAGCGCGTTCCCCAGGAGCTGGAAGGGGGATAACGCAGGTATGCCTCATGGCGGGGCCAGTGCTCATGCTTACACACACTCAGCCTCAGCTCGTCTACACCCTGCAACAGCCCAGAGAAGCCACCCGCCTTCTTACCCCTACCATTTAGATTTGCAAATGGAAGCTCAGAGAGGTGAAGTAACTTGCCCAAGGCCACACAGCCTACCAGTGTCAGAATCGGGATTCGAACCCACCTCTGCCTGACTCCAAGGCCTGTGCCCCTGAACATTCTCAAGCCACCCCCCAATTAGCCAAGTGTTGCTGGAGCTCTGAGCAGGGGCCGGGCCTCACAAAACAATAGTAGCCAGTGTGGGGGCTCACAGGACTGGTCAGCTCCCGCCCTCCCCCGCTTTGGCCCCCTCCACACACACACGACCTGCTGCTGAGCTGGACATAAGCAGGACCTGGCTCTGGGGGCTTCTGACCTAGGGCAGGCCCTGAAGTTGGTCATTAGACCCCACCCACCCACCTGAGAGCCTGGCGGAGATGTGACAGGTGACAGCCCCAGAAGTCCCATCGTTGCTGCCTTTGTGGTTAAAGTCCGCTGAACCCAAGCGCTCTCTTCCCCTCCAGTGTGTGGTGGGGAGGTGGGGAGGGGACCCAGGCAGATCTGGGAAGCCGTGGCCAGGCCGCAGCAAGCAGGGGAAGAAGGGGCCCGCAGTGAACTTGCAGCAGGAGCTGTGGCCACCGTCCTAGCCAGGCCGGCCACCTGCCCAAAATGTTCTCTAACCTTAACATGAACCTGGGCCACTTGGGCTCTGCTGGATGCCCCCAGGGCTGCCAGAGCCTGCCCGCCACAGAGCCCCTCTGAGACCTGGAGTCTCACCTGAGCCCTCTCGCTGCCCACAGGGCTGGCCTCTGCCTTTCCGCTGCTGCTCTGCGGCTCGGGGACACGGCCAGGGCTGGTGGCGCTTACAGCCCAGGGGCAGGGGAGGGCACATCCCCCACAGCATTCACCATTGCTGCTGTGTTCTGATGCATCAGGGAATCTGCATTTTTGACCCTTTGATTGCTACATCTTTTCCAGCCTGGAAAAGTGAAGAAGGAAGGAAAGGGGGCTCAGAGGCCCCTGACTCCTGTCCTTGCAGGCACAGCTGGACGCAGTTCTTATTTTCAACCATCTTGCAGCAGTGGTTTTATTTGTGCACAGGTTCCTCTGTGTCATGGGTGGGTCCCAGGATGTGAACCCGGTGTGCTCCTCTAGCTCCACTGTCCTCAGGTTGGGGACAGCCAGGGACAAGGCCCCCTACTCCAGCTCCAAACGTAGTTCCAGGCTGGGGTGCCCTTTGCCCAGGCCCAGCCTGGTAGCCCCGGGTGCTCTCCCTGACTTTTCATGAGCCCGGGGGCTGAAACCAGAGCAGCAGGGAGACAGAAAAGCCCAGCCCCACCCTCCAGAGGGGGAGTCCAGCTGCCCGGAGACCCCAAGAGCACTGCCAGAATCTGGGTATGAGACCCAGTCCCCTGCCGCGTGCTAACCATGTAACCTTGGACGTGATCTCTTTGTGCTTTTTTTTTTTTGTTTTTTTCTTTTTGAGATGCGGTCTTGTTCTGTTTCCTAGGTGGGAGTGCAGTGGCACCATCATGGCCCACTGCAGCCTGGAACTCCTGGGCACAAGTGATTCTCCCGCCTCAGCCTCCCAAATAGCTGGGAAACAGGTTTATGCCACCACGCCCAACTAATTTTTAAATTTTTTATAAAGATGGAGTCTCCCTGTGTTGCCCAGCCTCCTGGGCTCAAGTGATCTCCCCGCCTTGGCCTCCCAAAGTGCTGGGATTACCCGGCTTGAGCATGATCTTTTTGCCTTGCTTGGCTCTGGGTTTCCTCATGTGTCAAGTGGGGCTGAGCCCCAGCTGTGTGGGCTGAACAGGGGAGGGTTAAGCTCGGCCCCTAGAGTGAGGGCCCGCCATGGTGGTGGCTCCCGTATGGCATATTTCCCTAACGGTTCCCATTTGGTCTGTCCTGCTAGACCAGGCTGGTGGGACGTACACTGACTCTGGGGTTCTGTCCACCCCGTGGGTGTGGTCCACCACATGGTCATGGTGGCTTTCTAGGGTAGACTTGACCTTCCCCACTGCCTTTATTTATTTATTTATTATTTTATTTTTTTTTGAAACGGAGTCTTGCTCTGTTGCCCAGGCTGGAGTGCAATGGTGCGATCTTGGCTCATTGCAACCTCCGCCTCCCGGGTTCAAGGGATTCTCCTGCCTCAGCCTTCCAAGTAGCTGGGAATACAGATGTCTGCCACCACACCCGGCTAATTTTTGTATTTCCACTAGAGACGGGGTTTCGCCATGTTGGCCAGGCTGGTCTTGAACTCCTGACCTCAGGTGATCTGCCCACCTCAGCCTCCTAAAGTGCTGGGATTAGAGGCGTGAGCCACAGTGCCTGGCCTTCCCCACTGCCTTTAAAATCTCTATGGTCCCCACTGCCCACGGGAGGAGGCCCAACCCTGTCCTCTGTTAGTCCCCTGGTCCCCGTAGATATTTACCAAGCACCTACTATGGCCAGGCGCTGTTGAGGATGTGGGGGATCGAGTGAATGTGGCAGGTGTCCCCTGCCCTCTAGGGCTGTTCTTCCTTCTAGGGAGGGAGGTTCAAGCCCCTCTCCTGATGCCCAGCTGGCCTCCCAGCGTCAGGGATCTCTGCTCTGTTGGTCCCCTGGAGTGGCCCTGGGGCCACCACATAACACTTTTGTAAGAATAAGAGTTATTTTTTATGGCACAATCGCCCCTGCCCTGGGTTTGTGAATTTGGGGGATTCTTTTTTTTTTTTTTTTTTTTTTTGAGACAGAGTCTTGCTCTGTCGCCCAGGCTGGAGTGCAGTGGTGTGATCTCGGCTCACTGTAAGCTCCGCCTCCCGGGTTCATGCCATTCTCCTGCCTCAGCCTCCTGAATAGCTGGGACTACAGGCACCCACCACTACCATGCCCAGCTAATTTTTTTGTATTTTTAGTAGAGACGGGGTTTCACTGTGTTAGCCAGGATGGTCTCAATCTCCTGACCTCGTGATCTGCCCACCTCGGCCTCCCAAAGTGCTGGGATTACAGGTGTTGGGGGATTCTTAAGGAAAACCACCTGAAAGTGCGGGGTTATTAAAAACAGAAACCAACCCATGCACCCACCACTCACGAGCAGCCCACACAGCTCCCACCTGACCAGGGCTCCCCCTTCTCATGGGTGAGTGAAAGTTGCTGAAAATAGGCCTCCTGGTGAGGAACCTCCCAGCCAGCCCTGTCAGTGGCACTGAGGCTGCTCTCCGACTGTGGCATCCCCCATGTCTGTCCTCATTACTGAGCAAAAATTTGTGCAGAGGAGTGCTCTACACTTTCCAAGGGTTTAATCCAGGAGCTGAGGGCCAGGGGCTCCATGACTGTAGACTCAACATCCTGGGCCACAGCCATCCGTGAGGGGGAGGACGAGGGGCCACGCCCTGCACTCTGTCCCAGCATCCCCTCTCCCTGGAGCCATGCAGAGATGGCCTCATTTCATCCCACACTCACATGCGGGTCCTAGACACCAGCTCATGCACATACACACACACACACACGCACACACACACACACACACATGCGCACATGCACCCACGCACTCTCTTTGCCTGTGGGAGGGCAGGATCCCAGCTGCCCCAGCGGGGAAGGGGTGTGGGGAATCAGCCCTGCAGATGCGGTGTGAGGGGCAGACATGGCATGCTGGTCTTTGGCAGTGTGGTCCCAAGTGGGGGCGGCTGGAGAGGTGCCTTGCCACAGGGCCCAGGCCACCCGCATGCATCCCATGAGGCCGTCCAAGCCCGTCTGCCCTGCATCAGAGAGGACACCCCAATGCGGGGAGGGAGGAACCTGGTGAAGCCAGGAGCGGTGGGCAGGGGCCAGCAAGGATCCCCAGGCCCCCAGGGCAGTGTGCATCCGGCCTTCTTGCATGCCCACCTGGCATCCTGCCTGCCGCCTCCTGCCTCCCGCCCCACCCCTCCTGCGTCCCAGCCTGGTGGACCTCTCAGGGTTCACTCTCATTTCCTCCTCCCCACGCCACCTGCTCGGGCCACAAGAGGGCGCCTTGCTGCCAGGGATGGGACAGGCCGGGCCTGCTGGAGCCAGGGCCGATGCACGCACAGCTACATACACTCACCCGGGCCCACGTGTGCTCACGAGGGGCCCCCATACCCACACGATCCCGCATCCACATGTGCGCACGCCAGGCCCCACAGGTTCTCAGGCCCAGGCCACACATCCACAGGTGCCCACTCTCATGCTGGCCTCATAGTGCATGCACACACACACACACACACACATATACATACACTCACGCCCAGACCCCCCCACGCCCCAGGCCACACATGTGGGCCTGCTCACACCCCACTCATTCCCTCCCAGATGCCGCACCACCCCCATGCCCTGTGTGCCCTCTGCCTCTCGGGGCCCTGGGGCCCCAGCTCCAAGAACCACGGGCTTGCTTTAGCCAGGCTTCCACAAGCCTGCCCATTCCTCAGGACACTGACCCTCTCCTCTGCCACCCTTCACGGGTGCAGACGATGAGCATGGAGAACACCACAGCGCACAGGGCCGAGGGCCACCATCAGAGTCTCCTGCAGCCCTGGATTCCCTGGGCCTGAAGCAGGCAGAGCGGCCAAGGTAGCCTCATCAGCCTCACCAGCCCGTCCTTCTTGTCTCCCTGGCACCTTGTCAGAGAGAGG
Organism: Homo sapiens; assembly: GCF_000001405.40. Taxonomy (NCBI): domain Eukaryota; kingdom Metazoa; phylum Chordata; class Mammalia; order Primates; family Hominidae; genus Homo; species Homo sapiens. Next base: position 124,530,953 of record NC_000010.11, read on the forward strand.
CCTAAGAACACGCTCTGGGCATTGGGGGCCTCCCAGTGTTCCCTGCGAGTTTGGAGAGGCCAGGTCCCTGGGATGAGGACACGCCCACCCGCCAAGCTCCCCTCCTGCCAGTCCCACCTGGAGCCTTTATGCATGCTGTCTGCGCCCTTCACCTGTCCCACCACCTCTTCTTTGGCCTGCCTGGATCCTGCCATATCCTCAAGGCCTTCCCTGGTGATGGAATTCCAGAGTCCTCCCAATTGCAAGGGCCTGAGGGATCCGCTGCCCTCCAACCCCACACCCCGTCTCAAGGTCATGTGCTAATCCCGTGCAAGCTGGGGTGTGGGCTGGCTGCCATGTCAAGCTCGTTTCTGTTGTACCCAAAACACAGTCTCACCTCCAGAAGAATTACCTGGCACTCCCTGGAGTTCCCGCAGCCTTCTCATTTTCAAATAATTTTTCAGATTTCCAGAATAGAAAGAAATTCCATACACCCTTCTCCCAGAGACAGACCCCATTCAAGCTTTGCCAATCATTCCATGAACTCCTCTAGAGAGGGGAAGACCCAGTCCGGGGCCAGGCAGCTCTCTCTGGTCTCTCTGGACTCCGTCCTGGAGCACTTCCCTGTCCTCGCCTCAGTTCTCACAGATTGCCAGTTTTGAAGATTACGAGACAGTCATTTTGTGTGGTGTTTTCTCATGATACAACCCAAGTTACGCGTTTGGGGCTAGCATTGCTTAGAAGTGGTGCTGTGCTTGTTCTCATAGGCATGTAATGTTGGTTTGCCCAAATATTGCTGATGTTAACCTTGACCTCTTGTTTAATGGCAACCACATAATGTGTTTTTCCCCTTTGTGATTGATACGTATTTGTGGGGAGATGCTTTGAGGTGATGCGATGTCCCACTTTCATCTGCCAGTTTTAGTGTCCCTTAGTATTTCTTGTTTGAATGAATGATTTCTATGATGGTCGCCAAATAACTCCATCATTCTTCCTTGTATTTACTCCTGGTGTTTTACTTTAAGGAAAGATGTTCTCTTCTTTCCACTGATTGATGTATGCCAGTGTGGGCTCGTGGCTTCCTATGTAATTCAGTGGGTTATCGTCTGTTAACCGTCATCACTGGGATATTCAGATGGTCCCCGACGCAGGCACTGGCAGCCCCTTCAGGCTGGCCCTGTGACCTTTCGGCACATCCTCACCGTTCTTTGAGCCCTTCCTTGCATTTTGGCCCAAAAAGATGTTTCAGGTTCATTTGTTCAGTCTTTGCTTCAGCCCTGGAATCGGCCATTTCTCCAAGGAGCCCCAGTTCCTTCCAGTGGAGGGCACTGTTTAGAATCTCAGCCCAGGGCCCCAGGTGTGCTTGTGTTGTCTCTGGGCATTGCTGCTCAGGCCCTGGCGGTGGACAGAGGTAGGAAAGATGCGCATGGTATGCAGGTGTGACACACACATGCGTCCATGCTTACCCTACCCACCTGGACCTGCCCAAAAGCCCGAGCTCACAGCAGTGCCTCCGATTCCAGTCCAGCAGCACAGGGTTCCTTCTCACCTCATGCCTTTACACGTTCATGCCTTCCTTCCACAGCAGGGAGAAGCCTGGCTTCCTCATTCTCTCTCCATCTGCTTATCGCTCTATCCCATGTAGAGCCAAGTCCCTGACCTTGCCTGTGGTGGACACTCTGCGTTTGTTAAACTGAATAACAACAATCCTCCCTATTGGGAGAAACCTTTTCAGCTTCCCAGGCCATTTCTGCATTTGTGGTTCTCTTCCAAGCCTCTTGGGTAGGCATAGAAAGTCTTCTCTGTTTTCCAGGGAAGCTGCAGACTCACCCAGCATCACCCAGCTGGTAAGGGTGTAGCAGGACAGTGCCAGCATGTCTGTCCCAACTGTCCCTATGGCCCCTATGGAAGATTAGCTATGTGGTGGCAAAGTGTCCCGAGGAAGGGGCATTCTGGGATGTTCAGGTGCTCGACTGGGCTGGGACTTGTACTTTGGAAATGAGAAGAAGCCCAGGCTCAAATCTTTGCCCCACTGCTTGCTGGCAGGAAGACCACTGAGCCTCAGTTTTCTCATCTGTAAAATGGACTTATTTTGGACTTACTTCCCAGGTATCCTCAGCACCTTTATTACAGGAGCTCCATTAATACATGGCTGCAGGAGGTAGTTCAGGGAAGCAATGGGAGTGGAATGCTGGGTGCATCACGGCCTGGGGTTGTCAGCCTGGCCTCTGCAGGCATCTGAGATATTCCTGAGGGCAGATTCAGCCAGGCCAACACTTCTGGATAGAACCACAGGGCCATAAACTGAGACCATTGAGGGAGACTGCTTGGCTTGGAAAACTCGCCCAGGGACCATGTGCTCTGATTTGCAAAATGCACCCCCCAGAGCGGCTTCCTGCCTTCACTTTGTGCAGAGTTGGGGGCGGCAGGGGCGTGGGGGGTTGGATGGACCATGTCACCCAAAAGTTTGTGTCCTCGGATGGGGAGGGGAGAGCGTCTGCCCAAGCACAGCCTGGAGGCTTCCCTTACTTCCGATGACCTTGTGGCAGTCAGTGTCACCCGGACAGAGTGTGGCACGCCTTGGGGACCAGCCCCTCCCAGAAGGATAGGCGCTTGATTGGAAACGTTGACTTTTCATTTAAATAAGTAAAGGTCAAGGCCTACTGCATGGCGAGGAGGAGATGGCTCTTCCCTGCCTCTGTCCTCCCTTACCCCCGTGTGAGTGGACAAACCCCCCGTCCTCACCCAGGTGGCCCGCTTCTGCCACCCGCACTATATCCAAGACACAGCCCAGCTTTGCAGGCACTTGCCGTGTGCTCCGCAGTGTGCAGGGTGATGAGATGAACAAGACCATGTGGCCTGAAGGGTCCCACGCTGCAGAGGGCCCCAGCCCAGGGCCAGACCCCAAGTGTGTGCCTGGAGTGACTCAGGGGTGCGCGAGGAGGACTCAGTGGGATATGGAATGCAGGGGCTGAGGCATAGGGAGTGACACAGGGGCTCAGGGCTTTCCCATGAGTCGAGGCTCATTGGGTTGGCAGGGACCACATCTGCCCTGGTCGATGCCCTGCCCATGCAGGCTCTAACGGCAGAGTTTGGGGATTGGGGCGGGGGATGCAGGGGGCCTGGGGTGGGGAGCTTGGGGGCAGTGGGCCAGGCAAAGCAGAGCCCTTTGCTGTGTTGGAAACCCCTCAGAGGCCCTAGGCGTGATAAGTGAGTGTGACGCAGGAGAGTCTCTCTGCATGGGCCACCCACAATTGCAGAGAAGACGCCCTGCATGTCATAGGCTTGGCGGCCCATGCCGGGAATTTGGCATGGCCGTCTTTCCTCCGGTGCTGGGGAGCTCAGCAGCTGGAGGCAGATGCTGGATTGTCTTTCTCTACCGCAGCAGGGCAGGTAGCTTGTCTTTTAGTTTGTTTTGTTAGTCTCCTGTATCTGTGACTCTGCAGAGAGCCAACGGCAGGAAGAGGGCAGCACCGGCACGTCGGAGGCCGAGGACGGCTTAGACGGGAGGTCCGGAGGCTCTCAGCCTGACCAGCCCTGGCCTAGGGCCGGGGAAAGGCCTGGGCTTTGGGGTCAAGGGCAGGGGATGAGATCTCAGACCCACGACCTAACCATTGACCTGCCTGGGCCACTTCACCCCTGCATGCTTCCTTCCCTGTCTGTAAAAGCGGATCACGTGAGGGGCCTTGCAGGAAGCTCTGAGGCCCAGTGAGGCCCCCGGGAGACAGGCGAGACCGCTGTGAGCGCCCGTCCTTCCCGCCCGGTGCCTGGCAGGTTCCTATGCGCTCTCGGGGCTTCGGGCTGGGGCCCTGCTGCGGCGAGGGGGGTGCTCCCCAGGCTGGCGCTGTCGGTGGTGTGGCTTTGGCTGACACGAGGTGGAGAGGATCTTGTTGACCTGACCGTATAAAGTAGCAGTGAGGCCTTACAAGTAGTTCTAGGCCTGGAAAGGAAAGGGAAAGAAAGAGCAATGGAATCTGGTATTTTCTCAGGTGTCCTGGACTCCATCTGAAAGATTTCGCCATGGGAAACATTCCTTCCTGGGTCCTCGGCGCCTATTGTTACAGCACGCAGGCACCCGGGCTGTGGCCTAGGGGTGAAACCTCTCTCGATTGTGTGGCCATAGGTGGTTACTTAACTTCTCTGTGCCTCAGCGTTGCCACTGTGTGTGGCGATAGCAACATGTCTTCTTCCTAAGGTTGTTGGGAAAACACTGATCGCAACAGTGACAGATGCAGGACCCACTCCACCAGAAATTGTTCCATGAGCTTGTTTACCCACCAGACGCCTGTATGAGAGAGAACTGACATCGTCCTCACTTTGCAGAGAGGTTAAGTAACTTGCCTAAGGTCACACAGCCTTTGAACCCTGGGAGTCGAACTCCGTCATCTATGCTCTGAACCACTCTGCCACATGTGGTGGTTACTGTCAGTTCCATTTGTTTCCACACAGCTTTAAGTTAGTCCTGTGGTTTGCTTTTATTTTATTTTTAAGACATGGTCTTGCTCTGTCACCCAGGCTGGAGTGCAGTGGTGCAATCATAGCTCACTGCAGCCTCGACTTCTGATGAGATTCTCGCATCTCAGCCTCCCAAGTAGCCGGGACTATAGGCACATGCCACAATGCCTGGCTAATTAAAAAAACATTTTTTTTTTTTTTGTAGAGACAAAGCTGTTGCTATGTTGCCCAAGCTGGTCTTAAACTCCTGGCCTCAAGTGATTCTCCCACATCGGGATCCCAAAGTGCTGGAATTAGCTTGGCGTGAGCCGCCATGCCTGGCCTAGTCTGGTGGGTGTTTAAACCTTGCTGGCCTTTAGGGGTGCATGCTGTGAAGACCTGTGGGCCAGAGGCCAGGTATCAGGAGGAGACACTCAGGCCTGTTGAATCAGCTCAGTGCCACAGGGCTGCAAGAGCAGCTGCTTCAGGCTCCTCAGGCCGTGGGCCCCTGAGCACCAGTTCTGCTCTGCTCCCTCAGGGGAACTGGGGAGATCAAGGTGGGGCCCCTGGACCTCCCCTAATTCAGCCAGAGAAGCTCTCATCTCTTCCGGGGTCCCAGGCAGGATTCCCCTGGGCTGGGGTGGGAGGTTCTGCTGCTTTAAAACCACTGGAAAGGCTTGAGAACCAGTGATCTTCTGCCCTGTTACAGACGCGGAAGCCGGGGTGGAGCAGGCCTGTAAGGTGGGGGCTGGGGCCGGCACTGGGTCCCCGGGCTTTTCCACCCCTGCCGCGTGTGCGTGCAGACTGGCCCTGCGGTCCATGGGCTTGGGCCTGCCTTTTGGCTTGCTCCCGAGTATTTTGCCCAGAGGCCTTGTGGCTTTCAGGGATGCTGTCTGGGGCTGGAAGTCAGTCCTTGTTTTGTCCTGGCAGTAGTCAGCAGGAGGGAGAAGAAGGGGTTAACCTGTCTGGAACCAGGAAAGAGGAAGCGGTAGTGTTCCCGCATGCAGTCCCAAATAGACTCCTGCTCCTGCTCCGAGGCCACCCCAGCCAGGCTGGATGGAAGCTCCCCGGCTGGGCCATTGTTCCGGCCCCTCTCCCTCCACCCTGAGAAAGCCCCCAGCCCGGTGGGTCAGGGCAGGACATGGACAGGCCAAGGCTTTGGGCTCCAGGGAGGCCAAGCTGCTGGGGCCCAGAGACCCTGCTGTGTATCCCAGAGCCAGAGAAGAACCTCCCTGAGGGCTCTGTGAGCCAGAGGGCTGGGGGATGTCAAGAGACAGGCAGGGCAGGGCTGCAAGGTTAGAGTGAGGGGAGGGGTACCTGGTGCCATTTTGGAAGGGACCCCTGAAGGCAGGAAGCAGGACAGACCCCCCGCCATTGGCAGAAGACCTCTGGAATCCTGAGATACTTAAATTCCCTGCGGCAGCTCCAAGCCTAGGGAACCAGACAGATCGGGGAGGATTGGCTAGAACAGTGCATCCTGGTGGGTCGTGTTGGAAGCTCTCTGAGGTCCCTCTGCTGCTGAGAGATGAAGGAATGGAGCCCTGGCTCTGCTGTGGGATGCCAGGCTGCCCAGGCTCCCCGACCTCTCCAGCAACAAAAATCATAAACACAGCATATGTAATATATAAATAATAAAAGTAACAGCCATCTTTTCAGAATAATCTAGCACTTAGAATGTGCTAGGGAACATACAAGCACTTTTCTCCTTATTTACAGTAAGCCTTAAGGTAAATTTCATCATCTCCAGATTTTAAGTAAAGAATTTGAGAATCAGAGACATTCACAGCAACCTGGTGCACCCGGAGCCTGGCTGACCCCAGCACCGCTGCTGGCGGCCCCACCTCACTCGCCCAGTCTCCCTGCTTCCCCAGCCACCGTCCAGCTACCTCGAGAGATCCTGGGAGCATGGTGATTGTGGGGTGCATGGGGGCCCGTGAGCTGTTGGGGGTGTCAGGGTTCTGCCCGTGAGATCCTCCTTGTTGCCAGACATGAGGACCTGGACTGGCAGCTGTGGGTGGCCTCATGAATCAGGGATCAGAGATAGCGGGCAGCAGGCGGGCCCAGCCCGGAGCAAGCTGTGCCATTGGCGATGCGGGGAGGCTGGCCCCATCGAAGGCTGGTGGGACTGGTGGAGACTCCTGTCCACTGCTCAGCACTAGGCCTGCAGCAGACACCATGAGCCCCAAACTTCCCAAAGCCCTTCCCCAGTCCCACAAGATGGTGTCTGCGGACCGTGCTCGTGAGAGATGGCAGCCAGGCAGTCCCCACAGGGCACCCATTTTCAGCTGCCCCCGCTTCTCAGACAAGGAAACTGAGGCCAGAAAGCCAGGTGGCCCAGGAGCTGGCTTCCCCATTTCCTGCTCCTGTGGGCCCCACTGCAGTGCCCATGGGCCGGGCTGATATTACCCGAGACTTCGGAGCTCTCACGGGTGCGAGTAATTTAGGCTGCATGGACACAAGCTGCTGGCTTGAGTCGCCCCGTTATGAATGTGTGTGGGTCTGTGCCCCTTTCATGTGCTGCCACAGGGCCCACGAGTGTGCTGAAAGGGAAGGACACGGCCAAGGGGCCATGGTGGACAGGAGACCTTCTTGGGGGTTCGGTGGTGTCCTTGACCCCACTCTGACTGAGCACTGCCCCAAGGCACTGCCATTCCAGGCCCCCTTCCCTGAGCCTCCCACCCCAGGCCCACCCACCTGCTGGGTCCTCCCACCTGCGGGGCCCGCCATGCGGGGTCACCATGCGAGTCTCACCATGCAGGGTCACCACACGAGTCTCACCATGCAGGGTCACCACGCGAGTCTCACCATGCAGGGTCACCATGCGGGGTCACCATGTGGGGTCACCATGCGGGGCTCACCATGTGGGGCTTCAGGAGCTTGCTGAGCACCCTCCCCACCCACGGTCACTCTCCCTGGGGTCTGTAAGCCTCCCTGGGCCTGAGCAGCTCCCAGCCTTGCTGCTGCCTTTCCACTTCCTGGCAGTGAGGTCTCCTGGGTGCCTTCTCTCAGCCCTTTGGGATGTTTTTTGTGAGGAAGGGAGGCTTTGATGCTGTGGAGCATCTGTAGTGCCCACTCCAGTGGCTTCACAGGAGCAGCAGGCTGTTTGTTCTGAGCTGTTCCACCTTGTGCCTGCCAGAGGGGAGATAGTGGACAGGCCTCCCTCCCCCCAAGTGGTGGGGTGGACCCCCTGCCCGCTGTGGCCCCATACCTGGGGGCCACACACCACTGCCCTGGGCCGTGCAGCTGCTATGAAGAGTGTGCTGCTGAGACCCTGGAAGAGACGGAGGATGAAATTGTGTTGCCAGATAGTCCATTTGTTGTTCTGAGACTCGCATGCCTGGGAGAATCCTGGGAATTAACTAGCTCCTTCTCTCCCATCCCATTTTACAGAAAAGTGAGACCCAAGGTGGTTTCTGACTTGCCCAGAGGTCATAACTGCTTGGACAGTCATGGTCCTCAGAGCCCACGTTTGCTGACCAGTGCAGGCTCTCACAGCCACTCAGCTCCTGCAGCCGTGGCGTGGCAGAGGAGGGAAGCACTTCCTGGGATTTATGCTGCCTCCCTGACATTTCAAGGCCCTTCATTTCTCTAAATATTGGAGGAGTTGAATTATTTTTAGTTGAGCCTCAAGGGATCAGAGAATAAGCTTGCAGCAACGTTGGCAGATGGGCTTCTTCTAGCAGAGAGTGGTTATTCGGGGCCTCTTATTGAGAGAATCGGGTGATTTGAGGAAATCTGGGGTGTCCTGAGGCATACCAGAGGACCCCCAAGTTTTTCCTGTGGCTCGTCTGCCATCAGGAAACCAAAATGACTCCCCTCGTCCTGAGCTCTCCAGGGTGTGGACCTGGAATGCTTAAGGGGAGGCAATGGCATATCTTTAAGATGAGCACAGCTCCGGAGCCACTCGAGCACCCAAGGCCACGTCCTGCTCAGGGCACTTCGGGCCTCAGTTTCCTTATCTTTAAAATGGACAGAGTTGGCCGGGTGAGGTGGCCCTGCCTGTAATCCCAGCACTTTGGGAGGCCAAGGCTGGCAGATTGCTTGAGCCCAGGAGTTTGAAGCCAGCCTGGGCAACATGGCGAAACCCCATCTCTACTACAAGTACAAAAATTTGGCCGGGCATGGTGGCTCATGCTTGTAATCCCAGCACTTTGGGAGGCCAAGGAGAGCGGATCACTTGAGGCCAGAAGCTCGAGACCGCCTCTACTAAAAATACAAAAATTAGCCAGGCGTGGTGGCTCACGCCTGTAATCTCAGCTACTCGGGTGGCTGAGGCAGGAGAATCACTTGAACCTGGGAAGTAGAGGTTGCAGTGAGCTGAGATCGTGCCACTGCACTCTAGCCTGGGCGACAGAGCAAAACCCTGTCTCAAAAAAAAAAAAAAAAATTAGTCAGGCATGGTGGCACACACCTGTAGTCCCAGCTACTCAGGAGGCTGAGGTGGGAGGATTGTTTGAGCCCAGAAGGTTGAGGCTGCATTGAGCTGAGATTGCACCACTGCACTCCAGCCTGGGCGACAGAGCGAGACCCTGTCTCAAAAAAATAAAATAGACATAATAAGAGTACCTACCACCTACGGCTGGGGAGACCAGAATGAGATATCCTGCCAAAAGCACTCACCGCACTTCCTGGCACACAGCAAGGGTTCAGCAGTTACCCGCTTCTGCTCATTTTCTTGGTGTTCTCATCAGTATGATTATTTAGGGAAACTTGGGTCCCCAGATAACCGTGGGGAGGGGAGGGTTTACCTGCAGGTGCCCTGGCCCAGCCGTTCATGCAGCGCCGTGCTGTTTCTGTGTCTGTGCGCTTCGGTGGAGATGCTGTGGGTGGGTGGGCAGGTGTGCCTTGTGCTGTGGCCTCCCGAGACAAGGAGGGCTCCCACCTAAGCAGGGTCCTGCAGCCCAGGCACATAGCCCTGCCCTGGCCCTCCAGGTCCACACGGCTGTGGGTTCCCACCAGGGGGCGGCAGGGACTTGCGGCCGGGGACCCAGCCTGGTTTCTCCCGCTTTGCTTCGTGGCCAGGCTAGGGCCAGGGGGGCTGCGCAGGATGGGGCCTTTTCACCACTGCCTGGAGCCGCTCGCCCACCAACCCCACTGACGGCTCTCAGTTTCCCTTTCCCCGAGCGCCCTTCACCCTGAGGCACAGCACAGCCTCGTGCTCCTGGCCCCACTGGCCTGCTCCCTTAAGCTGAGTTTTGCCTTTGCAGTTTGAGTGACATTTTTGCTGGGGATCCGGGGCTGCTCGGGGTGGCCTCGCACACCCCTGCACTTTGGCTGCCTGGAACGTGGCTTGGGGTTCACGGTGCTCCATGGTTTGACTCACAGGCAGGGTTCCAGCAGCAGCAGAGAGAAAGAGCATCTTCTCCAGCCGGCCCTACAGAGGCCCCGGGACCCCAAAGGCTGCACTGAGGTGGCCACCAAAACCAGGGGGCAGAGTCCTCCTAAGTTCTGGCCCTAGATCTAGGCTCCAGATCTCCCGGGAGTTGGATCCAGAGGAACCTGGGCTCACTTCTTTAGCAGGTTCTGGACACACGATGCCTTTAGGGGCTCAAGAAAATGTTTAATTTATTTTAAAATTAGAAGGAAAATATCTCTGGAACATTTAGGGCCAAAGAAAATGTTTTAATGTTTTTTCTCACTTTAGAAATAATAATTCAAAAATCCATTAAATTATTTAACAGCTTTTTTAATGGAGGAAGGGGCCCCCCAAATCACAAAGTGGCCCTGGGCCCTGGGATGGCCGGAGGAGAGCCTGCCATACCCACGCAGTGTGCCTGAGTCCTGGAGTGCGATGTATTCTGAGCCACCCAGAATGGTGAGTCACCAAGAGGCAGCTTGGAGGTGGGCCGCTGCCCCTGCACACTGTGCTTGGGGGACACAGCCGACACGACCAGCCTGCAGTACCAGGATAGACAATTTGGGCTGGAGCCAAACTTGATCAGAGGGAGGCTGACTTTATCGAGGGCTGCTTTGTGGCGGGCGTTCATTGTGGAAAGAGCCCAGGAAGGAGCTCTCTGCCTTGCAAGAACATTGCCTGTGGCTCAAAATGGCCACATGGGATGCAGTTCCTGAGGTGGCAGAAGAGCCAGCCTCTGCTAGCCCCAGACCTAACGGAGTTGCGGCTCATGGCCACCCTGAGGAATTCCACCTGGGCGTTTGGTGTCCCTAGCATATCTCGAATGGCAGGCTGAGGCTCGAAAGTCTCATGCCTGTCTGCAGGACCCCCGCGTGAGCCTGGGACCACCCGTGGGGACAGTGTGTGTCTAGGCAAATGCCTTGGGCACTCGAGGGGGCACTGAGGCCCTGGAGGGCTTCTGTGGGTGGGAGTTCCCATGACGTCATCCCTCAGTACAAGCTACGAGGGCTTCTTAGAACACGCTGGACACTGGGGAGGGCTCTAATGGTATTTGCACAAATTTGCAATGTTGGAGACCAGAGTGGAGTGGGCTGGGCGGGCCAGGCCCCGGCCCAGATGGGGTGACCTTTCCTTCACCCCTACTTCCCCACTGCAAGGGTGCTGCCTCCCCAGCTCCTACCTGGGGAGATGCTGACATCTGGTCATTCGCAGAGTGCCCTGTGCCCACATGCTGTCCCTGTCCAGACATGAAACGGACAGCAGGAGGGGGCTTTGAGGGGTCTCTCCTGAGACACCTCTCCAGCTGAGGCTCCTGGAGTTGGAAGCCCCTGCAGACTCGGTGGCTGCCTCACCAAAGGCTCCATCTGCATTTGCCCCCATGACCTTCCCACTGTGCCTGGGACCGCAGTTAGAGCTGACCAGCACCTGGGGCAGTCTGGGGTCTGGGGCTGGCGTTCGGGCCAGCATGGAACACAGATGCCTTCAGTGGCTCTGGTGGGCACGGGGCTTGCACAGATCGGACTGTGACCCCAGGCTGTGGGACTCAGCCACCAAGCGCCTTCACTTATTTACTGACCTTGAAGTTATCCAGCACTTATGTGTTTACAGATACCTGCACAACAGCCAGAGAGGTACGAATACATCTCCACCTACAGGTGAGGGCACAGAGAGGTTAGGACCCACCTGAGGGGATGCAGCCAGCAGGTGGGACTTGGGCCCTGGCAGTCTGTTTCCAGCCTGTGTGCTCAGGTCCAGGGTCTCCCTGGGACTGGAGAGGGCGCTGGGGGAATGGAGCCGCCTCCTGCATCAGAGCTTCTCCTGCTCCAGTTCAGCCTGCAGCTCTCCTGCATCCCCAGGTGGGGACCAGAGAGAGGGGCAGGCTGGTACCAGCCTGGGGGAGGGGGCAGTTACCAGAAGACCTTGGTCCCCATCCCAGCCCTGTGCACCCTGGGGCCCAGCCAGGCTGGAGGCCCATTTTTCCCAGAAGCCCACCTCTCTGCCTCCTTCCAGGGGCTCACCCCGCCCTGCTGCCTCTTCTTGATCGCCTCCTTGCCCCTACTCTCCCCTCTGCCCTCTCGCCTCCCCTCACGTTCATGGGGTTTTGTGGACGCGCCTGCCTGCCTTTCATCAGTGGTGTCCAGCCGTCTCCCTGACCGAGGCTGAGGGTCCTGCACATCTAGGCCCCGTCACGGTCGTTCTCCCCGGTCCCTGCCTGCCCATGGCTCTTGCCACAGTGGGGATGCAGCAGCTCTGGGTTGAGTGTCTGTCGTTGCCCCTGCACTGCGTGTGCCCTGTGAGTGGGGGCTGCTGTGCCACACCTCACTGCCACCCATGCCCATCTCAGGGTGTGGGCCCAGCGGGTCCTCAGGCTGTACCTGTCAGGGGGCTGGATACCTGGACAGGGCCTTGTCCGAGGGTTGACTGGGAGAGAAAATGCCCCCGTTCCAGCTCGGGCAGTACAAGCCTTCATCCTCCCAGACTCCACCTCCCTGGCTGCTCCTTCCTGTATGGCCCCCACAGGGGTTGGCAGGGCGCACTCCCCAGAGGGACAGGAGTTTGTGGCCAACCTGAGGGTAGACACTGCCTGTCCTCCAGACCCCTAGACACCCCCGGTCGGCCCAGGTGCGGGGTCTGCCCGCATCCCACAGCCATCTTTCCAGCGAGGACAGTGCAGGCGCAGGTGGCTGTACCGTGGCTGCGGTGATGTGCTGACTGGGAACGGCAGAGGTGCCCTGGGAAGGCGGAGGTCTGGGAGCCCCACAAGGGCTGAGCCTTGGGGCCTCAAAACAGGGAGTCTTCTCTGGGCTCAGGGCCTTTCTGGAGATGGGACTTCTAGGTTGCCAGGGCCACTAGCCGTGAGGAGTTCAGCTGCCCATGGTGGCGGCGGCTGGGCTGTATCTTGCACTTCTCAGCTGTGTGGAGGGGTCCGTGGGGCCTGTCTGGGCCCAGCACAGCAGCGCACAGAAAAGCCACTTTATATATTTGGGATTCTATTAATCCTTCTAGTTTGTACATTTTTTATGGCACCTTCAATTTTTTTCTTTTAAAAATTAATATATTTTTTTTTCTGATAATATAAGAAATGCATGCCTTCTTTGGAAAATACAGAAAATCACAAAGAAAATAATCCACAATCCCACCTTCCAAAAGGAACCACAGTTAGCATTTTGTTCAGCCTGTTTTTTAAAAAACAAACAAACAAAAAATGCATACTAAAAGCAACGATTTATAAACTGTGGTTGTAGAGTTAAGCTCATACCCAGAGTTGCCGGCATCTCACCAGTTCCTCTCCTGGGACAGTGATTGTGCCTTCCCAGAGCTGCCGCACCCTGGCCTCGCAGCCAAGCCTGGTGACAGCAGTGGGGTGACCCTGCGAGGCCCCTCGGATGGCTGATGCTGAGAGCCCAGCAGAGCTGGAGGGGGTAGGGGCAGCCTCCCCAGGACTGATCTGACAGACGGGTATGTGCCTCACCCGGCATCACCCACCGGGGAGGCCTCCGTCCGCCCCCATGCAGTCATGCTGGGTCCCCCCATCTCGTGTCTTCTGGGGAATGGAGCGGAAGACCTCCCCTCTCTGGAACCAGGGGTGGGAGGGACTGTGCTCCCCAGAATGAATATTCCTTGGCTGTGGGTGAGCCTGCCAGCCCAGAGTCCCCAGGGGTCAGGAGCAGACTGGCAGGGGCCATGGCAACGACTGGGACACCTGGGGAGCCAGGTGTCCAGGCAGGCTCCAGTGTCCACTCCCAACAAGTATGGGGCATTGAGATCCTGGGTGGATCACAGGGGAGCAGGCGTGCTCAAGCTGACACAGCCCAAGCTGTCTTTATTCACCACCAGACCCGAATCCACCTCTGGGCCAACAGTCTCACCCTGCAGGAGGCCTGGCACCTGTGTTTGTATTTTATCACCATGAGGTTGTGTGGGCTGCTGAGAGCGTGTGCAGAGCTCTGGGCACAAGCCTCGGCTCTGTGGCCGGCTGAGTGGCCGGGCCTCGGTGTTCTCGTCTCTGAAGTGGGGAGAAGGCTGCCCCCGTCACGGGACCTCACAGTGTTAGATGAGATTGCAGATGCGATGAGGTGGGGGCCCAGCAGGCCTGCTCAGGGCGTGGCTGTCCCTCCTGGTGCAGACACCATCACGTGGAAGGCGATCACATCGAGTGTTCTGGCCACTGTGGCGCGAGTGCATATGTGCGCAGGGCTGTGCATGGGCGGCCTGGGTTGGGCTTCCTTTCTCGGCTTGTCTGGGAGGACGGTGGCTCCCAGTGGGTGTCTCCCTGTCTCTGCCCCACTCTGAGGATGTGGGTGCTTTGAGCTGAGTGAAGGAGGAACTTCTCTAGGAGAGAGCTCTGCCTGCCACCTCCCTGGTGCCCCCGCCCCCAGAGCAGAGCTGTCCTTACAGGGCCACAGCCTCTGCTGGCCCCGAAGCCCCTTTGCAGTGAAGGGGGGCTCCTGTGTGCGGCTCCCTCCAGATGGACAAAAACCAGGTTTGGATGCCGGGGCCTCGGCTGAGTCCCTCGCTTCTCTAAGCATTCCTTTCCTCGTCTGGAAAGTGGGGGTGTAGTATTGTGCGAACCTCCCAGGCCATCCCAGGATGAACTGAGATCATGCCCATAACATAGACTTCCGCCTGGTCCCTGCTCAGAGCTCCCCGAATGGTCATTGCCACATCTAAACAAATTTTTCTTTCAGCTGGGGGTGCTGGCGGCCCCTGCAGCGGTGCCCACGGCAGCCCATGCACCCAGGCAGGAAGCTGCTTTGTGCAGGAGGGTCTTTGTGCAGGGGCAGTGTGGGCGAGCCTGGCAGCCTCCTGAGCGGCAGGACTATGCAGGCGCCTTATTGAGCTGTCAGCGGCTGGCAGCTGCTCCCAGGTAGCAGGAAGAAGGGCCGAGCTCCACGTGGGCATGAAAGGCCCAGCGGGTGTGTCAGGGGGCGGGGTGGGGTGGAAGTGTTAGTGCGAATGTGAGTGTGTGTGCACGCTTGCAGGATAAAGATGAGTTTTTAAAATGTGTCTCCTGTGGTTTTTGATTTTTTTAATCTTTCCCAAAATCAATACAAACAAACCACAGGCATAATTTGGGTCTGTAAAGGCCGACGCTGTCATTCTGCTGCAAGAGGGAGGGAAGTTCAGTTGGGGGGAAAATGCAGCGCTTTTGCTGTCATTAAGTCCAATGGTGGCTGGCGACAGTCACGGCGCTGGTGGAGCTCAGAGCAGAGGTGGGAGGGGTGGTATTGACCAGGCGTGTGTGTTTCCGGTGTGTGATGTGAGAACCCAGGGCTCGCTGGGATGCTGTCCTCCCTCCCTCCCTCCCTCTGCCAAGCTGGTGGGAAGGCCCTTGCCAAAGCGCACAAGACCCCTTCACACAGCAGGGGCACAAGCTCTTTGAGGCAGAGTCGCCTGCAGGTGGGGTGGAAGGGGTGCGCCCCAGACCCAAGAATCGCCCGCCTCTCCAAGACCATCCCTGGCTGCTGGTGAGCAGGGTAGGAGGGTTGTTGGCACCTGCTGTGGCCGGGGCCGTGCCAGGTCTGTACACATTGTGCTCTTTGCTGGGTGGCAGCCACCACGTATTCTCAAGGGCCTGTGCTAGGCCTCTGGCGGGCCCTGGGTTGTTCCCTTCCTTATGAGCTCCCATTATTAACTAAAGAAGACACTGAATGATCTCATGTGGTTGTATGTTTTTTTGTTTGTTTGTTTGTTTTTTTGAGACGGAGTCTCACTCTGTCGCCCAGGCTGGAGTGCAGTGGCGCGATCTCGGCTCACTGCAAGCTCTGCCTCCTGGGTTCACACCATTCTCCTGCCTCACCCTCCCGAGTAGCTGGGACTACAGGTGCCTGCCACCACGCCCGGCTAATTTTTTGTATTTTTGTATTTTTAGTAGAGATGGGGTTTCACCATGTTAGCCAGGATGGTCTTGATCTCCTGACCTCATGATCCGCCCGCCTCAGCCTCCCAAAGTGCTGGAATTACAGGCGTGAGCCACCGCGCCCGCCTCATGCGGTTGTATCTTGGTGGGTAAGGCAGGTCTTTCTATGACCCACCTGCCAGCCTCATCATCCGTGCTCCCCACCTCACCATGCATGCTTCGGTTGCTGTTTGTCCACAGGCGTACTTACTTTGTTTTATATCAGTTTTTAGATACAAAAATAGTACAGGTAGAATTCGGTATTCTACATTTTCAGGGAATATCACATCACACACACGCTGCTCTTTCACTATGGTTTTCATGTTTTCTGCACCTCTCCCGCTCTTAACCCGCCTCCCACCCAGATTTAGCTCTGTTAACCCTTCAGGCTTCTTTTTCTGCACACACACACGCACACGCGCGCACACACACAGGAGGTTGTCCTGTTTGGTTTTTAGAAATGGAATTGTCCTGTTCCTCTTTGCACCTTGCTCATTTCACTTCATGGTGCGTCCCAGATACCACTTTCTAAGTCACCGGCAGAAGCAGGACCTTGTGCTTCCTGATGGCTGTGAGCTGTCGTGGCGGCACACCTGTCCTCGGTGTGGAGTTCCAGTTCATTCCTGCAGTCCCCTGTTAACAGATGTTTAGACTGTTTCCCTTTTTTCCCCTTTTCATTACAAACAAAAAAAATTGCTTTCTTAAACTTATTTTCATGTTTTTAAACTTTCTAATTTCTCATAAATATTTCAACTTTAGATTCTGTGAGTGAGTCTATTAGTGTCAGGCTTTGCAGAGGAAAGGAAAGTTCTAGAAGAGTCTGCAGCTCGTTCTCCCACCCCCTGCCCCCAGTGTCCACCCACAGAGGTGTGAGCATGCAAATAGGGTGAGCTTCTGTCTCCCGTCTCTTGGGTGTCTTTTCCACCTGGGGCCTCCCTGGGGCCATGCTGGGGGAGTGAAAGGCCCCTCCCTGGAAGCCCGAGGCCCCTGGCCTGGATGCTGTAGCTTGCCTGAAAGCGGAGGAATTCTGGCTGCCTGGTGGAGGTCGGGGCTGGCCCTGCACCGCCAGGAGAAGCAGTCTGAGGGAGGGCTGCTCAGGCTGGACCCAGCCCTGACCAGCGGGGCCATCGGGCGTCCTGGGCCCTGGCAGGATGTCGTTCCAGTGATACAGCACTTCCTTGCTTCTAAACTGCTGAGTGGTCAGTGTCGGTTATCAGCTGTCCACATATATTGCATAATCTCAGATGCTGGCTTGTAACAGTGAGTGGAGGTGGGTGGCCACACTGTCCCTTTAGAATAATCCACATGGCCCTGTCCAGGCAGGGCAGCCTCTGGGCTCCCGCCCACCGCCTGATGCCCCTGTGCCTGGTGAGCCTGGGCCGGGGTGTGTTTGCTGTGGATGGGTGTGTTCCGAGTTCTCCGGTCAGCAAGCTCCCTTTGTCTCTAGGGGAGTTCCTGGGAGGTAAAGGGGAGCCTTTTCAAGCCACAAGATCACCCAGAAAACCTACGTAAGCACTAAAGTTCAGAAAAATCCAGCCAGCCTTGGAGCTGGGGAGACTGCTTCCCTTGGGGCCCGGCCACTCCAGAGCCATTTCCGTGATGGTAAAATGAGTGGGGGCCCCATGCTGCCTCTGCCTCCTGTGAACGCCATCCTCTGGTTCTTCACCTTCAGGCTCCCGCATGAGCTGGGTGGTTGGTGTTAACTCCTCTCTTCTCTCTTTCTACCCGGAACCCCCTGCCCAGAGCTCCAGGGAGCTCCACCATAGCCAGTAGAGGGAGGGCTCTGTTTACCTCCTTCCAAGTTCCCAATTTTGCTCTACTGATTTTTGTCTGCGGTGCATAATCAATCAGCCTGGACCCCAGAGAGGCCTTCTGTCGAGGTGGGTGGGTCTCAGAACGGCAGGCTGCTCCCCCTCCTACCTCGGGGCCCCCACTGTGCACCTGCAGCTGAGGCATGTTTTCTGGGGTTCCTGGCTTTGGCCTGCACGGCTGGGTGGGAGGAGGGCATGGGAGGTGATGCTGCTCACTGAGCAGGGCCTGCTTTGACCACCTCGGGATCAAGAGTCCTGTTAGATGCCCAGGTAGAGACCCTTGCTGGGCGGGCAGGTGGATCTTCGAGAATGGAGCTCCGAGGGACAGGTTGGCTGATCTCAGTGAACCCTGAGGCTTCCCCAAGGCCATACAGCTTGTCTGGCAGAGCCTCAGCAGGAGCCCGGGTCCCCGGACACCGAGGCTAGCTCTTTCTGCTGTGGCCTTCTCACAGACCAAGGTGGGATCGCAGCCTTGGTAGCCTTGAAGTCTCCCTAACCTGGCAAGACAGTGGAGAAGGGGGACAGCCAGCGGGACATTCCACTGTAGAATAAATACATGCATGGCAAAACACTTGACATCTATTAACTTCTAAGTGGCAAGAGTGATTCTTGTGGTTAGACCTGAATGGGAACTTGTAAGTCTAAAGTGAAAATCTAATTAGATTTTTCCCACAAAACAATTTTCCGCAACGCATTGTGGACATAAAGGTTTGATGAATGTATAGCCAGGCACAGTGGCTCACATCTGTATTCCCAACACTTTGGGAGGCCAAGGCAGGAGGATTGCTTGAGCACAGGATTTGAGACCAGCCTGGGCAACATAGTGAGACTCTGTCTCTATAAAAAAATAAATTAGCAGGGCATGACGGTGTACACCTGTAGCCCCAGCTACTCGGGAGGCTGAGGCAGGAGGATCACTTGAGCTCAGGAGTTCGAGGTTGCACCATGATTACACCTGTGAGTAGCCATGCACTCCAGCCTGGACAACACAGCAAGACCCTGTCTCAAAAAAAAAAAAAAGATTTGGCCAATGAATTTTATCAGCTAAACTGGGATATTTAAGAGAAAGGAAGGAACTCCTAATTTCTGAGCCCTGGTTCTGAAAAAGCTTTCTTTTTTCTTTCTTCACTTTAGTCTTGTTAGCAAAACCTTAACAGTTCATAGAAGAAATCATTTTTTACTTTTTTCCCCTTAATCTGAGCACAACATCTGGGGTTGCCATGGTGGTCCATTGGTGGTGATTTGCAGGACGGGACCTTACATCTGGGGAAGGGGCTGCCAGGCTGGGCCTGCCTCTGGCCCTGTGGGCATGGCCGGGGTGGGCATGGCCGGGAAAGGCATGGCCTCCAGAATCAGAGGCCTGGGTTGAATCCTGGCTGAGTGCCTAGTGGGGCACTTTGGGACAAATGACCACCTTTCTGAGCCTTGCTTTTCTCATCTGTAAATGGGGGTGGCAATGCCTACTTAGTTGAATGTTAAATAAAATGAAGTCGTGTCTGTGAAGCACCTGGCATGGTAATCGGTGGCCGTGAGGATGACGCTGGCCTCGCAGGGACTGGGTGGCACAGGTGTCCTGACCTTGGCATGCAGGGTGGATGGGCCAGGCTTCCAGCCAGTGCTGGATCTCAGAGGCCCAGGGGTTAGAGAACTAAGGGCCTCCGAGCCAGGCTCCTCGTTGCAAATGGACTTCTCTCCTTTGCGTGCTGTGAACTGGGCGTGAACACCTCCTGTGATGGGGAGCTCACTCCTTGCCGAGGGAGCCTGGTAAGCTGCCGGCACAGTCATCCTCATACCCTCTCTCCTGACCTGTGTCTTATGGCCTCTGCCCCCAGGCAGCTGCGGGGCAGGGGGCTGGGGTGACCCCCGTCTTGGTTGTTGAGCCCTTCCACTAGCTGGAGGGTGACTGTCCCCCCTTCTCCCCCGACACAAGGCACAGCCTTTCTTGTGGCTGTCAGGAGAGAGGGCCTGTCCTCCTTTGCGCCCACGCTGCCCCTGCGCCTTGTGGCACTGCATTCAAAGTGAGTGCGCCTGCTTTTGTTTCTTCCTAGGACTTCTGAAAACGTGTGGGTGGGGGAGGGTGTGGAGGGTTCGTGCACCGGGTGGTGTGGCTGCAGTGGCGTGGGAGGCGGCCCCAGAGGGGCAGAGGCGCAGTGTGTTTATGTGCACAGGGCCGTTCCCTTCCTGTCCCTCATGTGAACACCAGTGTACAAATGTGTGCACACAGGCGTGTCCCCCGTGCCTTTTCCCTACCTTGGCTGATCGTGGGGAAGATAGACTCACTTCCCCTCTCCAGGCGGCGATTCCGGAAAGGAGGCTCTGGAATGCCAGCTGGGGGCAGGGAAGCCAGGGCAGCCAGGAGGGACCTAGCAGGCCCACAGAGGTCTGGGACAGCTGAGCCCTCCTGCCCACGGCCCTGCCATCCCTGTGTGTCCCCAAGGTAACGTCCAAGCTCTGCAGCAGGGACCAGCCCTGGGTCCCACAGAGGAGGCTGGTCCAGGTGGTGGACTAGAGCTCCGCTTGTGCCAGCCTAGGTGCAGAGGCCCGGCCCAGCCCTTCCTAACCTTGCCGTCCTGGGCCAGCTGTTCGGTCTCTGCGTGCCTGTTTCTACACAACCCATCTGTAAAATGGGGCCATGGGAGCCACCACCTCCCCCAGGCCTGTCGCCATCACTGGCACCTCCACCAGCATTAGCACCAGTGTCTCCATGAAGTTGGGGTTCCTGGGGAGATGGCTCCCCCCAGCCTCGCCTCCTCCCTGCCTCAGAGACTGCGCAGAAGGAGGGCAGCTGGGCTGATGAGCAACTCGCCTGGGGCCCCAGAGAGGCCCGATCCCATCCCGCTGGGGCACGCCCCAGGTCCAAGCCTGTCTGGGCACCCCCAGGGCTCTGGACTCACCTCCACCCCTCCCTCTGCATCCTTGGTGGTGACACCATCAGCAAGTTTGGCACCCCCGGCCCTCACACTGACCCCAGCACCCCTTCCCCAGGCTCTGGTGGACTCCTTGCTCACGCTGCCTGCTCTGCAGGGTGGGGGCGGGGGGGCAGAGCCTGCCAGCCCCTCCCACACTTCCCTCACCAGATCACAGGACCCTCGGGGTGGAGGCTGGTGCGTGGGGAGGTAAGGGTCAGGTGGTGGGAGGCCATCCTCAGCAGGGGTCCCAGAGTGGGAGACCCAGAGCTTTAGGACCCCACCATGCGGAGGGGCCAGGGTCCCTGGGATGGGGAGAGGCCTCAGCCAGGGTGAGCAGAAGAGCTGCAGCCCCTGAGACCCGCGGGCTTGGCCGGCCCCCCGGGAAGAAGACCCACAGCTGGGAGGGCAGTTCATGCAGGGCACCCTCCCCTCCACCTGCCGGCCTTGGGGAGCACCAGGCAAGGCTCCCTGGGGAGCAGGGCTGCCACCTCTGACCTCGCTCCAGCCTGACCTCACCACGGAGGCGCACGCAGGATGTCCGCAGGCCCCCGGGTGGCAGCTTCCTACAGTGCTTTTCCACCAGGGACCGTGCTGAGGCCCAGGGCCCTGAGACCCTCAGGCCCATCACAGCCTCCCCACTGAGCACAGGCACGTCCATCCCCTCCCCTTCTCCACCTGTCACCTGTCTGTCTTCCAGGCTTCGTGGGACTTCCCAGTGCCCCATTCCTGCTTGTCAGAAGAGGGGCTGGGAGAATGGCAGGGCCTGGCACTCCAGGCTGCCCCTGCCCTCCTGCGCTCTTGCCCTCCAGCCTTTCCCCACCCTGGAAGTGAGTTCATGATGTTAATGGCAGCAGCAGCCATGGTGCACCAGGCACTCTGCTAAGCACTTTATGTACATTCTTAAATTACCGGATCCCCATTACGGAAACGGAGTCTTAGGTTGAAAAACTACTTGACCAAGGTCATCCCAGCTGTAAGTGGCAGAGCAGGCCCTGAATCCAGGCAACCCAGGCTGATCACCACCCTGCCACCACCCACCCCTCTCTCACATACAGGCTCTAGGCCTCCTGTCTATACTGGAATCCCCCACAGCAGATCCACATGGAGCTGTCTAAAGAAGCACCTGCCCCTCCCCCAGACAAGGCAAGAAAGCCATCTCTACCTGGAGGGAGAGCAGTGAGGGGCATCATTAATGGGCTGTTGGGTGTCCTGATTTCTTTGAGAGAAGACGAGCTGAGCAGGCACAGCTCTTAATCCTCCAGCCACTGCCCCCCAGGCTGGGGCCTGCCAGCCCCCGCCCCTGTAGTCATTTCTAAATCGGGTCTAGATGGACTGGACGCGTGGCTGCCAGAGACCATTTGAACCCCCTACCTCCAAATTCCCCAAGGTCCCCGCCTGCAAAGGACCAGCCCCAGCATGAGGCCCTGAAAGTGGCAACATTTCAATAGCCTATCCTGGACAATCAGGACGATCCCTTTACTAATTTATATGCTATACGTTTGGGGTTTAATTGGAGCGTAATTGTAATCCATATGCTGTTAAGGTAATTACACTTATAAACCTAATATAATCCATAGATCAATGGGTTTGGAGCTAATTAAGGCAACCGTAATTAACATTTACCAAAAACCTTGCAATTACTGGAATATCCTTTAAGCTGGCCTTCCGAGCTGATAATGAGCGCCGCTCAGCGCTCCGCGGCCTCCTAGCGTGTCTTTATTCTGCACAAGGGGGCCTTCTGGGGACCTCGATGTTGGGAGGGCAGTCAGTGCCTGCTTTTAGCACCCAGGGACTCTGATCAGGGACCCAGCTGATGAGTGGCAGCACCATGGGAAGCCAGGTCCCTGTGACTTGGCCATCCCCAGAACACGGCTGATTTTCTGGCTCAATAGACTCAGCCTGACAAAGGGGAACTTGGAGAAAGAGAACAAGAAATCCATATGCTGAGCTGGGACAGAACCCAAGTGGGGTTCTCATGTGGGGAGCATATGGGGCTTTCCTCCTGCCCACCCCCTGCACCTGCAGCCAGGATGCACCTGAGCTCGGACTGCCCTGAAACCCCAGGAAAATCCCAACAGCGGCACCATAGGGCCAGGATTACAGCCATTCTTTTTTTTTTTTTTTTTTTTTTTTTTTGAGACGGAGTCTCGCTCTGTCGCCCAGGCTGGAGTGCCGTGGCACAATCTCAGCTCACTGCAAGCTCCGCCTCCCGGGTTCACGCCATTCTCCTGCCTCAGCCTCCCGAGTAGCTGGGACTACAGGTGCCCGCCACCACGCCTGGCTAATTTTTTGTATTTTTTAGTAGAGACAGGGTTTCACCGTGTTAGCCAGGATGGTCTCGATCTCCTGACCTTGTGATCCGCCCGCCTCGGCCT
Source organism: Homo sapiens (assembly GCF_000001405.40). NCBI lineage: Eukaryota > Metazoa > Chordata > Mammalia > Primates > Hominidae > Homo > Homo sapiens. The sequence continues at coordinate 124,553,716 of NC_000010.11, forward strand.
CCCAAAGTGCCGGGATTACAGGCGTGAGCCACCACGCCCGGCCTACAGCCATTCTTGAATGTTGTATGACTCCCGGTGATATTGTCACCTTGGGAGCTGCACAGAGACCTCCCCCGGGCCAGGCCCCTCCTCTGTCTGCAGAAGGAGGTAAGGGGCCCACCACATCTGTCTTACCACAGGCTAAGCTGTTGGCATCTGTTCTTTTCCTGCTCCAGGAGGGACAGAGCCCCCCTGTTGTCCTTGCGGCACCATGCTCTGGGAACTGGGCGCTCCTGTGGACAGCTCCATGTGAGTCTTCTTCGAGAGACTCCACTGCAGATAGAAGAAGGCCTCGAGCCTGTAGTTGCGGGGCGGTGGTCAGCCTGGGCTGCCTGGATTCAGCTCCTGCTCTGACATTTACAGCTGGGACGACCTGGGCCAGGTAGAGGTTTTTCAACCTAAGACTCAGTTTATTATGTATTTATTCATTTATTCATTTTATTTATTTATTGACAGGGTCTTGCTCTGTCACCTAGGCTGGAGTGCAGTGGTGCAATCATGGCTCACTGCAGCCTTGACCTTCTGGACTCAAGTGATCCTCCCACCTCCGCCTCCTGGGTAGGATGCATGCCTGAGGTGGGACTACTGGCATGCACCACCACACCGGCTAGTTTTTAAAATTCTTGCAGAGACAGGGTCTCCCTGTGTGGCCCAGGCTGGTCTTGAACTGGGCTCAAGTGATCCTCCTGCCTTGGCCTTCCAAAATACTGGGATTACAGGCATGAGCCACTACACCCGGCCTGGACTCAGTTTCTATAATGGGATATGGCAGTTTAATAATGTGCATGCAGTGCTTAGCCTAGTGCCCGGTGCAGAGCCACTGCTTCATTAATGCTGCTGCTGCTGTCCTTGTCATCTCTATCATTGACAGCCCTAGACGAGCTGAAGGGGTGGGCCCAGGTGGGAGGGGCCAGGTGGGCGGGGCCAGGTGGGCTGTCTGCACCTCGCTTACTCCTGGGTGGGCTGTTAGCTTGGCGGGTCCCAGGGCTCACTTTTGCCCCATCATCATTTCTGTACACTTTTTCCATCTCTGGGCCTTAGGGCCTTTCCAAAGACTTTGCAACTCTGGCAGATATTTCTAGACAGAATTAGGTTCTTTAACGAAGGAATGAGGCAAATGTGGACAGGAGATTGTTCATAATTGCGGCTGTCATTTATTGAGCACCTGCTGTGTGCTCTTAGCCTCTGGGCTAAACACTGCACAGACATAATTCACTGATTGCCAACAGCAGCTTTATGCGGCTGGCATTTTAGTCTCACTTTAGGGTGAGGAAACTGAGGCTCAGAGAGGCTGAATCACTGGTTTGAGTACGTCCAGCGAGAGGGCAGCTGGGCCAGGATTTGAAGCCAGCCATTCTCAACACCACTGTGCTCTCTGCCTCCCGAGTGGAGGCCCTGACCCCTTTGCTCTCTTCCTGGGTGGGCCAGTGGGGATGGGTGAGGGGTGAGTGTGTCAATGTTTCCCTCAGCCCAGTAGTGGAGAACAGGCAGGGTGGGCGAACTCCTGGCTGGACCACAGCCACAGGCCTGCAGGAGGCACCCTTGCCAGGGCGAGTGAGCACTGTAGTCTGGGAGACCCTAGAGTGAGATGGGGGCTCTACAAGGCACAGCTCCTCCCTGGAGGAAGGGAGGAAGGGAGGGTCCCTGCCTTACAGGGCCTGGCCCTCCCCACTTGTCCAAAGCCCGGCTGGGTCCTGGTGTGTCAGCGCTTTGCAGTACACCCTGTGCTACCCACCCAACCTGTGTCCCCGTCTGATCTCCCTGGACCCTCCCACAGCCTGGGAAGGGTCCCCCAGCTGTGAGGTCAGCATGGGGGACCTTGCTCTGCAGAGGGCACCTGTAGGGCTGGCCTTATTGGAGTCCCTCCTTTCTAGGCCCACAGTCCTGCGCTGCCTGGTGTGCGGGGCCTGAATGTCATTGTTTCATATATTTTATCTGATTTTCTAGTTGCTTTAAGGTACTTTGTCTATCTTGACTGTTAGGCTCTTTATTTTTCAAAAAAAAATTCAATATAATAGTTTGCATTTTTTCTTATTGATAATAAAACCACTGACATTATTGAGCTCTTGTTCTGGGCTCAGTTCTGCCCCGAGCTGTTTGTACATGTTACCTTGCTGAACCTGCACCCAAGTCCTCAGGCCATATTCCCCCTTACAGATGAATGAAGTCACTGGCCCGAGGTCACACAGCTGGGACGTAGTGCAACCAGGCTGGGCCCTAGCTGGTTGACCCCAGTGCCCACTATTTATTTGGTGCTTACATGCACTGGCTCATTTTGTCTCTACAGCCTTGCAAAGGCCACAGTTATGAGATGGCAGAGGTGGTATTCAAATTCAGGCCCCTAAACTTGTGTCTGTGTTCCCTCTTGAAAACTTCAGTAAACTGAAGAAGTGAAAGGCAGAGGGTAAACCACCGACCAGCCCACCATCCAGAGGTGACGGTGACCTCTGATGCCGCTGGGTGTCCACCTTCCAAACTGTGTGCACAAATGTGTCCTCTGTGTTCTAGTCCACAGGTGAGGTCAGGAGCACAGGCTGTTTTGGGACATCTCTTCCCAGTGCCCAGTTCCAGAACACCCTTCCAAACCACCGTGCATTCTCCGGGGCCATCGTTTTAATGGCTGCACCCTGCTCCCGCGTGTGGACGCATCCTAAACAGTCCCTTAGTATTATGGTTAGATGCTCCATGTGTTTCCAATTCTTCATTATTGTAAACCCAACTGCATTGCTCATCCTTGTAGCATAGCTTTGCACTTATTTTGGATTTTTGCTTTAAGATAACTTCTCACACATGGAATTGCTGGGTCAAAGGGTATGCAAAATTCTAAGGTGTTTGGTACTTCTGCAGAATTCTCCCTCCAGACATCAAGTTGCTCTCCCATCTGCACTGTGGATAATTCTGCAACTCTCGACACCCTCACCAACAAATAACACCGAGGACTAGCAGTGTCATTTTTAAAACGCGCCTCCATCAATGGGAAAAGAATGGGATCTTCTTTGATTGATAATGAGACTAAAGGCTTTTTCTGTCTTCCTCAGTCGCTGATATTTGTTTCTTCTATAAATTGCATATTCATATCCTTTCTCAGTCTTTTTTGTATGTTTTTTAAACGAAGGCTCTTCTTTAATGGGAAATCTGCATTTCATCAAAGATGGAGCGCAGAGTCTGTGGTTCATTTATTCTCTGGAGAAGATGCTTCTTTTTTGTTCTCTAACCAATCAGAGACCAGCCTGAAGATGCTAGCAAATTAATTTCAGGCGCACGAGACAGGCGGTCGGTGCTCATGAGGATCCTGGCTGAGGAAATCACATTTTAGTCCCAACTCCTCGAAGTGTTGAGGCCGCCTGGAGTCCACGCGGACCAGGGTTCAAATCCCCACTCGGCCACTTCCTAGCAGCATGACTTTGGGATGTCCCTCAGCCATCAGAGACTTCACTTTCTGGGCTGTACCATGAGGTGTTGGTGTGCAGTTTAAAGGAAGTTTGGACGGCTGTGGTGTGGATAGTTCTGAGTGCTCAGTAGGCAGACCTGGTTTTGAGCTGATAGAGAAGGCCCACGCGAACGGGCAGAGCTGGGCCTCGCCAGGGCCTGGCACTCAGTAGTGCTCACCAAATGCCTGTTGCACAAGGGATGGTGCCCAGGTAACCTGGGTGAGCTACAAACCAGAGCCGCTGGACGAGTTCCAAAGGGAACTCGGGCGCACTAGCCCCCTTTGTTTGTGTTTGGAGTGGGAGTCACCGTATAGCTTTATTTGATTACTTTTTACCCAAATCCCCATATCCTCAGGAATTCAAGGACAAGGATACATAACAAAATGATTTTTGTCTCAGAGTAAATCACAGTCCACTTGGAAAATCTCCATCCTAGAGGAGGGTGAGGGTGCAGGTCTTGGGGTGAGGCTGGGGATGAAGCCTCCCATGACTTTGTGGTTACCCTGCTGGTGGGCTCACTCCCTGCAGGGCCATTGGTGGAGTCACATGATGCCAGGCAAGGCTGGCCAAGCAGGGTACAGAGCACACTGGGGGAGGGATGGCTGCACAGGCGTGGACCGTGGGGGATCCAGGGTAGGGATCCCACCTGGGGGTCTTGGGCTGAGTGGTGGAGCGTGTTGCCTGAACACATGAGCCCGTGGACATCTAGTGAGCTTAGGGCATGGCAGGGGTGGGGTGCGTTGCCTGCAGCCTGGGGCGGCCTCGGCTCCTTCATGTCAGCGCGTCCTGACACCGTGACACTGCGCATGGTCACATGGAGCCTGTCCTCTTGTATCTGCTTCATCTCTGGCTTTCCTGTCCATCTGCCTGGTGCTTTGGAGGGTGTACCAGGCTGTGAGGGAGAAGCAGCCACGTGGCTCCGTTTTCTTGTGCTGCAGCTGGGCCAGCAGATCTAGGGGAAAGGCCACTTCCTAGTGGCCTTTCTGGTGGGAGGGAGTCATAGTGATGAGTCTGGAAGCTGAGCCCTGGCTTGGGAGCAGCTGGAAAGGCTGCCTGTGGCCTCCCTGAGTGGACGTCCTCTAGCAGTTGTTCAGCCTCCCTGTCCCCAGCCAGCCACCACCTAGTTGGCACTCCCAGTGGGCCCCACGAGCCGCGTGTTGCTATGCACAGCCCTTACGAGAATCCCACTTTCCAGATGAGGGCGACAGGAGGAGGAAGCATCACTCACTTGCCCAAGGTCCCACCGGCAAGGGGCTCTGAGTCTGGACGTGGCCCTCTGAGCTGCTCTGTCCCCGCTTGGCGTTGGAGCGTCTCAGCCTCTCCCAAGAGTGTGTGCCCTTGTGTCGCTGGTTCAGAAGCCAGAAGGCTTCCAGGGGCAGACCTAGGCAGAAGCCCTGAGTGGGCATCCTGGTCAGCCCTGTGGGGGTTGGGGGCCAGTGGGCAGGGGCACTCACCATGCTACCCAACCCCCCATGGCACCCCCAATGTGGAACGCACGGGCTCAGGACTCACTTTTATTTTGGTAGAGCTTGGAGTCCCCATTTCCATGTTTTGTTTTTCTTTACAGTCCCAGTGTCAAGCTTAGTAGGACACAGATGTCTCAGCAAACAAAACTAGGAGCCATCCGAGCAGGCCCCTGCGGCCATATGCATTCCCATGCGTAGCGAAACCAGGCCCTCTTGCCAAGCACTCTTTGGGAGGATATTTGGAAAAAATGTCAAGGCATTCATTTTTCTCTCGACCTTTTCTGTTGGAATCGTGGGGCCTTAACACTGGAAGTAAAAGGAGTTATAAGACACAGCTGGCTTCCTGCACCCGGGACAGCCCCAGTGGCCAGGCCTGGCCCTATTCTCCCATCTGGCCCTCGGTGGTTTCTGCAGAGGTTACCATGCACAAGGGCCAGGCCGCGGCCCCCACCTATGTGCAAAGAAGTTGGCAATGATGTCCAGGTAGCAGGTGCAGCGGGCAAGGTTTCTACCCCCAGGCTAGTTAAGGACACAGGAGACTCGAGGAGGGAGAGGACCAGCAGAGGACACTCTATGGGGGTGGCTTCTGGCAAAACAGTGCTATCTGAAGATGAGTTTGAAGTTAGGAATGTTTGCTGAGTTGGCCTGGATATTGGAAGTGCCCTTTCTTTTGAGCCCTTTGGCTCTCTTGGCGTTGACCATCTGCTGGTGGAACATGGGTGGGCTCCCAGAGCACCTGCCCCTGTGGTGTATACCAGCTGGATCTCAGCTACACCTACGGACCTGCACTGGTATAGATTTGGGTCCCAGGTTCCCCACCAGGGGCCTGGCTGGCTTCCCCAGGTCCACACCCTTCCAGCGAAGTCACATCACAAGTTGTGTGGAAATGGAGGTCACCACCCTGGCCACAGAGGTGAGGCTGGTGAGGCCCAGAGTGTACCTGTTGGGGATGCTGCAACACTTGGAAATCCGGCTGCCCGAGGCTGGAAGCCGTCTTGCTGCGTATGTCACGTAGGATAATGAGTGGACTCTTTTCTCAGTCCTGGAGGACTTCCTCGGCCAGTCTGGAGTAAGCCATGGCTGGGGAGATCAGTTCTTGGAAGTGCTGGGTTTTCCTGCATCTTTGGTCCTTTGGTGGCACAGGCCTTCCCTTGCAGGCCTTTGGCACCTGTCTGGGGTGTGTGCCATTGGCTCAGTAGCCCATGGGCAGTAAGTTCCGTGGAATCAGGCACATTTTCAGCCAGCGCTGCCAAGTGCTCCCTGCAATGGTGTTGCCACCTGAGGTGCCACCCAAAGCAGAAAACCCTGGGGCTGGGCAAGACAGCAGCTTTCAGGAGCTGGGAGGAGGCATCATTTCCACTTTCCAGGCCCTGCGATCTGGTTTGTAGCCTGTACCAGGGCACTGGAGTCCTGCCTTGGCACAGCTCATGGTCTAGAGGAATAACCTCAGGTCCAGGTGAGACACTCAGCCTGTGATGGCTTCATATGGTCACTACGTTGTTGTATATGGAGAGAGGACTCTTTCTTGGTTTTAAATTTTGTTTTTAATTTTATAAATGTAATATATTCACATGGAAAATTTGGAAATTATAAACAATCAAAAAGAAGCAGCTAAAAAAAGTCCTTTCATAATCCACCGGCAACATCAGTTAACATGTGGCATATTTCCTTCCCGTCTCCTCCACTCCCATTTTTTTTGGACTTCTTAAACATAATTGAGATTGTGTTTTATGTACAATTTTATAGCATGTACTTGTTAGCTTTGAAACAGACCCATCTGCGTTTGCAATTTGGCCTGCAGGGAAAAGACCAGATTGCTGAGTCTTAGCTAAAGCTGTGGGAGAAGGAAATCTAAAAATACCCTCCTCGTTGGCCTGCTCAGGGAGCGCCGTGGCCTCTTGTTCTCCTCCCTGTCAGTACAGCAGAATTAGCCATGACTCAGAGTGGGTCTCCGTGGTGATTCTGCCTCTAGAGAACATGCCGTGCTCCCGACGTCAGGCTCACAGGTGAGCGGGGGCACTAGCCGGGGACGAGGGGCTGGAGCCTGGCCGGCCCAACTACAGAGGGGCCTGGGGTTTGGCTCCTGCCGGAGGAGCCCCTCTAGGGCTCTCCGGGGTCTTCTGCAGAGCGAACACTTTGAGGGGAGCATCTGTCAGAGACACATGATGCTTCTTCACCCAAAGCCCCACCCTGGCTGCAAGAGGAGAAAATCAAAACCGTGAAGAGCATTTTAGAGACTTCCACTTCCAGCAAGATGGAGCAGAAGTGCCTTTCCCTATTCCTCCTGCCAAGTGCAATGAAAAACCCTGGACGTCAGTTATGAAACAAACAGAAGAGGCTGAAAGGAAGAGAGGAGAAGGCAGACTGACCAGGGACCTCAGGACCTGGGGATCAGTGGAGGGGTGAATTCCCTGGGTTTCCTTTGTGCCTTGCACATCTCAGACGTGGAGCTGAAGAAGCCAGCAAGAGCCTCTGCAGAAGCCTGCTCTCCCTGGCTGAAGGACCAAGCCAGGGGCACCTGGCGAGACAGAAAACATTTAGGCAATAACTGTGGTACTCCAGCCAAACACCACAGAAAACCCTGTGGCCCCCTCAGCTACTCGTGCCAGCAAGGGCTCAGCAGGGATCCTGGACCAAAACACTGACCAGGCTGAAATGAGCCCCTACCACTGGGGGTGTCAGAGAAGGCCAAGGAGGGAGCCAGGAGCAGGGTGGGAATGAGGTCCCCCAGCTGGAGCATCAGTGGAGACCACATGGTAAGCCTGTGCTTCCCCTAGTCAGTGGTGACAAGACATCCCTTCCCCTCCCACTGGACGGGCAGCATCATACTGAAGAGTCAGGACTTCATCGCCACTCAGAGGTTACAAGGCTATCCGCCCCCCCCACAACAGTGACAATGGAGCCCGCATGGGACACAGTAATGAGGGATTCCTGCACCTCCCAACCAGGGGAAAACTTCCTCCTTGAAGAGCAGTAATGAGAGCACCTCCCCCACCTCAGTGTCAGCAGAGGCCAAGTGGGGAACCTGGACGTCCACCCCACCCAAGCAGAATAAGGCAGCACTACCCTCTTCCCCTGCCTGAGTTGTGTCCAGAGAAGGCCACTGAAAGGGAAGGTTTAAATAAGACTCAGAGTCTCACACCACACACCCAAAATGTCCAGCTTGTGGTACAAAACCACCTGTCATGCTAAGAACCAAGGAAACCCCAACATGAATAAGAAGAGAAGACCAACAGACACCAGCACTGAGATGACACAGATGTCAGGGCAAAGACTAAAACAGCTACTGGAAAAATGCTTCAACCAGCAATTGCAAATATGCTCAAAACAAATGACAAAGTAGAAAGTCTCAGCAAAGAAATAGAAGATACAGGGCCAGGTACGGTGGCTCATGCCTGTGATCCCAGCACTTTGGGAGGCTGAGGTCGGTGGATCACTTGAGCCCAGGAGTTTGAGACCAGACCTGGGCAACACAGGGAGACCTTGTCTCTACAAAAATTAAAAAATTAGCTGAGCATGGTGGCACACACCTGTAGTCTCAGCTACTTAGGAGGCTGAGGTGGGAGGATCACCTGAGCCTGAAAGGTCAAGGTTGTAGTGAGCTGAGATCACGCCACTGCACTCCAGTCTGGGCAACAGGGTGAGACCCTGTCTCAAACAAACAAACAAACAAACAAATAAATAGAAGATACAATGAAGAGCCAAATGAAAATTTTAGAACTGAAAAATACAGTAGCCAAAATAGAAAACTCCATGGATGGGTTTGACAGCAGAATCAAGGGGACAGAGGAAAGAGTCTGTGAACTTGAAGGCAGGAAAATAGAGATGACCCAATCAGAACAGAGAAAAAATAGACTGAAAAGAATGAACAGACATTTCACCAAAGATGATATCCAAATAGCAAATAAGCACATAAAAAGATGTCATGAGTCACTAGGGTAACGCAATTTAAAGCCACAATGAGACATCACTACACACCTATCAGAATGGCTAAAATAGGCCAGGCGTGGTGGCTCACAGCTGTAATCCCAGCATTTTGGAAGGCTAAGGTGGGTGGATCACTTGAGGCCAGGAGCTCGAGAACAGCCTGGCCAACATGGCAAAACCCTGTCTCTATTAAAAATATAAAAATTACCTAGGCATGATGGTGCTCGCCTGTAATTCCAGCTACTTGGGAGGTTGAGGTGGGAAGATCACTTGAACTGGGGAGGCAGAGGTTGTAGTGAGCCGAGATCATGCCACTGCACCTCAGCCTGGGCGACAAAACAAGAAAGATACCATCTAAAAAAAAAAAGAAAAAAAAAAAGAATGACTAAAATAAAAAATGCCGATGAGAACAGTGAGAATCTGAATCACTCAGACATTGCTGGTGAGAAGGTAAAATGATACAAATGCTCTGGAAAATAGCTTGGCAGTGTCTTAAAACTCTAAATGTAAAACTGTCACATGACTCAGCCATGGTACTCCTGGGCAGTTATCAGAGAAATGAAAAATTATAATTTACACAAAAACCTATACACAAATGTTCGTTGCAGTTTTATTGATAATAGCCCCAAACTAGAAGCAATCCAGGTGTCCTTCAGTGGGTGACGAGAGGAACTACATCCATGTCATGCAATAGTACTCAGCAATAAAAAGAAACAATCTCTCTCTCTCTTTTTCTTTTTTTTTTTTTTTGCATAAAATCCAGATCCTGCAGAAAAAAGAAACAAATTTGATACTCACAATGACTTGGATGGACTCCCAGTGAAAAAAGCCTATCCCAAAAGGTTATGTACTTTCTGATTCCATGTATAGAACATCCTCAAAATGACAAAATTCTATCATGCAAAACAGATACTGTTGGATGGGGTGGGGCGGGGCAGGAGGGCAGTGGGCGTGGCTATAAAGAGCAGCCTGAGGGGTCCTGGTGGTGATGGAAAGCTTCTTTATTTCACTGTATCAATGTCAATTGTTGACTTTGATATTGTTCTATAGTTTTGCAATATATTACTGTTAAGAGAAACTGAGTCAGTGGCGTTCTTACAACTGCATGTGAATCTCCAATTAGCCCCAAATTAAAAGTTTACTAAAGCAACAATTGAACAAGAAAAAGAAAAGCCTTTGTACCTAGCAACCCAGAATGCCTATGATAAGTGGCAGGAGCTGATGACAGGCGTTCTTGGTTCAGAACAATGACAACTCTGGGACAAGCATGCCGCTGGGAGAAAGAGACCAGGAGCTGCACAGCCAGACAGATGCTTTTGCAGTGGGATGGCAGTGGGGAGTTGGAATGGTTCATCATTTACTTTTTATATTTAACACTTTTTTTTTTAAGAGATGGAATGCTCTGTCACCCAGGCTGGAGTGCAGTGGTATGATCGTGGCTCACTGCAACTTCGAACTCCTGGGCTCAAGCGATCCTCCCACCTCAGCCTCCTGAGTGGCTGGACCTACAGGTGCACATTGAAGCACCCAGCTGATTTAAAAAAAAATTTTTTTTTTTTTTTTGAGACGGAGTCTCGCTCTGTCACCCAGGCTGGAGTGCAGTGGCGCGATCTTGGCTCATTGCAACCTCCACCTCCCAGGTTCAAGTGATTCTCCTGCTTCAGCCTCCCGAGTAGCTGGGACTACAGGCACGCAGCACCACACCCAGCTAATTTTTTGTATTTTTAGTAGAGACAGGGTTTCACCATGTTACCCAAGATGGTCTCAATCTCCTGATCTCGTGATCTGCCCACCTTGGCCTCCCAAAGTGCTGGGATTGCAGGCGTGAGCCACCGCGCCCGGCCAATTTTTTTTTTTATAGAGACGAGTCTCACTGTGGTGCCCAGGCTGGTCTTGAACTCCTGGGCTCAAGTGATCCTCCCACTTCAGCCTCTCAAAGTGCTGGGATTACAGGTGTGCCCCACCGTGCCCAGCCTCGGATTGTCATTTAGCGGTCTGTCTGAACATCAGTCTCCTGACGTCCTTCCTACAGATATGAACAGAGCCCCTGCTAGGCATGAGTATTCGGAGCATAAGCTCCTGGTTCCCCAGTGAGAGACGGATGTGTAAGGAGGCAGTCTCAGGGTAGGATGTTGAGTCTGGGCTGGGGACAGTGCACTGTGCCGTGGAATTATGGAGAGTTTTTCCTCCTATCTCTAAGTCCAATGTGTGGCATGGTTATATTACATTTTTAGGATGGAAAAGTTATACCATATATTTAAATGAATTAACAGCATTTGCAATGATCTGGATGAGATTGGAGACTATTATTCTAAGTGAAGTAACTCAGGAATGGAAAACCAAACATCTTATGTTCTCACTGATATGTGGGAGCTAAGCTATGAAGACGCAAAGGCATGAGAATGATACAGTGGACTTTGGGGACTTGGAGGAAGAGTGGGAGGGAACGAGGTGTCCTTGTCCAGCAAGCGCTCTGTGTGAGGCTCCATGCATCTTTATGCATTCTGCTCTGATGTTTGCAAACACGACGCCCGGCAATAAGTGAGGCCCCCCTGAGGTACTCAAGGGGCTTCACTCGCCGAAGCTCCCCTCCCCACAGCAACCTGAGCTTCTGCAAAAGCTGAGAAGCACGCATGAGAAGGGCACCTCCCCTGCTTGGAAATAATTTTTTGGTTGCAGTAGGGGGTTTTGTTTGTTGTTTGTTGCTTGCTGCTCGCTAGCTTGTTCTTGCAGAAGGAAGAGCTGGTCTCCTTTGCCATCCCTTACTGAGGGTCGAGAAATACAGACAGGTGTCTTCAGGCTCTCCGTGCAGGCCATAGTCCCCAAGAATTCACTTGTGAGCCTCTGTGGCAGTTTATGTTGAGGATTAGGTTTAGTTTGGGGAGAGGAGGATCCATGGAGCTGGGGTTCCAGATTTGATGTCTAATTTTAGAAAGGACACTATTTTTAAATCAATAGCTGTGCAGCCTAGCATATCACTCTGACCCTGTGCCCTTAAGGGACGCACTGGGGAGGACATTGTTCAGGACGGAGCCTGACAAGAAAGGAATGCTACCCCACGCCGTGCGCCCCAGGCGGCCACTGTCGTCCAAGAATTTCCAGGTCTTTTCTGGTATCACTTCTTGGCACAGGCGGAAGAAGCCATGTTCCCATCGTCCCAACATGCAGCTGGGGACCTGGAGACCGCTTTGGCCTTTCTCAAGGTCACAGGAAGGCAGGGGGAAGGCTGGCGAGGGCCCTGTGGATCCGCCCTGCTCCAGCCCGGCGTCGGGTTACAGCAGTGGGGACAGGAGGGGGAAGGGGTGTCACTGCAGGAGCTAAGGAGAAATCCAGGGTTGACACCCTCAGAAACTGGAGAAGACCAAGAAAGCAGAGCGGAGAGTGCCCCCTGCAGTCCGCAGAGGGCCTTTGCCGAGGTGGGCCTGGAGCCGTCGCCGTACCCCTGGGTGGCCCGCAAGGCCAGGCTTGGCTGCCTGGCAATGTTTGTTGTGGGCAGTTGCCATGCCACTCCGGCGGCAGCAAGAGCAGGGACAGGTGTGGCAGAGCCCGGTGGTTCCAGCCCAGCCTGGCCTCCCAGCATCACCTTCTCCAGTTACTTGAAGTGGGCCAGGTCCTGGAGACCGGGCGTGTGGTTATGGGCTCTCCAGATTCTTGGCGCCTTCCTGATTGCAGGAGTCTGGTTGGCATCATGGGACCCCTGGGAGACTCACTTTCAGGAGGGGTTGTCCTTTCCCCCCTGGGGGACACACTCTGCTTACTTGTCCCCTGGGAGCGCTGGGCAGGGAGACTGCAGGTGCCAGCCACTCCTGCAGCTTCTGCCCAGCCTCCTCTGGTGTCCTCTGCACTGTCACCAAGCCATGGCCTCAAGCAACTTGTGGGTGCCTGTGATTTAGGCCTTGGGGTGTTGGAGCCTGCTTGGACCCACTGGCAGGAGTCAGTTGTGATGTCTTTTGCCAGCTCTCTTCTGTAGCTTGAAATTGGCCACGGTGGAAGTATTTACACCATGGAAGTTGGCAAATGCACGGACCCAGCACCCCTACCCCATCCCGGAGAGCCAGTTACCAGCACACGTCTGCCTTTTGGGGTCTTTTGTGCAGGACTGATGGATGGAGTCGCAGCAGACACTTGGCCTGGCCACTGTGAGGCTGTGTGGTGGGAGGTCGGGGGCACCTGAGACAGAGGGAGGAGGCTGAGAGTCTGAGGGGGCAGCCAGGGCTGGAGGGCCATTTGGGATTCTGTTGGATTTCCCTGCACTTTGTCCAGGGGCAGAAGCCTCCCTCCCAAGGTCAGGCCCCATTTCTAGCCGTGCTGGTCGCACATCCCTGTGAGCAGGGGTGCAGAAGAGAAATGGTCCCTCAGGAGCCCCACACCCGCTCCCATCCAGCTCTCCTCCAGATGACATCTCCAGGCACTGGGACCCCACAGAGGCAGGCCCTGCTCAGCCTGCAGAGCTCCCGGTGGAGAGGGAGGGCGGGGGTCCAGGTGGCCTGAGGAGAGGGGTGCAGGCCAGCTGAGGGGGCTCCCAGAACTCCACGAGCTCAGAGACGGGCTCTTGCCCTTGCAGCCCCATCCTTGGGATGCCCCAGCCCTTCATCCAGACCTCTGCTGTGATTGTGTCAGGACCTGTCCCTGCAGTGGACTGGAAGCTCCAGGTGGGCAGGCCTTGCCGTGGTCACCTGTGTCCACAGGCCTGGGCAGAGCAAACTGATGAGTGTCTACTAAATCAGAGAGAAGACACAACCAGGGAGCGAGTGCACGCCCGGGCCGACCAGGGCTGCGGGCATCATATCCCGCTCAGCCGCTGCCTGCCCTCCACGCGCCCCTGGCTGCCTCTCTCAGCCTCGGCCCCCTCCACTCATGAGTGGGAATAAATAAGAGAGTAGAAAACGTAAGTGAGGTTCTTGTCTGGCCGCCCGGCTCATAGCAATGTTTAATAGATAGTAACTGGTGTTATGACTGAAGACGTCCTTTGTGGGCTATTGGAGTTCTTAATATCCCCGAGTAACCACAGGGCAACGCTCTGGCTTGACAAGGGGCGGCACTGCTGGTCAGCAGCCCAGCCAGCCGCAGCGGCCACTTGTGTTCCCAGCTGTGGCTTGTGATCTATGGTCGACTGAGCTGTTACTCTCCTCGGTTAGACACGCATATGCACACACATGCACACTCATGTACTTACACATGTGCACGCGCATGCAACGCACAAACACATGGACACACATGCGCATGCATGCACACACTGTACCCACGTGCACACACGAGTGCACAGACACGAGGGCTCACTGTGATCTGCTCTAATGCATGGTCTTAATAGCTATATAATATTCCACGGTTCTTTTTTCTTTCTTTCCTTTTTAAGATGGAGTCTCGCTCTGTCGCCAGGCTGGAGTGCAGTGGCGCGATCTCGGCTCACTGCAACCTCCGCCTCCCGGGTTCAAGCGATTCTCCTGCCTCAGCCTCCTTAGTAGGGGGGGACTACAGGCGCGTGCCACCACGCCCGGCTAATTTTTTGTATTTTTCAGTAGAGACGGGGTTTCACCGTGTTGGCTAGGATGGTCTCCATCTCTCGACCTCGTGATCCGCCCGCCTCAGCCTCCCAAAGTGCTGGGATAACAGGTGTGAGCCACCATGCCCGGCTGGTTCTTATTTCTTTAATTTTATTGAAGAATAACATACCTACGGAGCCGTGTGCATATCATAAGGGTACAATTTGATATACTTTCATGGAGTGAAATACATCCCTGAAACCAGCTCCGGATCGAGAAGCAGGACATTTCCCACCCTCTTCTTGCCCTTTGCCTGCAACCCCCATCCCCGGGGTGACCATTCCCCGGCCTCTGCCCCCGGGACAGTTTTGTTCGCTCCTTTGCTTTATGGAGGTGAAACCGCGCGATGAGGCCCCTTTCGAGTCTGGCTGCTTTTGCTTAGCCCTGCGCTTGTGAGATCCCTCCGCGGTGGCGTGGAGAGGTGTGGCCACTTCCCGCTTCGTGGCAAGTCGTGTTCTGCCATTTCTCCGAATACCGATGGAGGCTTACCGTGCTGGACCATGGAATGGGGTCTGGAATGTTCTCATACAGGTCCTGTGGTGCAATGGGCGTGTGCTGGCACTGGGATTCTGTGTCTAATGCTCTTCATCCTAGACCTGTGAGAGGAGACTGTTGTCCCCAGGGCAGTGAGGAGGAGGCCAGCTTTGGAGTGGTCACCCTCACCTCGCCGTTACACACGTCACTTCATTTAATTTTTAAACAACAGTCCTGCTGCCGGTGGCCTTTTCTGTGTGCTATAGAAGTGAGAGCAGGTGCCTGGGGACACTTGGAGGCCCCCCTAGGTTTGTCTGTAATGAGCTTGTGCTGGCGACTGGCATGTTCTGTCCCCCCCACGGCTCCCAGCGTGCTCCCAGCGCCCTCCCACAGCTTTAGGCAATTAAGACACGGGCTTGGAGTGGCCATTGCAGGACCTGCTGGTAATGGGGGTGAGGGGTAAGCTTTGTTTCCAAGGCAGGTCTGTGCCCTGGGGTCTTGTCCCCCTCCACATGCACACTGCCTGGGTGGGGCTCATTCCTGCGGGTAAGGCCCGGGATCAGGAATGGCTGTCTTTCTTCTGCCCAGAGGGAGCTGCTTGTGGCTTGAGGTGGCCCTGAGACTGTGAGACAGGCCACTGGGAGGCCCAGGCTCTAGCAAAAGTGGGGATTTTTTTCTCTCCCTAGTTTTGGATCAGGTTTTTGAGGTTGTGCAAACGTAGGAATGAGGCCTTTCACCCCGTCAGTTGTCTGTCGGGCTGTGTCGCACAGTGGCCCCTCGGGACAGCCTACAGAGCTGCTGTCTCTTCCAGGCATTGCTGCAGGGCCTGCTGTCTCTGCTGTCCTGGGCCAGGCGCTGAGTTCTGTCGCGGAAAGTCTGAGGGCAGAGCTGGGAGGGCAGCGTTTCCAAAGCAAATGGAAAAGGCAAACGGGAACGTGGCGGGCAGGGTGGGCAGGGCAGCCTGGAAACACCCTTTGTCCCATGCAGCTCATTCACTCGGCCAGGATTTGCCGAGTGGCTTACTGCACTCTGTGGCCCTGAACCAGGGCTGGGGGATCTCAGGGACATGTGTGTCCACAGAGATGGTCACCTGCCACCTCCACCATCACAGATGCCATGAAGGCTGTGAAGGGAAACAGACCTGTAAGGCAGCGGAGCCGAGATGGGGTTGATGAGTGTCACCAGTCACAAGCAAGGTGTCTCTGTTCTCTCTTCTACATGTTGATCGAGGTATAACACCCAGGAAAGGACATCAAGTGTACAGTTTGAATTTTTGCACACACGTACACCCGTGTAACCCCCACACAGATCAAGATGTAGAACATTCCAGCACCCAGAAGTTTCCCCGTGCCCCTTCCCAGTCAGACCCCCCGACCCCAGGTCACCCCTGCCCTGACTTGCAGTGTAGAGCTCACCCGGCCACTTCCTCTTTTGCCCACAGCAGGTGAGGAGGGCCTTCTACTGGGAAAAACTGTGACTATTAATTTAGGTTTAAAATGTATTGGTAACAGGCAGATCTGGCCAGTCCCTCCCTGGCTTCAATCTCCTTGGTAGCTTCCAGGATTACTCTTAGGAGGGACTGGAGGAAAAGCCCCTCTCTGTCCCCATGGCACCCACAGTGACCGTCACAGCCCTCCTCTGGGCCCTCACTGCCACCAGTGGACTCACTGTCTCCCTCTGCCCTGTGCACAGCTTCTTAATTTGGGTCCCTCTGGTTTAGCTCAGTGCAGCCAGAATTCACCCAGTGCCTATGTGAGTCGGGCACTGGGCTGGCCCAGGGGCCTTTGGAATGAAGGGGACAGTCGGTGAGCTGAGGTTGTCCCCAAATCAGAGGTGTGACCCTATGAGCAGCCAGGTTTTTAATTTTGTAATTGAGATATTCACATGCCATACAATTCCTCTTAAAATACACAATTCAGTGGTCTTTAGGTTTTTAATATATTCACAATGCTGTGCAACTATCACCTCTAATTCCAGAATATTCTGTCACTCCAAAGAGAAACCCTGTACCCATTAGCAGTGACTTCCCACTCCCCACACCCCCAGCCCCTAGCAGCCTCCAGCCTCTTTCAATCTCTGTGGATTCGCCCGCTCTGGGCATTTCATGTAAATGGAATCAGACGATACATGGTCTTTTGTGTCTGACTCCATTCACTTTGCTTAATGTCTTGACCGTTCATCTGTGTTACGGTGTGTATCAGAGTTTCACTTCTTTTTGTGGCTGAGTAATATTCCACTATGTGGATAGGCCACATTTTGTTGATCTGTTATCAGCTGATGGACATTTGGATTGCTTCCTGATATGGTTTGGCTGCATCCCAACCCAAATCTCGTCTCGAATTCCCATGTGTTGTGGGAGGTAATTGAATCACGGGGGCAGGTCTTTCCCATGTTGTTCTGTTCTGGTGATAGTGAATTAGTCTCACAAGATCAGATGGTTTTAAAAAGCGGAGTTGCCCTGCACACGCTCTCTTCTCTTGTCTGCCGCCATGTGAGACATGCCTTTCACCTTCTGCCGTGACGGTGAGGCCTCCCCAGTCACGTGGAACTGTAAGTGCATTAAACCTCTTTCTTTTGTAAACTGCCCAGTCTCTCTGGTATGTCTTTATCAGCAGTGTGAAAACGGACTGATACACTTCCACTTTTTGGCTATTGGGAATAGTGGTGCTGTGAACACTAATGTATAGGTTTTTGTGTGGACACGTTTCCAGTTGTCTTGGATATATACCTAGTTGTGGAATTCCTGGCTCATGTGGTAATTCATGTTTAACTTTTTGAGTAACGAGCGGCCATTTTTAAAGACTGGATAGGAATATGTAAGGAAGAAAGTAAATTTATTCACTTCCGTTCAGGAAATTTACCTACCAAACAACATGCTGAATGGGAACCTTTAGGGGCTTGGCTGAATGGCCCTGCACAAGGTGTCCAGGATGCACTGCCTAAAAGCTGTGGACCCTGTGCCTGGGAGGAGGACCAGCAAAGGGCAGAGCCCCCCGTGTTTCAGATGGAAAGGTTAAGTAATGTGACTCTGGTAATGCAGTCCAGTTCATTTATGAGATCATGGACCTCTTATACTACAGACTTTTTGTGTTTTTTTGCTGAGTCTTTTGCTCCCTAACCGTGTTCCCTGGCTGGCCACCCTGCCAGCACCACGCTGGTCCTCAGGAAGCATCATCAGTCAGAGACACAGGCCTTTGCTGTGGCCTCACATGCTAGCAGAGGAAGATAGACAACATGGCGATGGATGAGGAAGTTGGGTTGTCTGTAAGAGGATGAGAAGGGCTGTCATTAAACAGGTGGGTTCAGGTGGGTCTCATTGAACCATGAGATTTGAACCAAGACCTAGGGGGGTGAGTGAGGGGTTGGGGAAGGGAGATTAATGCGAGTTCTGGGGAAGGAACATTCCAGGTGAGGAAACAGCCACTGCAGAGCCCCTTGGGTGTTGGAGGAAGACACTCAGGTGGCTGGAGGGGTAGGGGAAGCATTGGCAGGGAGAGGCCAGGGCTGGCAGGCCTGCCGAAGGCTTTGCTTCTCTTCTGCCAGGCTGGCCATCACGGGCCTTGCACAGAAGAGAGCAATGACCTGCCTTCAGGTTTCAAAAGGTCCCTCTGGCCGCTGTTTGAGAGAAGGTCACAGTGGGATGAGGGCAGAGCAGGGGGACTGCTCAGGAGGCTTTTGCAGTAACCGACGGAGTGGTGGCGGTCACTGGCACCGAGAAGTGTACATGCTGCAAAGAAAATACTCTGTTCAGGAGACCAGGTGCGGTGGCTCACGCCTGTAATCCCAGCACTTTGGGAGGCCGAGGTGGGTGGACCACTTGAGGTCAGGAATTCGAGACCAGCCTGGCCAATATGCTGAAACCCTGTCAATACTAAAGATACAAACATTAGCTGGGCGTGGTGGTGGGTGCCTGTAATCCCAGCTGCTCGGGAGGCTGAGGCAGGAGAATCGCTTGAACCCAGGAGGTGGAGGTTGCAGTAAACCGAGATCACGCCATTGCACTCCAGCCTGGGCGACAGAGCGAGACTCCATCTCAAAAAAAGAAAGAAAGTAAGAAAGGAAAGGAAAGAAAAGAAAAAAAAGAAGGAAGGGAGGGAGGAAGGAAGGGAGGGAGGGAGAAAGGAGGAAGGGAGGGAGGGAGGAAGAGGGGAGGTGGGGAGGGCTCTGTTCACATAATAAAGAAATCCAGAGGTTTGACCATGGGCGTCATTTCATCACTGCACTTGGCAGAGGTCATCGCTGCTGCTCCCATCCAGCTCAGTCCTGTGGTCCCTGTCGTGTGTAGAAACACATACTCTGTACGTTGCTGGGATCATAGCAGAATATCAGCTCCACCAATCCTGGTTCCTCAATGGCGACACCCACGCACTCAGGGCATGTATCAGTGTGCATGGAGTTGCCTCGCGTTCAACTGCGTGGTGTGGGTAACGCAGTTGTGCCATTGTGTGTCTCACAATTCCCAGACTGGTAAATAATGTTGCTTCTAGTTTTTTGCTACTTAAGCAGTGTCACAGTGAACATTCTTTTATAAACGTGTTTGTGTTTTAAAAATAAGCTTATTTTGGAATAATTTCATATGTACAGAAAAGTTATGGAGTTAGGATGTTTTCATCCACTCTTCATCCAGTTTCCTCTGTGAACACCTCACACATCTGTGGTACATTTGTTACAACCAAGAAACTGACATTGGTACCCACACTATTCATGAGACACCAGACTTTATTTGGATTTTTTTCTTTTTGAGATGGGGTCTTACTCTGTCATTCAGGCTGGAGTGCAGTGGCACAGATCATAGCTCACTATAGTCTCCACCTCAAGTGATCCTCCCGCCTCAGCCTCCCAAGTAGGTGGGAGTACAGGTGCACGCCCCCACACCCAGCTAATTTTTTATTTTTTGTAGAGACAGGGTCTCACTGTGTTGCCCAGGCTGGTCTTGAACTCCTGACCTCAAAGGATCCTCCTGCCTTGGCCTCCCAAAGTGCTGGGATTACAGGCATGAACCACTATATCCAGTCTTTATTTGGATTTTACTACAAACATATGCTTCTGTATACTTGTGTGACTATTTGTTTAAGGTACAGTCCCTGAAGTGGGATTGCCGTGCCTGATCCTTGCTGCCACATCATCATCCCATAGGGGACAGGGCCCCACTGTCCCCCATCACTGAACAGTGTGCCCAGGTGAGATCATGGACTTGGGCCCCCTAGGCCAGCCCAGTCTCTTTGCAGCCAAGGAAAGTGAGGCTTAGCTGTCGGGGGCTGTGGGGGGATGCAGCTTGCCACACTTGACACCCAAACGCTGATTTTGTTTACATGAGACTCAGGTCCGAGTTTATGTCTGAGACCTGGGAATCAAAAAGCCACCCCCACAGCCTCCAGGGACCTGGCTCCCCTGGAGCCACCGTGCTGCCCCACAGGTGTCACCCATGGAGGCTGCAGGAGCACCTGGCGTGGTCCAGGGGACACGAAGCCCTGGTGCTGGCTCCTCCCAACGCCCCTGTGAGTTCTGCCTCCCATAGACCACATGTGTCATCTGCGTGCACATGTGTGAAACCCGAAAGACAAGCAGATGAGACCCGCCTGCCAAAATATTTGCTGCCGCGCAGAACAGTAAGTCGTTTTTGACATATGGATCTCAGCGCGCAGCCACAGCAAACAGGCAGCGTGGCGCTGAGGGGCACAGGTTTGCTGGGGGGCGTGAGCCGGGAGCATCGCCAGCAGCAGGCTCGCCCCCCTGCGAGGGCGCGCACGGATTCGCTCGCCACCAAGAGCAGGGCCCCAAGAGGGGCCCTCGGCATAGTCCCCTCGAGTCCCCAGAACTTCACAGGCAGAGAGCCTGGCTCGAGGATGGGCGGGAGCTCAGTCTGGCTTTGATCTGCGGGAGGTGTTGTGTGCAGAAGCTGTGGGCACCGGGGGCTGCAGAGCTTCAGACCTGGAGCCTGCTCCCAGGGCCGATCTGAACCCGGCACCTGTGCTGACCCAAGGGTCAACCAAAGTCCTGAGTTTGGTGGCGCCGAGGGAGGGGAGTGGTCGCATCCCACCGGGTGCCTGGAATGGTGCTGGAGGAGGCAGCATCTGATTTGGGCCCCGTAGGGCCAGAGGGGGGATTTGTAGGGACAGAGCAGGAGGGAGTGGAGCTGAGGCTGGGGGAGGGCATGGTCGGAGGTCCAGAGGTGGGAGAGGGGCCGCCATCCTGAAGCACACCCCTCCTCGTCTTCCTGAGGCCTCCATCCCTTCCTGATCTTCCAGGTCATGGGCTCCAGGCTTGGGCCCACTGCTGTCCTTCTCCACTCTCTCCCCAGGGAACCCACCTGGGTTGTGGCCTTAAACCCAGCCAGATGATGCTTCTCCAGCCTCTGCCTCCTGCCGGGCCCTCCCCTGAGCTCAGAAGCTGCCATCAGTAGCCATGCAACCTCCCCCTTGCCATCATGAAGTATCTCAAACTTGGCAGCCTCGAAACAGAGCCCTTGGGGAGTTTAAGCAGAAACAGAATATTTTTGCATAGTCTTAAAGTAATTCCCCCCACCCCCAAATATTGAGCAATTACAAAGGGCAAAATAGGAAGTTTACGGTGGAGAATCCTGGTGGACACAGCCTTGGCCAGGTGATCAAGGTTCATGTCACCAGTCATGAAGCGGCGTGCACCCCTGGTGTGCTGAGAAGGGCAGCTTACCTCCTGCAGGTGCCCTTGCCCCAACGCACCACTCAGCCTAACCATGGGGAGCATCCGACAAAACCAAGCTGTCCGCATCTCCAAGGACAGGCACACTGGGGCTTAGGGCTTCAGTGGGGGCGGAGGTACAGTTCACTCCCTAATACGCCATTTACTTGGAGAAGCCCTCTCCAGCTGCCTGAGGCAGAAGCACCCGGTTCTCTCTCTGCAGGACCCCTGCTTTGTTCTTCCTAGGATGCGTCAGCCCCTGATTTTCCATGACAGTCCCCTGTGCCCATGTCCTGCAGCCTCTCCTGGGGGCAGGAGCTACAGGGTTTCTTGACTCCTACCTCAGCACTTTGGTCCAAGCTCTGAGCAGAGACCTCTGTAGGCGTCTGCAGGACTGGCTGGCCCTTGTGTCTGTCTTTCCCCTCGTCCTGGCCCCCTTTGTCCACTCCTGCACCAGCTTCCCTGGACCCACTGCCACTGCGTCACGTGGTCGGATCTGTGTCCCCTGCACTCTCACCACCTCCAACTTGCATCCCGGTCCCCCACACCCTGACCCCCAAAGGCATTGTGCATGTGGATGAGTGAGTGAAGGAAAGGCTGGCGTGTTGGGTGTGCGAGGTCGCAGGGGCATGAGGTGCCTGGACGGCAGAGAGCCAGGGCTGGGTGAGGACCTGGGTGCCAGGTCGGGGGTCTGGGCAGCCTGGTGGCCCCCTGAAAACGTTCACATCCCTTGGGGCCTGCTGTGATACATACTAATCAGTGCTTCATGAGAAAGGTATGAGCCGAAAGAAATGGGGGTTCCCACTGGATTGGTCGTTTCTGCATTGTCCGGAGCTCTCAGACCTGGTTTCTTAACCACTGTGTTCACTGAACACCCCGGGCTTGATCAGCTGCTGAGGGTGACTTCACATGAGATTATAATTGTACTGCCTAATAGAGTGCTCACACATGTTAAAACTACCTGGCAGGCAGGAGTGAGAATACAGCTTTCCCAGAAACGTGTTCAAAGAAAAACCCATTACCAACCCGGCAGAACATAAAGTACTAGTGTGGGGTATGAGGCAGCATGTGGGGGCGCTGGGGTGGCAGCAGGGCCAGACCCCACTTCAGGGGTTGCCCCCAGGACCCCCCTTGCGGTACCCGTATATCCCACCCCCAGACTCCTTTCCATGAGCTGCTCCCAGACCCCCTCATATCCATCCTGCCTCCAGAACCCCTATATCTTGCTCCCACTCCCTACCATATGCTGTTCCCAGACCCCCCTCCATGGCCTGCCCCCAGATCCCCCTTTGCTGCCACCCCTATATCTTACCCCAGACTCCCCCATATCTCGCCCCCAGACCCTCCTCCATGGTCTGCCCCCAGGCCTGCTGGTAATATGGGATACAGAGGTCTCCTCACTGCACACACAAAACTCCTTCCCTGAGCGAGGGATAGGCAGAGCTGAGGGCGGGGGTACTGGGGGGCTGAGGGGGGTTCTTTAGGGCAGGAGTTACCTGCCCTGTAGACGGGGAGACCACATTAGTGTTTGTGCAAAGCCCTGCCCTCGTGCACCTGTCCTTCCGTAGCCCACGATACCTCATCCAGCCCGGGCCCGTGGGTGGGCTGCTGAGCACCCGACCACAGCCAGGCCTCCATGTGCCACTGTCAAGGGGACTTGGCCCGCCATGATCCTGAGTGCACAGGTACATTGCTCCGCCCTCTCAACAGCCACGACCCAGAAATAAAGTAGGCACTGTAATTTGCATTTTGAGGATAAGGAAACCGAATAATAGAGTCTACTGAGCGCATACTCAGTCTTTCCAGACCCTAGAAAGTAGGTACCATTGTCATCCTCATTTCAGAGCTAGGAGAGCAGAGGCCAGACAGGTTCCATAGCCTGCTCAGGTGGGTCCGTGCTGGACCAGGAGAAGGGCCAGGTAGGCTGATGGGTCCTGAGCTTGTGCTCCCGACCGCCAGGCTGTGTGTCTGATGGCCGAGGCCAGGGTGGCTCAGCCAAGCCCAGCCAACCCAAGACTAGACCATCCCCAGCGTCCACCCCAGCCTCCTGGGCACAGGGGTCACCTCCCACCCCTGGCCCACCCATACAGCCTTTTCCCATCTAACCTTTTCTTTAAAGGAAGGCATCCCTTGGAATGAGTCCACCCTGAGATTTTATGGATCCAAAGAAAAAACTTAATTAGCTGCATAAACTGTCAGTTGAGACTCTCCAGAGGACACACCTCCGGCTTTCAGGTTCCCCAGGGAATCTGAGGCTCTGAGGCAGGTGGACAGCCAGGTCCCTCTTTACCCAGCACCAGGTAACCTTAGAGGCCTGGCCCTGCCTTCCTCATTTTGAAATGTCACCCTGTGGTCATCTCTCCTTCCCTGATGTGAAGCAGTGACCAGTTCTGCCCCATCCTACACATGTGTGCACACATACATGCACACATGTGTAAATACACATGCATGCACATGCATATGTGTGCACACATATGCACATACCTTCACCTTCCTATCCCTCCCCAGGGGAAGGCCTTCCTTGGGGCTGCCCCTCCTCCACTCTGGCAGCATTGGGACTTGAATCTTGTGGCCCCGTCACAACTGTACTCAGCTACTCCAGCTCCTTGTGTGACCTCTCAGCCCCCAGGCTCTGAGCTACCTGAGGTGAGGTGGGGCCACACTGGTCCCCACCTCGGTGCAGCACACACAGCCCCATCCTGGGAGTGCCACCCAGGTTTCCTCTAACTGTGCTTTCCAAGGGCTGGAAGGACCTCTTCCTCTATGCCAGGTGTGCTAGAGTGGCCCCAGCCGAGAACCTGACTGGGACCAAGCCCCAGGACAGTGGTCAGGCACACACCTGAGTCGCTCTTCCTCCCATAGACACATTTGGAGTTCCCACTGCCTTCCTAGGCCCCACCACATGCTGTCACCTCCAGGAAGCCTTCACAGGTTGCTCCCTGCTGATAGCCTTGACCTGCTTCCCAGGGCATTTGCAAGGGAGTAGAACGAAGACCAAGTCCGTGCAGGGGCTGCTGGCTCTGTGCTCAGCACACGCCCCGTGACCACCTCAGGGGCGGCTCTGCGAGTCCCCACTTGACAGGTGAGCCACAGGGCCACAGGCATGGCTTGGGGTCCTCTGCGGAGCCCGATGTGTCACTGGCCCTCACGTGTCCTTCTCCGATCTGCTCACTCATTCATCCATTCATTTATTCAGCAGGGGTTCTTGAGTGTCTCTGAGGTGGAGCGTCTGCTGTGAAGGACTGGCGGGACGCAAACGGTTACCACTGGTGTGACGGGCTCTGATCAGGAGGCACAGGGTGTTGGGGAGCTCAGAGGGTGACATCTCACCCTGCCTTGGCCAGTGTGGGAGGGAGAGGGTTCAGGGAGGATGTAACTGTGTGTGTGGCAGGTGCTGTGGTGGCACAGAGCTGAGGGGACATAGGCACAGTTGCTGGATGCAGGGCTTACACCGCGCCACGCGTCAGAAGCTAGCAGGGGCTGAGCAGCATCTCTGCCCTCCCCGCTTGCACCCCCACCATCCAGTGCAGCCCAGCACCTAGGGGGCATGGGGCCAGTGCCTGGCACATTTTGTCCTGACTGTGGAAAAAAGCTCTTCACAGCCCTGAGTGCTGCTTTAGCTTTGGCTCCACCCATCTTAGGCTGCTCAGAGGCCTCAGGCCTCCCTGGAGGGCCAGAAGGGATTCCCAGGGGCAGGATAGCACGGACGGGGGGGTCCGCTGTGTAAGCCTGGGAAATTCTGGCTGCTTGAAGCTGGCACACTCCCCTGAGGCTGTTCCAGGCACAGTCACTGGGTCTCCCCGTCGAAGTGGCTCTAAGGCAGGTCTTCCCGGTTACCAGCAAGCAGATACATGTTGTAACGGGCTGAGAGTGGGTGTGTATCTCATATTCCCCAGAGGAGCTTACGGACAGCCCCTCTTTAAGGAACATCTCCCGGGCCGAGCGTTCTGAGCGCCCTCTGAGCAGGCAGCCCACCACCGGGGCGCTGGCCAGTCTGAGTCAGTCCTGCCTGGGAGGCAGTCAACTCTGGGGAAGGCAGAAGAATCACAGCACTGAGTGCCGTCCAGTTTCCCCTCAACTATATTCGCGGACACGGCGCCAACAGGGGAAAACTTACATAGCACCTATTCATTCTGAGGCCTGGCCGGCCTCTGGAAATCAGCATTTCAGTGTTGGCCAGGAAGGAGGCCAGAACTGTGCTGTAGCATTTCAATGTATGGCTGTCCCACAATTTATATTCCAGTCCCCTGATGATGGACATGTAGGCGGTTTCCAGTTTTTTTCATGATCACAGATCACACTTCTGTGAACAGCTCTGGATGTGTCTCCTTGTGCAAATATGGTGCTAGGTGTTCTTCAGAGCATTTTTCTCCAAACTTGCCGGGTAATATGGTCACCTTGGGGAGTTTGTTAAATATACATATTTCCAGGTCTGCTCTGGTGGGTCTGATATTTGGAGCCAGGAATCTTTTCTTTCTTTTAACAGATACTTAAGTGATTCCTGTGGTCCAGGAAGTTTTGCAAGCTCTGATGCAGAAGAGCTCGCTGGAGCAAACATGTATGTTCTGTTTTACTAATTAGATATACGCTGTTGATGACTCCAAAGTGGACGTGCCATTTCTGTCCCCTCCAGCAGTAGGAAAGAATCCCATTATCCCACATCCTGGCCAGTTCTTGGTATTGTGAGATTTTTTTAAACTTCTTCTCTTAAGACTATGATGGTATTTTGTTGTAATATAATCCACATTTTCTATATTATTACTGTGCTTGAGCACTTCTTCAAATGTTTGATGACCTTGACCATTGAAACTTCCTTTTTGTGAATTACCTATTCATATCCTTTGTAGCTTCACTGTGGAATGCTTGTTACTGATTTGTAGCCATTCTTTATACATTTCACTCCCACTCGTTTGTCAGTTATATGTGGTGCACACATCTGCTCCCAGTCTGTGGTTTGTCTTTCCACTTTGTTTATGGCCTCTTATTGGGACACAGTTTTAAATTAAAATATAATCAGATGTATTAATCATGATGTTGTAGTTTGTGCATTTTCTATCTTGTCTAAGAAATTCATCCCTCTCCTTGTTATACTTAGAAAGAAGGATATTCTACATTCTCCTTCAGGAGTTCTAAAGATTTGCTTTGCACATTCAGGTTCCAAATCTACTTGAATTTGACTTGTGTATATGGTGTGAGGTAGGGATTTGATTTTATTTTCTATGTGGATAACAGTTGTTCCATTATCACTTTTGAGTAGTCCACCTTTTCTCTCACTGACTTATAATGCCACCTCTGTCATGTCAGCTTTTCATATTTATCAGTTCCTGTTAAATGTATCTTTAAAGCTTTATTGAGACATAATTCACATGATACAATTTACCCATCTAAAGTGAATAATTAATGTTTTTATTATATTCATACACCATCGCTATCAGTCAATTTTAGAACATTTTCTTTTTTTTTTTCTTTTTTTTTTTTTTGAGATGGAGTCTTGCTGTTGTCACCCAGGCTAGAGTGCAATGGCACAATCTTGGCTCACTGCAACCTCTGCCTCCTGGGTTTAAGCACTTCTCCTGCCTCAGCCTCCTGAGTAGCTGGGATTACAGGCACCCGCCACCACACCCAGCTAATTTTTGTATTTTTAGTAGAGACGGGGTTTCGCCATGTTGGCCAGGCTGGTTTTGAACTCCTGATCTTGGGTCTTGGGATCCACCCGCCTTGGCCTCCCAAAGTGCTGGGATTACAGACGTAAGCCACCATGCCCGGCTATTTTCATTACCCCCAAATAAACCTTGTACCCTTTAGTTACCTCCTCATCTCTGTAACCCTAAGCAAATACTCATCTGCTTTCTGCCTTTGTGGGTTTCCCTGTTCTAAATATTTTTTATGAATGGAGTCATATAGTATGTGGCCTTTTCTGTCTTCTTTTACTCTGCGTGTTTTCAAGGTTCATCCATGTTGTAGCATGTATCAGGACTTCATTTCTTTTTATGGCTGAATAATGCTCCACTGTATGGATAGAACACAGTTATTTATTCATTCCTGTGTTAGTGTATATTTGGGTTGTTTCTGCCTTTGGCTATTGTGAGTAATGCTGCTATAAGGATTCATGGGCAAGTTTTTGTGTGGACATAGGTCTTCATTTCTCTTGAATATATGCCTAAGGAGTGGAATTGCTGGGTCACGTGGTATCTATTTTTAATCACTTGAGGAATTGCCAGACTATTCAAAAGCAGCTGCACCATTTTATGCCATTTTACATTCCCACCAGTAGTGTATGAGGGCTGATTTATCTATGTCCTTACCAACGCTTCTTATCTGACTGTTTAATTCTAGCCATTCTAGTGGCTGGTGAAGTACTATCTCATTCAGATTTTGGTTTGCAATTCCCTACAATGATGACTAGTGATGTCAGGCATCTTTTCTTGTACTTATTGGCCACCTGTATGTCTTCCTTGGAGAAATGTCTATTCAAATTTTTTGCACAATTTTAATACATACATATATGTATATACACACACACACACACACACATTTTTTCTTTTTAAACAGATTCTGCTTTGTCGGCCAGGCTGGAGTGCAGTGGCACAATCTTGGCTTACTGCAAGCTCCGCCTCCTGGGTTCATGCCATTCTCCTGCCTCAGCCTCCCAAGTAGCTGGGACTACAGGTGCCCACCACCACACCCAGCTAATTTTTTGTATTTTTTAGTAGAGATGGGGTTTCACCATGTTAGCCAGGATGGTCTCGATCTCCTGACCTCGTGATCCACCCACCTTGGCCTCCCAAAGTGCTGGGATTACAGGTGTGAGCCACCGCACCTGGCCTATTTATATATATATTTTTTAAAGTCAGGATCTCTGTCACCTAGGCTGGAGTGCAGTGGCACAATCACAGCTCACTGCAACCTTGAACTCCTGGGCTCAAACCATCCTTCTGCCTCAGTCTCTCAAGTAGCTAGGACTACAGGTATGCACCACCATTCTTGGTGAATTTTTATTTTTATTTTTATAGAGATGGGATCTTGCTATGTTGCTCAAGCTGGTCTCAAACTCTTAGCCTCAAGCAATCCTCCTGGCTAGGCCCCTCAAAGTGTTGGGATTATAGGTGTGAGCCACCACATCTAGCCTCCTTTGCACATTTTAAAAGTGGATTAGTTGCCTTTTTATCATTGAGTTGTAAGAGTTGTTTATATATTCTGGATATAAGGCCTTTATCAAATATATGATTTACAGGTACAGTTGACCCTTGAATAACATGGGAGTTAAGGGTGCTTGCTGCCTATGCAGTAGAAAATCTGTATATACCTTTGACTTCCCCAAAATTTAACTACAGATACCCTGCTGTTGACTGGAAGACTTACTGAAAACATAAACAATTGGTTAACACATATTTTGTGTATGTATTACACCCTATATTCTTACAATAAAGGAAGCCAGAGAAAAGAAAATTTAAGAAAAGCATAAGGGGCTGGGTGTGGTGGCTCACACCTGTAATCCCAGCACTTTAGGAGGCCGAGGCAGGTGGATTGCTTGAGCTCAGGAGTTCAAGACCAGCCTGGGCAACATGGTGAAACCTTGTCTCTATTCAAAAAAAAAAAAGAAGAAGAAAATATATTTACTGTTCATGAAGCAGAAGTGAATCATCATGAAGGTCTTTATCTTCATTGTCTTCACATTGAGTAGGATGTGAGTAGGCTGAGGAGGTGGAAGAAGAGGAGGGTTGGTCTTGCTGTCTCAAGGTGGCAGAGGTAGAAGAAAAACTGCATATAAGTGGGCCCATGCAGTTCAAACCCAGTTGTTAAGGGTCAACTGTATTTTCTCATATTTTGTGGGTTGTCTTTTCATTTTCTTGATGTTGTTTTTTAAAGCATAAAAGTTTTTAAAGTTTTGATGAAGTCCATTTGATCTTTTATTTTCTCTTGTTGCTTATAGTTTTGGTGGCATATCTAAGAATCCTTTGATAAATCTGAAGCCATGTAGATTTACCCCTGTGTTTTCTCCTAAGAATTATATATTCTTAGCTGTAACAGATAGGTTTTTGATACATTGTTAATTCACTTTTGCATATGGTGTGAGGTAAGGGTACAACTTCTGTTCTTTTGCATGGTGCTATCCAGTTGTCCCAGCAGCATTTGTTGAAGGCTATTCTTTCCCCTTTGAATGGTCATGGCACACTTGTCAAAAATCAGTTGACCATTGTAGTAGGCTGTTCTTGCACTGCTATAAAGAAATACCTGAGCCTGGGTAATTTATAAGAAAAGAAACTTAAATGGCTTACAGTTCTGTAGGTTGCACAGAAAGTAAAGCAGCATCTGCTTCTGGGAAGCCTCAGGAAGCTTCCAATCACAGTGGAAGGCAAAGCAGGAGTAGGCATCTCACATGGCGAGAATGGGAGCAAGAGTGGTAGGGGTGCCGTATACTTCTAAATGACCAGATCTCATGAGAACTTACTCACTATCGCAAATATGGCACCAAGCCCTGAGAGATCTGCCCCATGACCCAAACACCTCCCACCATGCCCCACCTCTAGCATGGAGGATTACAATTCAACGTGAGATTTGGGTGGGGACAAATATTCAAACTAAAGCAACCATACACACAAAGTTTTATTTCCAGATTTACAGTTCTATTGCATTGATCACTGACATGATTACTGTTCCTTTGTAGTAAGTTTTGAAATTAGGAAGTATGAATCTTCCTACTTTGTACTTCTTTTTCTAGATCATTTTGGCTATTCTGGGTCCTTTATAATTCCATATGAATTTTAGATTCAGCTTGTCAATTTCAACAAATAAGTCAGCTGGGATTCTGAAGGGGGTTGTGTCACATCCGTAGCCCAATTTGGGGAGTGTCTTAGTCCATTTGTGCTGCTATAACAAAATACCTGAAAGTGGGTAATCTATAAATAAGAGAAATTTAGCTTGGGCAACATAGGGAGACCCCATCTCTGAAAAAAAAAAAAATTAGGCATGGTGGCGTGCACCTGTAGTCTCAGCTACTCAGGAGGCTGAGGTGGGAGAATCACTTGAGCCCAGGAGGTCAAGGCAGCAGTGAACCATGATCCACTATTGCATTCCAGCCTGGGCAACAGAGCGAGACTCTGTCTCAAAAAAAAAAAAAAAAAGAAAAAGAACAGCAATTTATTTCCTCACGGTTCTGGAGCTGGGAATTCCAATATCAAGGCACTGGTAGGTTGGTGTCTGGTGAGTGCTACTCTGTGCTTTCAAGATGGTGCCTCTTGGTTTGTCCTCACGTGGCGAAGGAGGGAAAGGAGAAACAGGGACGAACAGTGTTCATAGCAGCTCTTTTATTTATAAATTGCTAATCCTGTTCATGAGAGCAGAGCCCTCATGACTGAATCACCTCCTAAAGGCCCCACCTCGAAATACTATCACGTTGCTGGTTTAGTTTCAATACATGAATTCTGGGGGGACATTCAGACCGTAGCAGGGAGCGTTGCCATCTTAACAATATTAAGTATTTTGCTCCATGAACATGGGATGCTTTTCTGTTTATTTAGATCTTCTTTAATTTCTTTTAACAAGTATCATTAATCCAAAAATCTGAAATCTGGTATGCTCCAAAACCTGAAACTTTCTGAGCACTAACATGACAGCAACAGTGGAAAATTCCACCCCTGTCCTCACGCGATGGGTCGCAGTCAAAACCCAATCAAAACCTTGTTTCATGCACAAAATTATTTAAAATTTTGTATAATTACCCTCAGGCTATGTGTCTAAGCATATATGAAACACAAATTTTATGTTTAGATTTGGGTCCCATCCCCAAGATATCTCATGTATATGCAAATATTCCAGAATCAAAAAATATATATAGAGAGAAATTTGAAACACTTTTGGTCCCATGCATTTTGGATAAGGGATTCTTTACTTGTATTTTGTAGTGTTCACAATATAAACTATAATATAATACAAACAATATAAGCTAAAATATAAAATTTGCACTTCCGTTGTCAAATTTACTACTGAGTATTTTATTCTTTTTGAGCTACCATAAATGGGACTGCATTCCTGTTAGATTTTTTCTTTCTTTCTTTTTTAAGAAATGGAGACTTAGGCCAGGAGCGGTGGCTCGTGCCTATAATCCCAGCAGTTTGGGAGGCCGAGGCGGGCAGATTGCCTGAGTTCAGGAGTTTGAGACCAGCCTGGGCAACACAGTGAAACCCCGACTCTACTAAAATACAAAAAATTAGCCAGGCATGGTGGCTGGCGCCTGTAGTCCCAGCTACTCAGGAGGCTGAGGCAGGAGAATTGCTTGAACCCAGGAGATGGAGGTTGCAGTGAGCTGAGATCGCGCCATCACACTCCAGTCTGGGCGACAGAACGAGACTCTATCTCTAAAAAAAAAAAAGAAAAAGAAAAAAAAGAAAAGATAAGGAGCCTTGCTGTGTTGCTCAGGCTGACCTCAAACTCCTGGGCTCAAGTAATCCTTCTGCCTCAGCCTCCCGAGCAGCAAGCAGGGACCGAGCAGCAGGGACCATAGGAGTATGTCACTGTGCCTGGCTAGATGTGTGTGTTTTCTTTTTTTGGAGATAGAGTCTTGCTCTGTCCAGGCTGGAGTGCAGTGGCACAATCTTGGCTCACTGCAACCTCTGCCGCCTGGGTTTAAGTGATTCTCCTGCCTCAGCCTCCGGAGTAGCTGGGACTATAGCTGTGTGCCACCACACCCAGCTAATTTTTATATTTTTAGTAGAGGCGGGGTTTTCCATGTTGGCCAGGCTGGTCTCAAACTCCTGAACTCAAGTGGTCTGCCTGCCTTGACCTCCCAAAGTGCTGGGATTACAGGCGTGAGCCACACTACACCCGGCCTAGATATGTTTCTAAAACAACATTGTGTAGGAAATTTTTCTTAGGCTGGTTCAAGGCTAACATGCTGAAGGTCCCAGGTAGTGAAGCAGGTGAACCCTGAAGGACCGTGCCCCTCCCACACCCACCCTAGCAGCTGTTCCACATTGTAGATGGATCCCTGCGTCCCTACATTGTCACCTTTCTGTCTAAATGAGAGGTGGGGAGAAGGAGGGGTGAAGACCAATGAGGTTAGTCACCTCAAGGGGTGGGGCCGGTGCAGAGAAAGATGGGAACTGTTCCCTAGTCCTCTTCCTTCTGGAGTTGGGAGGGGGAAATAGCCCTGCCCCAACATGTGATCCAGCATGGACTATGGTCAGTTACAAATATGAGTGAGCCAGGCCCCTGCCCTGAAGGACCTCCCAGATTTGTGGGGAAGACACAAACTCAGCACAGAATGGAAAGGGGCCTGGGGACACAGTGCTGTGCCGAGCTTGGAATTTGTTTCATGAAGGGACAGCCAGCAGTGTCTGTGCAGGTCCAGGGAGGCTCCACAGGGGAAGTGAGATTTGAGCTGAGGCTTGAAAGAAAGGTGGACCGAGAGGAGACGACTTTCCAGGGCAGGAAGTGGCCTGCACAGAGGCCCCGAGGCGAGAAGGACCACAACTCTCCTGTGGACCTCCTCTTTGTACGATCAGTTTTAATTACGCAAAAAAATTATGCAGTTAAAGCTTTGCTCATTTAAACAGACCTTCCCTGGATTAAGAGTAATTAGGTTTTATTGTCATTGTCTTGAAAATTGCCTTGCCATGGACCTGTGAACACAGAATTATTTATATATGTGTGCATAGAAATCATCTCATGGATTTTTTTTTAACTGAGATGAACTTGGGGGATTTTAAAGGTAACAAACAACCCCTTCTGGCTGGTGTGGGGGAAGCCCTAATTTGTAGTGCTTGCTACTTTTTTTTTTTTTTTTTTTTTTGAGACAGTGTTTTGCTCTCGTCACCCAGGCTAGAGTGCAACGGCACAATCTTCACTCATTGTAAAACCTCCGTCTCCCGGGTTCCAGCGATTCTCCTGCCTCAGCCTCCCGAGTAGCTGGGATTACAGGCACCTGCCACCACACCCGGCTAATTATTTTTGTATTTTCAGTAGAGATGGGGTTTGGCCATGTTGGCCAGGCTGGTCTCGAACTCCTGGCCTCAAGTGATCCGCCCGCCTCAGCCTCCCAAAGTGCTGGGATTGCAAGCATAAGCCACCGCGCCCGGCCTCCACTTTCTGTGGTGTAAATATTCCTACCATGGCTGATTTCCTCTGGGGAAGCCATGTCCCCTCCACTTCTACCTTCATGGTCTTTGCTTGTTTATTTTCAAATGTGGCCCAAATCCACCCTGAGGCAGGCGCAGTGGCTCACGTCTGTAATCCCAGCACTTTGGGAGGCCGAGACGGGCGGATCACCTGAGGTCGAGAGTTTGAGCCAGCCTGACTAACACGGGGAAACCCCGTCTCTACTAAAAACACAAAAATTAGCCAGGCATGGTGGCACACTCCTGTAATCCCAGCCACTCGGGAGGCTGAGGCAGGAGAATCGCTGGAACCTAGGAGGTGGAGATTGCAGTGAGCCAAGATCATGCCACTGCACTCCAGCCTGGGAGACACAGCCAGACTCCATCTAAAAAAAAAAAAAAAAAAAAAAAAAAACCAAAAAAACCCACCCTGAGTTTAAAAGAAAAAGGCTAAGAAATGCTTGCTGGGCTGTCTCAGGGGTGGCAGTGGAGCTCCCGTGCCTCCCACAGATGAGGACGTGGAGGCCCTGGCCGAGTGCTGAATGCAGGTTGGGGGACAGGGCTGCCGGCCTCTGTAAGGATGGGGACCCCAGACCCACCCGGTGGAGCTGGGGCTGAAGGCCGTGATAAACACAGCCTCACCCTGGCATTGCCCACCTCCACTGGCCACCAGCTTTGACGGACAGCCCCACTGCCACTGCCCCTCTCCAGGCAGGCCACATTCACAGGTGTTCTGTACAGAGAGCAGAAGTTTGAGAAAACGTGACCCACTGAACAGACACTTGCTGAGGCCCGGGGGCTTCATGTGTCAGGCCCAGAGGTGGCCACAGGCACAACACGCGTCCCTCAGCCTTGCCACCTCTGCTGCCCTCCAAGGTGCCCTGGGTCCAGCTGGCCAGAAGCACTGCTTTCTGGAGCAGCCACTTATGCTTTTACTTTTTTCTCTTCTTTTTTTTTTTAAGACTGAGTCTTGCTCTGTTGCCCAGGCTGGAGTGCAGTGGCACAATCTTGGCTCACTGCATTCTCCAGTTCAAGTGATTCTCCTGCCTCAGCCTCCTGAGTAGCTGAGATTACAGGCATCTGCCACCATGCCCGGCTAATTTTTGTATTTTTAGTAGAGATGGAATTTCGCCATGTTGACCAGACTAGTCTTGAACTCCTGACCCCAAGTGATCCGCCCGCCCAAAGTGCTGGGATTACAGGCGTGAGCCACAGTGCCCGGCCCAGCTTTTTCATTTTGAAATCAATACAAGTTTTTACAGATGTCTGCAAAAAATATCCATATTGATGGATCCTGGCTCCTCAGAATCTGAGGTTTTTACAAATGTCTGCAAAAAATATCCATATTGATGGATCCTGGCTCCTCAGAATCTGAGGTGACAGCAGCTTGCAGAGGACACTGCTCCCCCAACACTGCCTTCCAAGGGAGACATGCCCTACCCCAAGGCCTCCCTTGTCCCCTCCCTCCTCTGACAGTCAGGTCCAGGGGGTCCTGGAGAGGGCACTGGCCCACCCTCCACACATGTTGCACAGTGCCCTGGGAATGAGGAAGGAAGGGCAAAGGTTAGGGAAAACCAGACGTCAGTTTCTTGACCAGCCACAGCCGGTGCAGCGCGGTTATTTATAGCCCTGGTGGAGCGCCCATAAATCAAGGCTTTCCCCAGCAGCGCGGCTGTGAGGGCTCCGAGATGATCTCATGGTGCCCCTCCCTTGAACCATCCCAGAGAAAGGAGGCCTGTCACCTTCAAGGACCAATGCTTCTGCCGGGACTCAAGCAGAACCTGTTCCTGCTGCTGCAAGGTTTACAGGCAGCCTTGGGGACAGTCCGTGCAGAAATGTCAGGAGCCTTTTCCTGCATAAGGCATCTCAGAGCTTATAGCACCTCCTTGGCGGTGGCCGTGCTCGCAGCCTGATACATGGGACCTCTGTCTCACTTGCAGTGTGCACCGCAGGTCCTAATTCCTTATCTGTTCCAACCACAAAAGCTTCCACTGCTGGATGGAGCCCTGTTATCATTCAGGCTTCTGAGCCACCTGGAAGGCAAAGGCCTCTCTGTGAAAATGAAAACTTGGCTTTAAAAAGCTGGCATGGGCTCAGCCATGGAGTTGCTTAGATGTAGTTCACAATCTCGCAGACCCACGGCAGGATTCCACCCAGGAGAAGGTCCTGGAGGTGGCCATGGGGCTCAGCAGAATGAGCCGGGAGGAGCAGGACTGTTGACACGAGAGCAGGGGTCAGGCTCAGTGCACAGGTCCCAGTGTGCAGAGCTCACCCGGCCCCAGCTTTCATCACCCATCTGAGATCGGCCTCCTTCACTCCTGTTCTCTGGGACTTCCTTGTGTGTTAGAGACTCGAGCAAGACCCTTTCTTGTCTATCCCCGGACGGACCCGCCTTTCCCGCATCTCTGGGGGTGAGGTCGGCTCTCGTTCAGGCCTGCAGGGTCCCTGGTGCCGCAGCCCCTCTGGTTGGAAGGCCCCCTGCGTGCAGCCCCGTCCTCCAGCCCCGCTCGGCTCTGAATGAGTTCATTATGTCTCAGCGCGCCCTGGCCGCCAGGCTGGCAGTTCTTCGGGCTGGCGGGGCTCGGGAGCTGTCAGCCTGCCAAATCCAGTTGTTTGACTTCATGTTTCAAGGCCAAATCCTTTCAGGAAAGTTCTCTCCATCCCACCACTCCACCGCCCCCCGCCCTTAGAAAAATAAATGCGTGATTGACTGGCTTTGCAGGTTTTTTATCCATCGTTCTTTCCAAAGAATAGTGTGAACAGCTCATTCGATTCGTTCATGTGACGTCCTCCCTCTCCCAATCCCTGTCTCTCTCTCTCCTTCCACAGCCACATGAAATTGAAGTGGGAGAACATGGTGTGTGAGCATTATTGGGGGTGGGGTGCGGAGCAGGCACTGGCTTTGGTTGAGGTCTGCAAAGGAAAGCACCCCCACTGCCAGGCTGCTCAGGAGTGGCTCCCACCCTCGACTGCGGGGAAGTGCTGGAACCCTCCGCACGAGGGCAACCTTTCTTGGGCTCTGAAGGCGCCTCTCATCCTCTGAGCCAAGAAGACTTCTGACCCAGAATTCTGAGTTGAGTTCCGACGCAGGCGTGGGCGATGGTGAGCAACTCCAGGCTACCCCGAGAAAGCCGCTGTGTGACCCCATTAGGGGACTTGGCTCTCCTGCCAAGCCCCCACCCAGCACCTGTCCCTTGTGTCATGACTGGACTTGTTACTTCTAGCCCAGGAGCTCCAGGTGAAGGGGACTGTGTTGGTCCTGTCTGCCCAGGACTCTCCCCACCCGCACAGTGTACCTGTCCCACAGTGGCACCAACAAGGCTCAGCTGAGCCCTTGCCAGAGGAGACACGGTGGGCACCAGCCCCAGCGCTGCCACCTGCCTGCCTCCTCTGCCACCGAGGGAAGCCATGTCGCCTTCCTGAGCCTGCTTCTCTGTCCACAAAACAAAGACTAGATAATTAGAGTGCACACTTGGAGGGACAGGATGGCTTCGTATCCATCTGGCTGTGCCCTGTAACTCAAGGGATGGGACTGTGTCATTGGTAAACACTGCAACAGGCCTCCTTTCCAGGAAACAGGATCCCTGTCTCAGACAGAAGCAGTCTCGCCCATCCTGGGGCCTGAGAGCATCATTCCTTTGTGAGACTCAAATGTGAGGAATTCCTGTTTCCTCAAGTCTGTGTGGGGAGTGCAGAGCAGCCCTCTGAGGGGGTAGCGTGTGCAGGAAATAAGCCGGGGGGAAGGGGGCACCGCGGGTGGGTGTTAACTGCTGCTTCGGGGTCCAGTCCTGTTAATGAAAGCAGGGGTGAGGCAAGCGGGGAAGACTCTCTGTACCTGATCAGTGGCATGTGTGTGGCTCCAGCCGGCATGGCCTGAGCTGCCGGTGAGGGAGAGGCCTCAGGGAGAAAAGACAAAAGCTGGGGTGCCCCTGAAGGTGGGGCAGAGCTGGGGCAGTCAGGGGCTCTTCCACAGGTGCAGGCCTGGTGCTGGAGGACACAGTCCATACCACCTCCAACCCCCACCACCTCCCCTGCCATGGACAGTGTGGGGCAGGCTCCTGAGGATGAGGCAGCCTGACCCCTACCCCTGGGCTGTCCCCCCGACTCCTGGTTTCTCTGGAAGCCTGGGGTTCCAGGCCATGCAGGTAGAGAACAACAGGTTTAGGACAAAGTCATTGTGGACACTGAGGCCCAGAAAAGGGACTTGCCCAAGGCCACACAGCAGGTGGCCAGCACTGTGTCCGTGTCTCTGTTATTCCTTCCTCTGCTTGCTTTGGGTTTATTTTGTGCTCCTTTTCTACTTCCTTAAGATGGGAGCTTCAGTGATCAATTTCAGATCTTTCCTCTCTTCTAACAAGCATTTGGTACTATGAATTTCCCTCTGAATCCTGCTTCAGCTGCATCCCAACTTCTGATACCAGGTAGGAGTAATTGTTCTAAGCTCCGCAGCTGACTACAGAGAGCGGCCACATTTGAGAAACATTCTCATCTCTCTGATCTTGGGTCTCTGACAATGGAGCTAGCAACACTTCCTGGTTTTAAGGGCTCTGAGGAGCAAATTAGACTGTCTGGTGGTGAAGAACTTTGTTTAGGAACAATTTAAGATGCCAACAGGTTCATCTGCTCTCCTGCCTCCTTCTCCCCACCTTGTAACACACCCTAGACAAGTCAGCACTCAAGTTTATATGGACAAATAAGCAAGTAAAATTAGTTAGGAAATCAAATATTGGGGTTGGGGAACAATAAGAGAAGGCAAGCCCTATGGGATGGTAAACTGCAGTATAAAGCCCCATTTGCTGGCACAGTGTGGTCTGGCCTGTGACTAGGTGAGGGACAGTGCGGGGTGGCCTGCCTGCATATGCCAGGTTCTGTGTATCACATCTCTCACCAGGAAGGCAAAACCTGGCAGATGGCACCCGGGCCTGATGGCTCCTCAACCCTCTCAGCACCCCAAAGAGGGAAGTCCCATCACCCTCACTCACCCAGCCCCGGGCTGGCCCTGTCAGCTCTCGAACTGCAGCATACCCGAGCTCTTAAAGCACACTGGACCTAGGGCTCAGGTTTGAGCTTTCATGATGAGACCCTGAGGTCACTGGCGGGGAAAATGAGTCACTGGGGCATTCCCCGAACTTGGGAAAAGCCCTGACCCCAGAATCCTGAGCCTAAATTGCTGCCAAGTTCCCGATTTCCCTTCCAGTCCTCAGTTTCCCCTTCTCTCCGGCACCCTCCTGAGGACCACTGAGCCCCAACCACCACCATGCCCATGGCTGGTGCCCAGGAGGTGGGAGCTGTGGAGCTGCCTCCAGGCCTTCCCGGAGGCCCCATGGCTGTCTTACTTGGTTTGTGGCTTCCCAGTAAACGGTGGGACAGGACCAGGGTCTGAGGAAAAGCAAAGCAGTGTTGACAGAGTGTCCTGGAGGGCAGCTTGTCTCCCTGGCCTGGAGATGAAAACTGAAGAAAACAAGATTCCGTCTAGGAATCGTCCAGGGCGCGGCAGCCCGCCAGGAGCCCGGGCAGCTTGGATGGGGTCCCTGTGGGCACAATCGGCCCAGTGTGGGGCGCACCGCCCCAGGCAGGCTGGCGTCCCGGGGGCCAGAATGAATGGACCCTCACTGGGCCGCTTTGACAGTTTATGAGGTGATGACGTTGCAGCTATGATTGATGAGGTGGCCTCAGTCGGCGTTTCGGGGAACCGGGTACAAGTTGCTAGGGAAATACAGGGGGAGGGTGCTGCCCTCCCCACTGGCCCGCTCTGGGTCCCTGTGCTATGCCTCAGTCTCCCCATCTGTGTGGAGGAACTGATGAAGACAGCACATGCCCCCTGCCCTGGTCCCTGGATTGCAAGTCCAGACAGAAGAGAGCGTCCTGGGAAGCCAGCTGAGAGCACCTCTTTCTCTTTGGGTCCTGCAGCCCGTGGGTGGCAGGGCGGTAACCCCATCTGCCCAGAACCAGGCTGCGCTCTCGGGAGGGAAACAGACTCTTATCCTCTTAGGTACAGCCTCCCTGGCCGCCTCGGATGAGCATCTGCCCCTCCCGGGCCTCAGTTTCCACACCTGAGATGGGAGAGGTTGCATCCTAAAGGCCCTCCATCTCTCAGGTTGGGGGATCACTCTTGTTTCCCTGCAGTTGTTTCCAGCATTAGAGTCACACTGGGGTCCTTGTTCTAGCCCCCGTGTGTTGGCTGCATGACCCGAACTTTACTCCCATGTCCTCCTCTTGGGGGTGTGACATGAGGTCTTCCCCAAGTGGCCCCGAGTGAGGCACCACCATGGACCTGATGGGCAGATCCCCCAGGGCACTCTATCCAGAGGGTGGTGGACCCAAACGCGACGTCCCCAGTGGCGGTGGCTGAGGAGAGGGGTTGGGGCGAGGACCAGCTCTGGGCAGTCTCCAGGTCATGCGCGTTTGACGCAGGAGGTTTTGCCGGCGCCAGGGGCTCCCTCGGCTGACCGAGGGTGTCCCTTACTCCATAAGGTACTGATATGGTCTGCGGAGCAGGTGGCATTTGCCATGCCTGCCCTGCTTGGGTATTTGGCCCCAGGGCCAGGGCTGTCCCTCCCACAGCTATTGAACACCAGGTCCTTGCTGCGTCTGGCTGGGCTGCAGAATACCCTTGACCTTTCAGCATCCTCAGTACCTCTGTGGAGTGCTGCCATGACCAAACTAGAGACTGTTATTATTACGCACATTTTAAGACAGCATCGGCCGGACGTGGGGGGCTCCCACCAGCACTTTGGGAGGCTGAGGCAGGCGGATCACTTGAGGTCAGGAGTTCAACACCAGCCTGGCCAACATGGGGAAACCCTGTCTCTACTAAAAATACAAAAAAACTAGCTGGGCATGATGGTGCATGCCTATAATCCCAGCTACTCAGGAGGCGGAGGCAAGAGAATCACTTGAACCTAGGAGGCAGAGGTTGTAGTGAGCCAAGATCATGCCATTGCACTCCAGCCTGGGCGGCAGAGTGAGACTCCATCTCAAAAAAAAAAAAAAAAAAAAAAGACAGCATCACTGTAGCCAAGGGAACTTAAAAGAAAAAAGTGCATGTTTAGACAGTTGTTCATTTCCTCCAGTTTCCTGCCAGCCCCCTTCTGTAGCTGTGGGCACGTGCACATATAAGTCTTCTCTTTCTCACCCTGCTCATTGTTCATAGCTGCATAATATTTTACAGAGCAGATAAACTCTGCCGGCCTTAACTACTCCCAGGGTCGAACGTCTCCTTTTCTATCGTAAATATCTCTGCAATTCCTATAGCTTTTTTCCTTCAATTCAGTAAACTTTTTTTTTTTTTTTAATTTGAGATGGAGTCTCACTCTGTCACCCAGGCTGGAATGCAGTGGTGTGATCTCAGCTCACTGCAACCTCTGCCTCCTGGGTCCAAGCAATTCTCCTGCCTCAGCCTCCTGAGTAGCTTGGAAAACAGGCATGCACCACCACACCCGGCTAATTTTTGTATTTTTTAGTAGAGAGGGGTTTCACCATGTTGGCCAGGCTGGTCTTGAATGCCTGATCTCGAGTGATCCACCTGCCTCAGCTTCCCAAAGTGCTGGGATTACAGGCATGAGCCACCGCACCCAGCCCCTTTGCTCTTCCTTTGTCTTCTGCCATGATTGTGAGGCCTCCCCAGCCATGTGGAGTTGTGAGTCCATTAAACTTCTTTCCTTTAAACATTACCCAGTCTCAGGTATGTCTTCATTAGCAGCATGAAAACAGACTAATACACCATGTCATTTAATGAGGCTGGGCCTGCCTCTTTCTGATGGAATGAACTCTCCCCAGGTGACAGCCTCTGGTCCCCTCTGCCTTTGGAGTGACTTCTCCTGCATGGGGGTTCTGGGCAGGGTTGGGGGGTGAACACTGGAGAGGGATCAGTCCCAGCTCTGTTCTTCCCCACCCGCTGCAACCTGGTTGGGGACGCGAGGAGGGCACCCAGCAGGCTGCCAGGGGGAGGAGGAGGGACTGCAGTCTGGGCCCAGAGCCCGGTTGTCCCCCATGGAGCCACACAGCAGGCACCTCAGAGTTTGCATCCATTGGAGATGGCCAGGAGTCTGCTCGTGTGGGAAGAATGGCTTCTGAGCGCCAAGGTAGCCTGTGCTGGAGCCTTGGCTGCCATAGAAGGCCATTCACGTCCCTCACACCCTGGCCTGTGCTGCTGGGAAGGCTGTCACTCCTAAACAGTTATCTGCTTCTGTGTTAACCTACAGGGATTCCCTCTTTGCTTTGGCTGCCAGGGAACTCAAAGCTAAGTTTTTTCGCTCACATTCCCAGGCTTCTGGTGTAGATATCTCCTTTCTTCCTTACTGTGGTTTCTGAGCCATCTGGTGTAGATATCTCCCTTCTTCCTTACTGTGGTTTCTGAGCCACCCTGCAAACTTCCTCTGCATCTGTCCCAGTACAAATATCACTGTGTGCCCTTCTAGGCTATCTGGGACACTTAAAAATAAATAAATAAAGACATCTGTCTGAGGCTTAACTTGCATATAGCAAAGTGCATGAATCTGAAGTGTGTGGC
Organism: Homo sapiens; assembly: GCF_000001405.40. Taxonomy (NCBI): domain Eukaryota; kingdom Metazoa; phylum Chordata; class Mammalia; order Primates; family Hominidae; genus Homo; species Homo sapiens. Next base: position 124,595,863 of record NC_000010.11, read on the forward strand.
TGATGAATCTGTACACACCGCTCTCCCTGCACAGCCACCCAGATGAAGACGAGGAGCACCTCCAATACCCAAGCCTCCCTCCACCCAGTCAACACTCTTCTCCAGAGGGAGCTAGCCCGTGCCTTCACCCCCGTCTTCTGCCTGACGGTAAACTTGAGGTGAATGGGCTCCTACCCATGAACACCCACCGTTCATTTCATCCGTGTTGTTCTGTGCAGCCAGACTCCATCCTACGGCATCCGTGGGTGATGTTTCATCACGAGGCTGGACCACGATGTGTTTATCATGTCACTGTTGCTGTCACATGGGCTGTTTCTGGCTTGGGGTCCTTATGAACAGAGCTGATCAGAACATATCTGTCCATGGCTCTTGGTGGACATAGCCTCATTTCATGTGTGTGACTCAGGAGTGAGGTTGCTGGGTCCCGCGGCATTCATGTGTTTAGTGTAGGAGACTCTTGCCAAACATTTCTCCAGAGTGTCTGATGTACCATGTTGCGCTCCCGCCAGCCTCGCTGAGTTCCCATAGCACCATGTCTTCTGCAGCACACGATGTGGCCGGACCTCTCCACGCTGGCCATTCAGGTGGACGTGGAGCGGTGTCATTTCCTTCCTGAGGGGCCTGCATGAATCCCTTTTAGGTGGAACACACACAGAGTGGGCCGGCGCTCATAAGCAGTCCCGTGTGAATCCTTGGAGAGCTGTGGAGGTAGCACAGCTGCATCTCTAGGTTGGGGCCACTCTTTTCTTGGAACAAGAGCCCTAAACGTGGGACCCTAAACAACACCCAGGGAGGAGCAGCCTGGCCTATGAGCAGGGGGACACCATGAAGCTGGGTGGACGGGTGGGGAGGCCCGACTTTAAGGGACCTGCTTCCTAAGCAAACAGGCCAGGACAGAGGCTGCAGGTATAAGCCCTGCCCTGCCACCATGATGGTGAATATGAGGTGTCAACCTGATTGGATTGAAGGATGCCTAGATGGCTGGTAAAGTTTTGTTTCTGGCTGGTTAAGTGTGTCTGTGAGGGTGTTGCCAGAGGAGACTGACTTTTGAGTCGGTGGACCGGGTGACGGAGACCCACCCTCCGTGTGGGTGGGCACCATCTCATCGGCTGTCCTTGTGGCTGGAACAAAGCAGATGGAGGAAGGTGGGAAGACTTTGTTTGCTGGGTCTTCTGGCTTTCATCCGTCTCCCGTGCTGGATGCTTCCTGCTCTGGGACATCAGACTCCAGGTTCTTTGACCTTTGGACTCTGGTTTAGCTGGAGCTCTCGGGAGGTGTCGGCTTCCCTACTTTTGAGGATTTTGGACTCGGACTTGGCCATTACCAGCTTCTCTCTTCCCCAGCTTGCGTACGGTCTGTCGTGGGACCCGCCTAGTGATCGTGTGAGCCAGTTCTCCCTAATAAACTCCCTTTCATGTATAGACATGGATCCTATGAGTCTTTTCCCTCTGGGGAGCCCTGCCTAACACAGTGGCATAGAGCTCCAGGCAGGCCCCTCACCTGGCCTTCAGCTTCAGTTTCTTTGCCTACTGGGCTGAATATTGGTGTCACCACCCAGGATAGCAAGTCCCCATCAGTGTCACTGCCACCTGTCGAAGAGATCCCCCAGCCCAGCACTCGGGTCTGTGAGTGGCAGTGGAGATGACACTAGGCTCTAAGTAGTGGGGCTGCGTGACTCCAGCGCCCCTAGGACCAGCAAGGGCACCCAGAGCACTGTGGGAGGACTGGTGCCGCCTCCCTGCCCCCCTGCTTTCTCCTGGGCCACTGGGCTAGACATGGGGCCTCCCTGCCCCCATGTGGTTTGGCCTGAAAAAGAGAGGAGGTGGGGTGGCACTTCTGGGGCAGCCCAGAGTGAGTGCCCTGCCCTGAGCCCAGCGTGTGCCCTGCCTGTGCCCCTGGGTGGGGGGTGCATACAGACCTCGGGGGGATCTGGCCGTTGGAGTGCGCACTGGGAGGGACGGAGTCAGCTCTTTTTAATCTAAACACACACCAGGTGCTTAACGTGTTTTTATCAAAATATCAAGCACAGCTGCAAGAGGCTGCTCTGCTCCAAGGCCCTACGCCCAGGCCCGTCCCTCTGCCAAAGCGAGCCTTTTAGGTGAGCCCTGCCGGCCACCTGCTAGCCCAGGCCCCGGCTCCTGGTGGGCCCTGGACCAGGCTGCAAGCATATCCAAGTGCATGGCAGTGAGACGTCCAGGCCTCCCAGCCCCAACTCTGAGCCTCCGTTGGGTCAGTGGTAAGATGGGGCAGTGGCACCTACCTCCCCGGCTGCTGTGAAAACCAAGTGAGCGGAAGCATGGCAGCCCCTCACCAGGTCCCCAGTGGGAGGACTCTCAATGATTGGCACTGCCAGGAGTAATGTTATGAGAGGAGCGTCCCATCAGCCTGGAGGGGACACAGGCTGGGTCAGCACCCACAGGGGCTTCCGCTTCTCTGTCTCAGGGGGTCCAGGGTGGCCCCTTGCCACTGGTCCCCAGGCACAGCCGCTACACAGGTGCCTCTGCAGGGTCTGGGAGTCAGCTGTCCAGGGCCTGCTTGGCCACCGCAGGGCAGGAGTGTGGCACTGTGAGCCTGGTGGCCTGGCTGGGCGTGGCCTTGAGGTTCTATTGATAACCCCATGGGGAAAGCCCCCCTGAGGTGCTTGGGCATCGGACCTGCCCACCATCTCCTGAGGTGGGGCCTGCTCTCCAGACAGTCAGGTCAGCATGAGTTCCCATGAGGCCAGGGCCAGCACGAGGAATTGCTGGGAGCGGTCCATCCACCCATCCGTCCGTCCATCCATCCATCCATCCATCCATCCCTATCCACCTGTCCACCCTGATGCAGTTCCTGCCATCCACGTGTCCATCTGTCTACCCGTACACCTGTTCATCCCCATCCATCCATCCCCCTGTCCATCCCTGCCCATTCATCCACCCTGATGCAGCGCCTGCTACCCACCCTTCTCTGTCCATCCCCATCCATCCATCTCTGTCCATCCATCTGTCCACCTGTCCATCCCCCTATCCATCCCTGTCCATTCGTCCACCCATCCACCCTGATGCAGCACCTGCCATCCACCCTTTTCTGTCCATCCCCGTCCATCCATCTCCATCTATCCATCTCTGTCCTTCCATCTCCATCTATCCATCTCTGCCCATCCATCCATCCATCCATCCATCCACCTGTCCATCCCCATCCATCCATCCCTGTCCATCCATCCACTCATCCACCCTGATGCAGTGCCTGCCGTCCACCCTTCTCTGTCCATTCCCATCCATCCATCCATGTCCATCCATCCATTCATTGCCCATCTGTCCACTCACCCATCCACTCATCCCACCCACCCATCCATCCACCCATCCGTCCCCAGCCATCCATCCTCCTGTCCATCCCTGTGCATGCATCATCCTTCCAACTGTCTGTTTGTCCATTCCCATCCATCTATCCACCCATCCACCCAGGCGAGCACCTGCCATGCCCACGACCTGCACCATCTCGGTGAATCTCCATCGTAGCCCCAGGAGGGGCTCTTTTCAGCTGCACTTTCAGGATGAGAGAAGGGAGGCTCTGAGTGGCCATTTGCCCAAGGTCACACAGAGCTCAGGGCCAGCGCTTCCCATGGCCAAAGCCCAGGCCCCCTCTGCCAGTCCCGCCTCCAGGCTTGCAGGTGGAGCAGCCAGGGGTTCCGTACTCCCTGCCAGGCAGCTGCCAGCCCTCCCCGCTCCCCTCTCAGTTCCTCAGCCTGGCTATGGGAGGCCCAAGTCCCACGTGTCACTGGAATTCGGGAGGCCTGGCTCTCAAAGCTTTCTGTACAAAACAAGGAGAAAAAGAGAAGCCACTTTTGCTGTCTGGACATGCTGTGGGTGTCCTGGGGAATGTGCTGGCCCACTGCTTGGGGCCTGACTTGGAGTGCCCAGGAGCTGCGTCTGCACTGTGGCTTGAACCGAGTGTCGTGCTCTGTGGACAGAGCCATCCACTCTGGGGGTGCTCGTCCCATGGCACTGTCAGCCCCCATTCTGGAAGGTCCCAACTGGGTCCCCCAGGCCTGTGTCCCAGAGACCTTCCAGGTCTTCATTCACTGATCATGCATTTATTTTGGGGGTAGGATAGGTCCTGAAGACCACAGGGCAGGGATCTCTGAGTTGGGGCTTTTGCGGAGTGAGGGAGTGAGAGGGTGTTCCAGGCAGAGGAGGTGGCAGAGAAAGGCACCAAGTGAGGCAGGGGCAGTTGGGGACATGAGTGCTCGGGAGCGGGGAGAGGGGGCAGCTGGTGGGTAAGCAGAGGCCAGCTCCAAGGCCCCCCTGTGGGCCACATTAGGGAGACAGGGTCTGGCCTTGTTGGTAGCGCGGCCCCTCGCAGTGATGGGTCCCCTGTCAGACCTCCAGGATCCTGGGTTGCTGGTTTGGCGCAGCCCCGGCTTCTGTGAGCTTTTGTTTCTGTTACTGGCACCTGCAGCTCTTCCTAGGCCCCTGCCCTGGGGCACTGGTGCCTGCTTCGCCAAAGGCACAGAGGGCTGCAGGCGACTGGGGCAGGGTGGGGGGCTCGCCTCTTAGGGCTCAGCTTCACTGGCCAGAAACAGGGCTGGCTCGATCTGGGTGTTGGCCTGGGTGGGGTGGCCAGCATGCCCACACCTCTCAGTCTGGATGTGGGGAGAGGTTGTTCCATCCAGGGCAGTTGGTCTCCAGAAGGAAATTCTCTGTATCTGGGTGCTGCAACCTAGGTGCCCGGGGTCTCACGCAGTGGGGCCTCCCCGGAGGAGGTGAAGTGCATGTGGCCCCTCGTGCTGGATGGAGCTGGACTCTAGGGAGGACCAGGAGGGTGAGCTCAGGCCAGGGCGCCAAGGCCCTGAGCCCCAGGGGCCTGCCTGTCTGCCCATCATTCCTCCACTCATGGGGAGGGACTGCCCCCCAGCCCAGATTTCTAGGAGGGCCGAGGCTCACAGGAAGCCAATGCCAGGCGATAACCCACAGTCCCCAGTGGTCAGTAGGAAGGAGGCTGCCTGCTTGTGTGCTCATTAGGAGCCAAGGCCATGAGGCCACTAACGGAATGTCCCTGATCTCAGGGATCTCAGTGTGGAGGTGGCAGCACACAGGTAACCAAACAATTGTGGCAGATTGATGGGTGCTTTGATGGGGTCCACACAGTTACCGTGGAGTGCAGAGTGGGCACCTAACTGAGGAGGCAAGGGTTGGAGGGAGGAAGGTTTCAGGGAAGACTTCCTGGAGGAGGTGACTTGTTCTTAGGGAATGAGGCCCAGGGAGCTAAAGCTTTAGGGCAGGGCAGCAGATTCAGAGACACCCCCAGGGGTAGGGGGAAGTGCACTAGAGTGACGTGTGCCTGGCGTGGGAACAGGGAGACATTAGAGAATAGTGGGAGTGTGGCAGGCTGGGCCCGCCTTGCCCCTTTCAAGGAAGCAGCTGCCGCGTCACACGCTGCAGCGCAGTGCTGCCCATGGTTTGTCGGCCCATATTGTGGGATCTTTCAGATTTTCTCAAGAAGCCAGGTTTCCAGCTCCTAGGTTTGAAAAGTTCTATGTGCGCTTGACCGGGGGGCCTTACGTACGTGAATTGGGTGAGGGCCTGAGACAGGCGGGTGAGCACTTGCCCCACACTCCAGCCAGGATTGGGGGTTCAAGGTACCGCATTTGCCACGTGAGGGAGTCTCTGGAGACCACCAACCCGCTGGTGGGCGGCCAAGCGTCACCACCAGTCCCTCTCAGTGCGTCCCACCTCTGTTCTCAGCCCCTGCGGTGCCCGCAGTCAGTGGGGCAGTGAGAACCGCGCAGGAAATAGCTGGCGCCATGGTGTCGGTTCTGGTTGACAGAGTGCCACCTGGCTAAACCCAGCCGTAAATAAGCCCCGTTTCCTCCCTGTGGACAGAGACTGGTGGGTGCCAAGGTTCACGGCAAAAACCCTTCCCCGCCAGGCCCCACTGCTCTCTGCCTGGCTGGCACACGCCCTTGCCTCAGGCCTGGCTCCCCGGGTCCTGTTGACCACCAGGCTGCAGATCCCAAGGAATGCAGGCATCTGGGTGGCCCCACGTGGAGCACCAGCCATGGGGAGGCCGTGGGCTACCAGGCCCTGCGTGCACTCGCAGCATGCACCACTCCTTCTCCAGGTCCCGTTGACCTCCATGTGTGCTGTGCCCCGTCCTCCGCTGCACTGCCTCTTCGTAGTGCCCCAGCTCCATCCGGGGGTGGGTGGGAGTGGAGACCCCTGCCTACAGGCCTCCGGGTCTAGCCAGAGTCAACCAGCCCACCAGAGACACCCAGATGCAGGCTATGCCCCACGTGCCCAGGGAGGATCTGCTGACGTGAGCCCAGATTTCGATTCTTGTGCGAGGGAGACGAACCAGGTTTAAACCCCAGCTCTGCCACTTCTGGCTGTGACTTTGAGCATGGCTGTTCATCTCTGGGGGTCTCTCTCCTCATCTCAGAGAAGCAGATCATGGTGCGCACCCCATGGCGCGCTGTGCAGAGCACATAGAGACGCCACCCACAGCTGGCTTACTGCAGAGGTGTGGGCCCATTGTGGTATCGCTGATGTCCTGGAGGCCACAAGTCTGCTAGCTAGAGGAGCCTCACCTGCATCCCGGGGCCTGCCCACTGGCTGGTGGAGAGCTCTGGGTTGTGGGCAGCAGGCAGGCCTATTTCCAGTGAGTCTGTGGCTCCTGGGGGTGTGTGAGACCTTGGGCAGATCCCTTCCTGTGCCTCGGTTTACCCACTAGGGCTCAGAGCCCTGGGGGACTGGCTCAGTGAGTGCCTCCTTCTGCGAGGAGAGACTTTTGTCCTTACTAGCCAGAGGACAGGTCAGCCGGGGCAGGCTCTGGGCCCTGGGCACCACCCACTGGAAGGAAAGGGGGTTCAGTTAGCCCAGCCCTGCCCCCCAATGGAAGAAAATTGGGGTTCAGTTAGCCCAGCCCTGCCCCACCCCAGCTCTTCACACATCCAGATCCAGATGGGGGCCAGACCACCAGGAGACTGTAAGGATCCAAGGCCGAGGGGCAGGAGACGCAGTGCGCCCCTCTCCTATTTCTGGGTTGCAACCGCCCACACATGTGCACACAGGGAAGATGTCTCTTTTGGTTGGGGGGCACAGGACCCCACCTCACTCTTAGCTCTGAGACACCCTTGTCAGGCCTCCTGGACAGGTGGGAGGGACAGGGCAGGGTGGGGTGTGGCCAGCTGCAGTCCCTGGGAGGGGTACTGGGGCTGGGCCAGGCCAGGGCAGGACAGAGTTGGGGAATCCAGGCCCCTCACCATTGCCCTGGCTCTTTGTATGTAGTGCTGCCTGCGGGCGGCAGCCTAGCTGGACACCTGCAGTGCGCTCATGCCCAGCCTCTGTGGGTGTCTGGCTCACCCCACGTGGGAGGAAGGCGGGCACGGGTGGTTTGGGCTGGGCAGGCCCAGCCCGGGTGCACAGCTTTCTCATCCACACACACATTCCATGTGTAGGGGCTCAGGGGGAGGGGTCACCTCCTCCCTCCCCACCCCTCCTTGTTACAGAGGAGCAGATGGCCAAACGGATGGGGGACAAGCACCTGACAGGGCCACTGCTCCTGCTCTCAGCTGGGCCAGTGGGAAAGGGAGCTTGGCACCTCCAAGGGAGGTCCCAGCCAGGGGAAGTGTGTCCCCATCCCTGCTCTGGTCCCCAGGCCAGAGAGGTGAGGGACCCAGAGAGGCCCAGGATGAGGACTCCTTCAGTCCTGGGTTTTTGTTTGGATTTTTTTTTTCTGCCAAGTGACTTCAAAGCCGCCCGAGAAGGTCCTGTATGTGTGAGCAGGTTGGGCAAGGGGAGGGCGGGTCTCCAAGCTGGGAGCCTCCTCGCGGCCCTCGCCTCGGCACTGATGTGGCCCTGGACCCTCCGGTCCCTCCAGGCCACCCTTCGTGCCAGGACCCAGCTGGCTTCAATGGCAGGAGGTGCCCTGGGCTGGAGGGTCCCCACGCTGGGCTCCGGGGCTCCAGGTTGACTCAGCAGTCCCCAGGCCTGTGGGCAGAGCTGGCCTGGGAGGACACGGGCCTGAGGGCTGAGCAATCCCTGAGTGAGAACAGGTAGCTGAGGCTGGAGCCTGTGTCCCCCAGGCAGCTGCTAAGGCCCGGGCCTGGGGCTGGAGTGCTGGGCTCAGGTGCCATGTGAGCTCTTTGCAGGCAGGGACCAGGTCAGAGTCCTTTGTGTGCCTCTTGACCCCCAGGTCCTGGGAGAAGAGGGGCTTGGGAGGCCTTGGCTGGATGCACAGGCTCCATGGGAAGGAGCTCCTGCTCGGGTTTCTTTGTAAGCAGCACGACATGGCACCTTCCCAGAGGTACATGGGTCTGGGCATGTCATTCCCCGACCTGCTTCCAGAACCCAGGGGACGGAGGTCGGAGCAGCCTGCCTGAGATCTGTGGCCATCTCCACTCCGCCACCCAGCTACCCCGTAAGGAGGCCACCGACCCTCGGGCACCTGCCAGGGACCCAGCTCAGGCCAGGTCACGGGCTGGATGTGGGATGTTCTGGGCCTTCTGCCCACCTCACTGGGCCCCAGCAAGCTGCTGTCCTGAGGGTGGCCGTGCTGGGCCAGCACGTGGACAGCAGGGAACCCCATGGGCACAGGCCTAGTGTGTGTGATGTACCGGTGCAGACCATCTGATAAGCAGCCTTCAGAGAAGCTGCGGGTGTGCAGGTGGAGGCAGACCTCCCAGCTGCATCCTCCAGGCACTTGCCAGGGTCAGGCTCTGGTGAACACCCTTCTAGAAATAACCCCCCAGGCCCCCGGGGGTCTTGGGCTCCTGGGGTTCTGATGGAAGGATGCCCCTTGCCCGGCCTCACTACCTCCACCTCATGAATCACCCTCTGTCCTTGTCCTGCAAGTCTGTCGGCACAGCCGAGCTGGCGTCACCCTCTGATGCCAGTGCCCAGATCCCTGAATTCACTGGGCAGCCGCCCCCTGCACCTGGCTCCCAGCCACTGCCTTTCCAAAGCAAATGGGGACAGGGATACCTGCCCCTCCCTGGGTAGGCAGCTGTTGCGGCCTCCAGTTGTGAGAGTCTCTGCCCCACCCTGCCCCTTCCCCTGCCCCTGCAGGGTAGAGAGGAGGCGGGTGGGCCACCGACTGGGAGTCCCGGGCAGCTCAGGTCCCTCAAGAGCCCCTCGGGGAGAGGCCGCACCCGTCTCCCTTGGTCAGTGTTCCCCAGGAGGCGGTGCTGGCCTGCGTGTGCCCTGGAGGAGGCGGCAGGGAGACTGGCCTCATGGGGCTCTTTTGCTGGGGCCTGGCCACCATTTTCCTTCGATTGGTACAAAGACTGTCCCTGTGAAGCTGGCCAGGCCCCAGGCACAGAACCGCCTTGTTTTCTGCCTCTCACTCACCCGTTCCCTGCATTCGGCTGACAGAGCATGAGGGGGAGGAATCACTGATGACAGGCACTGGCCTGCCCAGCTGGGGGCCTTTGTTTATTCATTTGGTGGGCACTTCCTGGGTGCCTGCTCTGGGTCAGGCCTGTGGGGGGGACCACCGAGGGCAGGAAACCTGGCCTGTCCCTCCAGGAAGCGAAGTCAACACTGGCACCTGCAGATGAAGTGGCAGAGCAGCCCCCAGCTTTGATGGCATGGGGTGGTTGGAGGGCACATTCTGCATGCTCAGAAGAGAGAGCAACTCGCCCTGTGGAAGGAGCATACAGTGGGAGATGGGGACAGGTGAGTGGGGTCTTGAAACGTGAACAGGAGTTTGCAGGTGGAGCAGGTTTCAAGAGCATTCCAGGGCACAGCATGGGCAATGGCAGGGAGAGCTGGGATGTCTGAAGAGCAGCAGCCCAGACACTGAGTGGCTGGCGAGGCGAGGGAGGTCCGCAGGTGGGGCCCAGTCAGGATGGACTCATCTGCCATGCTGAGGAGCCAGGCTATGATGTGGGCAATAGGGAGCCACAGCAGTTTACACAGGGGAGGCGGGAGCAGCTGAGCATTTAGGGAAGCCACTCTGGCTGCAAAAGAGGAGAGGGGGCCAGGCAGGAGGGAGAGCCAGTGGAGGGGGAGGGGGAAGGGGAAGGGAACAGGCTTCAGCAGAAGACCTCCTGCCTTCAAGGGGCCCGGGTCACCCTGTGGGTTCCGGTGGTTAAGGCCAGCCTCCTGGTCCTGCAGCCACATGCCTCCCAGCTGTGTGCCTCCGCTTCTACCTCCGAAACCCGGGCAGCAGGACCCACCCTGCAGGCTCCTGCGCAAGGATGGGGGAGGTACCTGGAGGGCCCACCCCACATCAGAAGCAGGTCCTCAGCCAGAGACGCCCAAATGCAGCCCGAGGGAGGCTGCCCCCAGGAGAGGAGAGGAGAACCCGCAGCCGCCCCGCAGGCGCCTGGGGAAATCACTCACTGCTCCCACCTCCCAGCCAGGCCCCGAGGGCCAGGCACTCTGGCTTAGTGAAGAAGCCACCCAGCAAAGGCCTGGTGTCTCCACACCATTCTCGGGGGGACAGCAGCAAGGACGATGGACGGGAGCAGTGCTCAGCCTTAACGTCCCTGTTTCCGGAAGCGTCCCTGCCCCGCTCAGTCCTGCCCCACTCCCTCTCCCATCAGTGCCCTCAGACTCCAGGCCCTTTTCTTTCTTTCCCAGCAGTGCTGACAACTGTGAGTGTGGAACTGGACTGTGAACCCTGGAGGGCAGATGGTGGAGGTGGGAGGGGGCAGGGCCAGCGCCAGGGTGAGCTGCAGGGTCCCCAGGTGCAGGGGAAACGCCAACTTCGTGTGCAGTCTTGCCTCTTTTGTTTCGTTTCAGAGTGGCCCCCAGAGCCAAGCCCTATGCTACCTTACAGATGAGGAAACTGAGGCTCGGGCAGGTGAAGAGACCGGCCCTGGGCCATGCACTTTTTTGGGGACAGAGCAGGGTGCTCAGCTGTCTGGGGGCCTGGGCTGGGCCTGGGGCAGGGGGAGGAGCAGCGCTGTGACCCCCACGGGGAGCCGTCAGCCAGGCCCGTAGCCAGGGAAGGGCGGAGGGGCTTAACGCAGGCCCACATGGCCAGGACACAGAACCGTGGGGGCAGCCCCAGCCCTTCCCTGCCTGTTACAGGCCCCTGCCCCTGTTCCTGTGTCCCATGCCTGTCCCCTCCCTCCATGTGTCTGTCTCTACTCGCCTGCCCTCTCTCTGCCCTCTTTTCTCTGCTTCATCCTCTTTTTCCGTTTCTGCCTGTCTCATGGTTCTTCCTGTCCCTGCCCTCCCTCCCTCCGTGTGTGGCCGTGTCTCTCTGTCTGTCTCTTCCTCCTCCTCCAGCTCTGTCCCAGTAGGGCCACTCCGGGCAGGATGGTCTGCGGCCCCTCCTGCTTCACCCTCTCCGCTCTGTACCCACTGCCGAGGACACACCTTTGCTGGGTTTCTTGGTTCAGCTTTTGTACCGTGACATCTCTGAGGTCCACAGGTCACAGGGCACTGGCCAGTGTGGGGCAGGGACTCCTCCTGCCCAGGCCATTGGACAAAGCAGAGCTGCTTCAGGGGCTTTGGGGCCACCAGGCCAGGAACAGGTCCCCTCCTGCCTACCCCAGCTCCCTGGGAGACACAGCCCACAGCAGCGTCACGTAATTAAGACATAAAAGTCCACGATTTCCGCTGCGTGTGGGCAAACACCGGCCGGGTGCTAATGCAATCCTTTCTTTTAGTGGATTCTTGAATTTAAATGATATGTAATTAAACATAATTAGCCACGGACGCCATTCGGCTAGGTACACGTGCGGAGTGGGGCTGGCCGGATTCTCATTACAAAGCGTCATCTTCTATGGGGAGACCTCTTGTTCCCTCTCGGGGCTGGTTGCTTTTGCCTGGACAATAAGCCTGGCCCCAGGGCACCTGGGGAAGGTGTCCAAGGAGGGGGTCCTGGGGGCCAGTCCCCCGGGGGCTCGGATGATGAATCATGGGCGGTGTTTGCTGGAAGAATTTTTGTTCCGCTTCGGGCAACAAGGAACCCAAACCTCTCACTGTTGTGGGGAGAAAAGTTGGAAATCAGATGGGAACTGGCTGCGGTACCAGAGAGGACGTCAGACCCGGGCCGCGGCCTCAGCCCCCGACTCCTTGTAAGCGTGGGCTGGGTGCACACGTGGCGGCTGCGAGCAGTGCTTTGGAGCTCATCTCCCCAGACCCTAGTGGGAGCTGAGGGCAGCCTGGCAGGGCTGATGCAGGCCCATGCACACAGGCCAGGCAGAGGTGAGACCAGGGAATAGAAGCGTTGCAGGGGCAGAGGGCAGGAGGGGGCAGAGCCTCGGCGTAGGAGTGAGCCTACTGGTCCTTCCCGCAGGCACCCTCCCTAGTGCCAGGTCTGCTGGGACTCCAGGCTGTTGGTATGCCCCCTAGGGTCCTGCTTGGAGCCTTTCTGACCCTCCTGATCCAGTGCCTGTGCCGGGCTTCCTCCCCACTCACCCTGTCCTCCCTGTGCCCCATGTAGCCCACACATCAGTGTGTCCGTCCGTCTGCCTGTCTGCCCCCCACCAGCCTGTGTGCCCAGGGGAAGGCTCAAGGCCGGTCATGCTCTACCTCCCTGGCCAGCCCAGCCCCAGCCCACGGTGCATTCCCTGGACAGGATTGCTGAGTTTTCCATTTTAGCCACAACAGCGCCCACACCCGCGCCAACCAACCTGTCCTTGCCACGAATATTGGCTCCTGCCCTCCTCATGGGAGCCCATGGTGCATGCTATTATGACCTCGGTCTAGAGGCAGGGACACCAAGGCACAGGGGCTTAGGGAAGTTGCCTGAGGTCACGTGGCTGGTAGGGGGCGGAGCCAGCTTTATCCTCATGGCACAGATGAGGAAACTGAGGCAGAGAGGTGTTTTGCCAGGGGGCTGATTTACTGAGCTAGCCAGCCGTTCTGGTTTTGTCTCTGTCTCGCTCAGAGGGACCCCCACCCCACCCACCTGCCTACCCAGCTTGCCGTGTCCTCGGCCAGGGCCAGCAGTCTCAGAGGTAGAGCTGCTGAGAGAAGCCTGTCATCTGTCCTCCAAGAGGGATCTGAGTAAGCCGGAGAGCATCAGCAGCCTCAAGGGGACCTTGGACCCCTGCCCACCTTTCATTCTGTACCAGGGCAGGGTGTGTCTGCACAGCCTGGAGCCAGGTGTGGCTGGCAGCCCCAGGAAGACAGGGCCAACCCTGCCCAGCCCAGAGCAGCCGCATCTCTGCAGCAGCGGTGCACTTGAGTGGAAGCACTGGCTTCCCAAGAGTAAGAGCTTGAGAAGGGGCCTGTCCAGAGCCCTGGGGGACGGTGGACAGGCCAGCCCAGGGGTCCAGGCCTTTCCTGTAGGGGCCGAATCGTTACCACTTCAGGCTCTGCCAGCTTCCATTTGGTCTCTCTTGCATATTACTCTCTTCTTTTTACACCCCTTTAAAAATATAAAGACAGGCCGCAGGTAGGATTTGGCCCTCTGGCCTACACAATAGCAACTGTGAGCATTATATGTGGCTTCTCTTTCTTTTTGAGACTCTCATCTGTCACCCAGGTTGGAATGCAGTGGTGTGATCACGGCTCACCACAGCCTCAACCTCCCAGGCTCAGGTGATCCTCCCACCTCAGCCTCCCAAGTAGCTGGGACTACAGGCGCCTGCCACTACACCTGGCTGATTTTTGTACTTTTTTGTAGAGATAGGGTTTCACCATGTTGCCCAGGCTGGTCTTGACCTCCTGGGCTCAAGCAATCCTCCTGCCTTAGCCTCCCAAAGTGCTAGGATGACAGGCGTGAGCTACCACGCCCGGCCCATATGTGGCTTTTTAATTAAATTTTTGAGGTATAACATTAGTAAAGTGCTCTAAAAGTGAAGAATAGGATGTTAGCCCCACCCAGGTCAAGATCTAGAACATTCCTGGCACCCCTATTCACCTTTCCGTTAGGAAGCTGCCGTCCCACCCTCTGTCACTAGTCTGCCTTTGCCAGCTCTGGAGCTCTCTGTAAGTCAGTCCTGCTGTGTGTATTCCTCGAGTCTGGCCTCAGTTGCTCTTCAGGTCTGGGGCTCACCCCCATTGCCGCGGCAGGAACTCACCCCAGATTGAGCCGTTGTGGAGTATTCCAGTGTGCAATTCTGCCGTGGTCTGTTTTCCCATCCTCCCCCTGGCGGGCATTTGTCCAGTGTTTGACTTTTGCTATTGCAACTAAAGCTGTGTGGAGCAGTGTGCCTTTGGTGAACGTGCCTTTGGTGAACGTGAGGATGCATTTCTGCTGTGTACATACTTAGGAGTGGGACTGCAGGGTTGCAAGTGGATATCAACACGCAGTTTTCCAATGTGGCCCGTACCATAGAAGGCCTCGTGGTGATGCCGAGTCCATATTCCAGCACTGACGCAGGATTGCGTGGTGCCAAGTCCCTATTTCAGCACTGACGCAGGATCACGCATGTCTTCAATGCCCCTCTCCTAGATCGTAGACACCCTGTGTGGCATCACAGAATGACACACACAAGACAAGAGGCCTCTAAAGCCCTGACACTGACACGGGTTGTTCTTGCTGGGGTTGCTAATGGAGCGGGTGCGGGTGTGGGTGCGGGTGAGGGTGCTGATGGAGCGGGTGAGGGTGCGGGTGAGGGTGCTGGTGGAGCGGGTGAGGGTGCGGGTGAGGGTGCTGGTGGAGCGGGTGAGGGTGAGGGTGAGGGTGCTGATGCAGCGGGTGAGGGTGAGGGTGAGGGTGAGGGTGCTGATGGAGCGGGTGAGGGTGAGGGTGTTGACGGAGCGGGTGAGGGTGCGGGTGAGGGTGCTGATGGAGCGGGTGAGGGTGCGGGTGAGGGTGCTGGTGGAGCGGGTGCGGGTGCGGGTGCAGGTGAGGGTGCTGATGGAGCGGGCGAGGGTGAGGGTGAGGGTGCTGATGGAGCGGGTGAGGGTGCGGGTGAGGGTGCTGGTGGAGCGGGTGCGGGTGCGGGTGCAGGTGAGGGTGCTGATGGAGCGGGCGAGGGTGAGGGTGAGGGTGCTGATGGAGCGGGTGAGGGTGCGGGTGAGGGTGCTGATGGAGCGGGTGAGGGTGCGGGTGAGGGTGCTGATGGAGCGGGTGAGGGTGAGGGTGAGGGTGAGGGTGTTGACGGAGCGGGTGAGGGTGAGGGTGAGGGTGCTGATGGAGCGGGTGAGGGTGAGGGTGAGGGTGCTGATGGAGCGGGCGAGGGTGAGGGTGAGGGTGCTGATGGAGCGGGTGAGGGTGCGGGTGAGGGTGCTGGTGGAGCGGGTGAGGGTGTTAATGAAGCGGGTGCGGGTGAGGGTGCTGATGGAGCGGGTGCGGGTGAGGGGGCCGCATACTCATCCCCTTGCCTGGTCCCCCAGGCTCCTACTTTGGTGTGTGCTCATTCAGGAGCAGCAGAGTGGCCGTGCTTGGGACGGCCAGCCAAGCGATCCCCACTGGTACTGGCATCTGTAGGTGCCCCTGCTTGGAGCGGGTGCTGGCAACTGCCCTTTGCTGGAAGGGGCAGCAATGTCCAGCAGTGGTGGAAGCTCTCGAAAGAACACAGGGCTGGGAGTAGAACTCAGTCAGATCCCAGCTCTGCTCTCCCTGCTGTGTGACCTATAGCAAGTCTCTGAACCTTTCTGAGCTGTTTCCTCACCTGTTCAAGATGGGGGTGACCACTTCTTCCTTGGAGGATGGAAGGGAGAGGGATGTGAGGCTCGTGAGTGCTGTGCTCGGAGACTGTGCAGGAGGGGAAGCGGCCGTAGCCCCATACAAGCAGGTGGGCAAGGAAGTGGGGGCGCTGGAGGGGCTTAGGGGACAAGGGGTTCTGTCCTTGGGACCTGGACAAGAGCCAAAAGGTATACCCTCACAGTCACAGGGGAGCCCACACTGCCCTCCCCTCCCAGGGACTGCCCCTGTGGCCCCCGTCCAGGTCCACAGCCTCAGCAGTCCCTGAGGGCCAGGAGGTAGCCTCCAGGCCACTGGGCTGAGAACCCTTAAAAGAAAAAGCCCCCCTGCCCATGACAGTCATTTTAGGGTCAAGAAAGCCCTTTGCAGAAACCAAACCCTTTGAAAGGGCCAACACGGCTTTTAGATGACGTGAGAACCAACTTCAAGCACTTCCTCTCAGACCAGGGTGGCAGCTTCCAAAGTGGGGGCGCTGCTGCCGGGAGACTGTGGTTTCCCTGCTTCTCAGGGAGCTTGGGCCAGGCCGTGGGGAGATCCAAGCAACATGTCCCTCGGTAGTGGTAGGTTTGCAGACGGGCCGCTCCCCACTTCCTGCCAAGCTCCAGCGGCACCTCTGTGGGTGCAAGGCTGTGGGGAGGGGCCTTCTGGCTCACAGCCCTCCAGGCTGCCCACAGCCCCTAGGATGAGGTGCCACTTCCTCAAATGACTGTCAAGACTGGGATGGGGGCCGGGCACGGTGGCTCACTCCTGTAATCCCAGCACTTTGGGAGGCTAAGGCGGGCAAATCACTTGAGGTCAGGAGTCGGAGACCGGCCTGGCCAACATGGCGAAACCCTATCTCTACACTAAAAAATACAAAAAAAGCCGGGCGTGGTGGCGGGTGCCTGTAGTCCCAGCTACTCAAGAGCCGAGGCAGGAGAATCGCTTGAAACTGGGAGGCAGAGGTTGCAGTGAGCCAAGATCGCACCATTGCACTCCAGCCTGGGCAACAGAGTGACACTTGGTCTCAAAAAAATAAAAAATAAAAAAGGCTCTGGATGTCTCCACGAACCCACCTGACCCCTTCCTGCTCCTGGGGCTCTCCTCTCCCACCCACGTGTCTACCCGTAGCTCCTGCCTGCCTTCAGGACTCAGCCCACAGCCCCTTCCACAAAGTCCCCTGGCAGGGCCCGGAGGCCTCTGCACTGTCTCATGGCTTCATTCCTGTGTCCTCAGCATCCAGTGAGACCTCAGGAGATGCCTGGGGAATGGCTGAAGGCTTTGGAGAGGTTGCTGCCCCCAGAATCCCAGCCAGAGGGCAGTTTATCCAGGAGCCCGGTGCCTCCTCTGTTGGGTGGGCGTGGCCTCAGAGGGCACCAACCAGAAGACACATGCTGTCACTGACATGCGGGCCCCCAGCGTTAGGGCAGGCAGGAGCTCCGAGTCTCTACCCCAGCTGTCCCCACAGTGCACATGGACTAGGCTCCTCCCACGGGGCACTAGGCCAGGCCAGGGGTGTGGGGTGAGCCCCTGGGGAGCCCAGAGCAGGGTACACTCATGTCCCCACCATCCAAGGTGAGATGTCTGTGCTGGAGGCCCAGAGGGAGCTGGGCCGGCTGTCACTCCACCACAAGGCTGAGCAGGCTCCCCAGTGGGAGACAGGTTTGGGGAGGTGTCCAGGTTGAGGGCACAGTCAGGAGGGGCCATGTGTGCCTGAGTAGGGCAGGGGGAGGAGGGGGATGGCCAGTGGCCACGGGCCAGGCTGCCTGGCAGGACCTGGAGGTTTCCTCAAGCTAAGGCCAGGCCCATGTTAGATGCTGGGAGGGTGGGTGTGGCTGCAGAGGGGTCAGCGTGGGGGCACTGACTAACCTCCGGCCATCCTCTCCAGGCCCAGTGACGAGCACCATCCGGAAGTGAAGGCTGATGGGTACGTGGACAACCTCGCAGAGGCAGTGGACCTGCTGCTGCAGCACGCCGACAAGTGATGGCCTCCTGGGAGAGCCCCGCCTCCTCCACCCCTGCCTCTCCTCCACCCCTGCCTCCCCTCCACCCCTGCCTCTCCTCCACCCGCCCAGGAGAGCCCCACCTCCTCCACCCCTGCCTCTCCTCCACCCCTGCCTCCCCTCCACCTGCCCCAGTGCCCAGACCAACCAAGGCCCTGACAGCCCTGCCTTCTGCCCTCTGCCCTGCATGGGCAGGCATTTGTTCCCTACCTGGGTGGCCTGCTCCCCTGCCTGGGCCCTGACTTCAGCTCCCTGTAGTGAAGTCCAGGAGGGTGGGACAGGCCTGTCAGGCCTCTGGGAATCTCCCAAATCCCAGAACTCACCACTCACCATGGGCCTTTAAATGCAGTAAACTCCACCTAACCAGATTCAGGGGCACTATGCCCACTGCCTCCTCTTCAGACTCTTTGCATTTCAGTGAAGAGCCTGGAAGAAACCCAGGGGCCTCCTATGCACAGATCTTGCAGCCCAGAACCAAGTCAGCCTCCCTGCGACTGCCCAGGCACACTGCCCACCACCCCACCCCCGAAACAATGCCAGCCCGCTGCTTTTTCTATCCTCCCAGTCACCTTTGCAGACAAAGACCAGGGGCAGCTCCCGAGGGCACTGTGAAGGCTCCCATGCCACACAGTGAGAACTGTAGCCTCTGCGTCCAAGGCACACAGGGTACTTTCTGGACCCACTGCTGGACAGACTTGAAGGTGTCATGCCCGGTGTGTGCAGGAGGAAACTAACAGTTCAGTAAACTCTGCCTTGACCAGCAGCCTTTGACTCAGGCTTTGACTGCTAGGAAGAACCGTATGGGGGAGGCCACCAGCAGGGTCTGGGCCACTGTCTCTAGTCCTGCCTTATGCTTGAGCCACTGAATATCAGAGGTGCGAGGGACAAGGGCCCTGAAACACCTCACCTGCTCCAGCCCCTTCACTTAGCAGATGGGGAAACTGAGGCCCAGAGGGGCCAGTGAGCTGCTGTTGGCCCTATCTGGAACGAGGCAGTCCAGGGCAAACTTTGGCACTGCCTTCCCTAACGGAACAGCCTGTGGCCTGGGGGTGGTGAGCTTTGCTTTCCCGACCAAGGGCGCGGCGGCCTTCCCACAGGGGCCCTGGGAACAAATCACTCATAACTGAAGTTTCAGGTTTCAGAATCAGTCAGCTGAACAGATAACTTGATTGCTCCATTTCTCCCCAAATCAGTTCAGAAGCTACTGATAACCCTTGAGAGACTGCTTCTTTATTTTATTTTATTATTATTATTTTTGAAATGGAGTTTTGCTTTCGTTGCCCAGGCTGGAGGGCACTGGCGTGATCTCAGCTCACTGCAACCTCCGCCTCCTGGGTTCAAGCTATTCTCCCGCCTCAGCCTCCCGAGTAGCTGGGATTATAGGTGCCCGCCACCACGCCTGGCTAATTTTTTGTATTTTTAGTAGAGACAGGGTTTCACCATGTTGGTCAGGCTGGTCTCGAACTCCCAACCTCAGGTGATCCGCCCACCTCGGCCTTCCAAAGTGCTGGTATTACAGGCATGAGCCACTGCGCCCGGCCTGGAGAGCGCTTCTTATGAGAGAAGCCATGGGTCTCCGGAGCAGGATTTCCACCACATGAAGGTGGACGATAAGAAAGTGTGGGACCCACGCCGGGGAGGGGCAAGTACAGCCCCCGCAAGGCCGCCCATTAAATCAGGATTGGGGGAAACGGTGACAGTCTTTTCAGCAAGATGAGAGGCCACCAGCCGGGCCAGTGTCACTGGATTTGAGGGAGGGCCATTTGGCCCCTTAGTTGGAAAATATGCAGATGGCTGGCTCCTTGATGGAGTCCCCTGATGGCAGCTCCTTAGGAGACAATACAGGACGTTCAGGCGGCGGCTGCAGTTCAGTGGCAGCCTGGAGGGGCTGTGCGTGATGCCGGGCTGTGCGTGATGCCGGGCTGTGGGTGATGCCATGCTGTGCGTGATGCCGGGTTTGTGGGTGATGCCGAGTTTGTGGGTGATGCCGGGCTGCGGGTGATGCCGGGCTGTGCGTGATGCCGGGTTTGTGGGTGATGCCGGGCTGTGCGTGATGCCGGGTTTGTGGGTGATGCCGGGCTGCGGGTGATGCCGGGCTGTGCGTGATGCCGGGCTGCGGGTGATGCCGGGCTGCGGGTGATGCCGGGGCTGTGTGTGATGCCGGGTTTGTGTGTGATGCCGGGCTGTGCGTGATGCCGGGCTGGGGGTGATGCCGGGCTGTGCGTGATGCCGGGCTGTGCGTGATGCCAGGCTGTGCGTGATGCCGGTTTGTTTGTAGGTCTTTAGTTTTTTCTTTCTTTTGTGTTTAATGGGGAAGCTTCCCGCCAAGACAGCAACCCCTCTGGGGGAAGGAGTTCAAGCTGAGACCTCTTTTTTTTTTTTTTTGAGACGGAGTCTCGCTCTGTCGCCCAGGCTGGGGTGCAGTGGCCAATCTCGGCTCACTGCAAACTCCGCCTCCCGGGTTCACACCATTTCCCTGCCTCAGCCTCCCGAGTGGCTGGGACTACAGGTACCTGCCACCACGCCCAGCTAATTTTTTGTATTTTTTAGTAGAGACAGGGTTTCACCGTGCTAGCCAAGATGGTCTCGATCTCCTGACCTTGTGATCCGCCTGCCTCGGCCTCCCAAAGTGCTGAGATTACAGGCGTGAGCCACTGCGCCCAGCCGAGACCTCCTCTTTCAAGTTGCTACCCAGGAGTGGGGTGCCCAGAGGGACAGCCCCTGGAGGTGCAGCCCCCTGCTTTGTTGGGGCGGGAGCATGCCACCCTCTGAGCCGCGGTGGGCTCAGTGAAGTGGGTGTTGTCATCCTTCCCACTGCACGGGTCTAGAGTCTGGGGTGCGGTGAGCTCGCGGCTTGCTGAGGGCCAACAGTTAGTGAGGGGTGGAGCTGCGACTTGCAGGAAGGTCCAGCCCCGCCTCCCAGGCCCTTTCTAGCCCCTTCTGTTGCCGTGCTGCTTCCCACCCTTGCCTGGAATCCTCCTGTGGGGGACGCATGTGGTGGCCCCTGTGGCTGACTTTCCGGCTGAGCCAGGGCACCAGTGTCCTCACTCTAGAGATGAGCTCTTCTGAGGGGTGAGGTCCAGCCACACCTGTGGTGGGGTGGTGTAGCCCGAGCCTGTTACCCCGTCTATAAAACAGAGGGATTCACTTCTTTTACAGGCACTTCCTGGCCCTGCGGGGTGCCCTGTCTCTGGCTGGAGCTGATGAGCCGTGGTGTGATGCTTGCCTGGGGGTCGGTGTTGCCTAGAAGTGAGGAATGACCTCCTTCACCCCTGGCTCCTTCCGGCAGCCTGGCCACTTCCAGCATGTGGAGGGGGCCCGGGCCCTGGCAGAGACGGTGTGGAACCGCCGGCCGCATGCGGGGCTGGAGTTCGGGGCTGCCAATGGGCTAAGGCCCTGTGTTCAACACATGTCGCGGAACTGTCGTGAAAAAAAGACTCAGGACCACAGGTCCGGGGTGCTCCCAGGGGTCTTTCCCACCGAGGCTGGGAGTGAGCAGCAGCCTAGGCCCAGCCACACCTCCCAGGCTCGGGAGCTGCCAGGCCAGGCAACCGTGAAGGGTAGCAGGGTGGGGGGTGGAGGGGAGGACAGGGAGAGCAGGCCTCTCGGGCCTCACCCACCCTTGCACCTTCCAGCTCTAGGGCCCACACAGTACCAAGCCCTGGGCTCAATGTACCACTTATGAAAACTCAATTCAAATTGGCTTAGTGCAACAAGGTATTTGGTGGTCTCACATGACTTGAACATCCAGGCCTGGCTGTCACGGGAACCGCATCTCTTCCCATTGCAGCTACTTGGCAGGTGGCGGGATGTCCCCCAGCCACCGACGTCCCCCTGCCTGCTCCGCAACCCCAGGGCCTGCAGAAAAGGCCCACGAGACTCAGACTGGCAGAGACTTAGGCGGACCAGGAACAGGGGCGCAGTCTCCGTCCCACCCAAACCCTAACCAGAGAGAACACGGCACGTTGTGCCAGACGGAGGACGGATGCCAGCGAGGGTCCATGTCCTCACTGCCGACAAGGCTGGGAACTGGGCCAAGTGAAGCAGAGGCCTCCACGTCAGATGTGAGCGCCACCGGCCCAGGTGACTGCAGTTCTTCCCTCCTTCCGTTCGGCTTGAGCCCTCCAGAGGATCGGAAAGGCTGAGGCCTGACCTGGTGCCGCTGTCCTGGGTGGGTCTGTCCTGCTGGTCGGTTCCTGCCCCTCTCGGGGAGGTTGGCTGGCAGCTGGCAGGTGGAAAGCCTCCTGTGTTCACCTCAGGGCAGAGGTGGGGACACAGGGCGGGACGGGCGAGTGTGGTGCCCCTCTGGGGTGGGTGCTCTTGGGTCCGCCTCCCGTGCCAGAGTGCGTGTCAACAGTTCCAGCTGCCCCTCAGAACTGTCCTGGTTTAGGAGGTGAACACACGGGGCAGCCTACATTCTACGTGGTTTTTTTAACATTATAAAAGCAGCATGTGTTATTACAGGAAATTTAACAGAAGTATATAAAAAGAAACCAGAAGTCACCCGGGAGTCTGAGCACTGTGCTCTCTGGGGCCTTTCCTTTCGGCCTTCTTCCTTCCAGCCCTTTCCCTGCACACTGGACAGAGTGGCTGAGTCTCTCTCGTAAGCCCACAGGGTTATGATCGCTGTGCAGGTAAGGAGACTACACGTGTGCCCCATGTCAGAAGCACCTGTGCCTGGCCTGGGCACTGCACTGGGGGTGAGGCCTGGGGCCAGGCCCCACGTGGGGGCAGAACGGAGCTATCCATCCAGCCAGGGACCTCATCTAGGGATTGGGGGCAGCAAGGGGCTGGTAAGGGCCAGAGGTAATTCCAGGGCCACTCTGTGCCCTACCCTCAGGTGGGGCACAAGGGTGGGGGCACTGCGCTGGGTAGAAGCCCCCCGCCAGCCCCTGGCCCACCAGTCATCTGTCAGATACGGAGGCAGGGGTGAGGGGAGGGTGTGCTGGGGAAGTCAATGCATCCAGCCTCGAATCAGTGAGTCCCTAGGCCTTGGGTAAGGCAGGGCTGCAGGGATGGCAGTGAGGACAAGGGGCTCACCTCCCCCCAGCAGCCCCACTTCACATGTTTGTTTCTTGAGTTCAGTGCTCATAGACTTAAAAAAAAAAAATCTTGCTAAAAGCAAAAACCAAAAGAAAAGCGGGGGCTACAGAGCCTCATTCCCAGAGGGGCTGCTCTGGCCCTAACAAGCATTCTAGGCCAGACTTCCATGGGCAGATTGTGTGGGCAAGTGTTGAGTTATGGAAATCAAGCAAACCTCTCCACGCCTGTCCTCCAGGCCGCAAACACGCCCTTCTCCTGAGTCCGGGTAAGCAGAGGGCCATGCACGGGAGACAGTGGGCCACGCCGGGCTGGGCTTCGTGCTTCTGGGGCCCCCGCAACTCACTCACGCAGCAGAAGTCTGCACTGTGCTGCCTGCAGCGGGGGCAGAAACCCGGAGCCAGTGAGCCTGTCTGTGCCACCTCAGCTACCCTGGTGGGTGGGTGGTGGGGGC
The DNA here is from genome assembly GCF_000001405.40 of Homo sapiens. Classification (NCBI taxonomy): domain Eukaryota; kingdom Metazoa; phylum Chordata; class Mammalia; order Primates; family Hominidae; genus Homo; species Homo sapiens. Next base: position 124,618,873 of record NC_000010.11, read on the forward strand.
CATCCCAGGCCCCTCAGGGCTGCAGGCCAGGCTGGGCCCATCTCCGCACGCTGCTGTGTGGCCTCACCTCCCAGCGCTGTCGAAGGCTGAGCTGCTGTGCTCGGAAGGGCAGACTCCTCCATGGCTTCTAACTCAAGTGACACAAGGAGTGTCTCCCCACTGCTGTCCTGGGGCTCCTGGCCCTAGAAGGGCTCCCCATGATGCAGCTGTGGCCATGGGCAGCCTTCCCCCGTCCCCCGGCGTCTCCACAGCTCTGTGATGTCTGCTAGCCCCATTTTATCGATTCAGACCCCGAGGCTTGGAGGGGACAGAAGGGTCCAGTCTAGGTCTCTCTGCGCCCAGAGCTAATGCTCCTGTGAGCAGGGGGGACCTGCCAGTTCACCACACCCAACAGAAACCACACAGCTGGCACCAGGCACTTGGGTATTGAACCAGGAAGCTTTATTTACACAGTACAAGTAACAAGCAAATTCCTGAGAGACTAGAGCGGCTGGAGTGCAAGCCACAGCCTGTGCGGGGAGGCCAGGCTGCAGGGGCGGGCAGACCCTGGGCCCCGGGTCTACGCTTTCTGGTCGCCACACTTCCTGAAGCACGGCAACACCCACAACATCCAGCTCAGGGAAGCCCCTGCAGCCCCAGAAACAGCCTATGTGCTATCTGTCGCCCCAGCCCCCAGGACAGCTTCCCCACACACTGAAAACACAAATCATTTGCCAAAAAGACTATGCTAGAAGGTCAGACTATCCTATCTAGGCTACAAGATCTCCACTTCGGTCTGCCATTAAAAAAAAAAAAAATCTTTCTCTTCTTTTCTCTTTAAAGAGGCATGACAGAGGGGTTTGACCAACAGCGTGGACATGGCAAGGTGTGGCATCATTGCCAGTGTGGGGCCAGAGGGTGCCCGAGCCCCGGTGCGCGGCCAGCCTGCTGCATCCCTGCCGGCTGACGTCTGGAGTGACCGTCATTCCAGTGACCACCCCCATAGCCACAGACGGCACGTCAGTGGAAACGGGGGTGCAGCAGGCATGACACCAAGGCAGAGCCCGCAGCAGGGGGCCCGGGGTTCCACAGCTAGGGAAGCTTGCTCAGACAGGCAGCACACCCAGGGCACGGCCACTCACGCCCCCGCACCAGGAGACCCATTTGGAAGTTAGTTAGGGTTTGTTTTGTTTTCTTTTTAATGTGGACTTCCCCTTTATTTAAATTTTCTTTCAGTGTACAAATTCACAAAACTGGCTACAAAAATTTGGTTGAAAAGTAAGGCTTTCTGAGAATGAAAATCTGTACGTCTGGTCAGAACAAGCTCCCCACGGGCCCAGGTGCACGTCTGCCCGTGCAAATCCGGCCTCCACCGCGAGTAAGGCAAGAGGGTATGGCAACGAAAATGGCAAGGCTGTGGCCCCAGCCCCTGGGCCCCACGGGTGGACGGCAGCCCCTGGCAGTTTGGTGGCTTTGGAATGAGTGGGGTGCATGTGGCACTAAGCCCCCCCCACCGCCCCGGCTTTCCTGCAGGCTTAGCCCGCGCTTTAGGACCCCATGAGCAGGCAGATGGCCTGGCACGGCTTGCTTCTGGCTCTGCCCTTCCTCAGTCTCCCCTCAGAGGCAGGGTTTGTGGGCAAGGCTGTGACAAAAGTAAGGCTCCTGCCACTGCCCCCAGCTGGGGCCATCATGCTGGTGGGGGTGAGCTGTCTGCCTGCTGCCCATGGGGACACCAATGTGGGGGGCACCTCCTAGGCGAACCTCCCTCCCAGAGGACTGAGATCAGAAGTCCTGGGGCCAGCAGGGTGGAGTGCAGGAACAGGCTGCTCCGGGCAGTGTGGCAGCTTGGATGATGGGGTGGCACCTTATAGATAGGGTCTACTCCCTCCAGTCAAAACACAAACATGAAACCAGCTAAAGGCCATTTCTTTCTCTAAGCAGAAGGGATAGCCACCATTTTCTCCCCTGACTGCTGCGTGGTGGGCACAGGACAGGCAGGCGGGGTCTGAGGAGGCTGGGTCATTTCTCCCTAAGCGCCCTGGGGCTGGGCTTGCTGGTCGATGGGACCAGCTTGCGGGGAGGTGGGGAGGTGGCTGTGACTCAGCCAGCTCCACAGCTTGTCCCTTCCTGCCACCAGGCCTGAATGGGGAGGTGGCAGGCAAGGTTTGAGGGCAGGTCACCCACACCCCAGTCCCACGACATATACCTGTCACCATGTGCCTCCCACCCCAGCCCTAAGCAAAGGTAGCTGGGGGCTGCTGCATGCCTCAGCCTCAGCTGGCACCGTCCACCTCCCTCACTGCCTCTGCCTTCCACAGGAAGGCCTGCTATAGAGGCTGTGTGCCCTCGGCCACACCGGGCATGTGGTGCCAGGACCCCCCACGCCCAGTGGTACTCCGGGGGCAAGACATGGCCATGTGCTCTCCACATTCACCCAACAACTGCCCTGGCCGCCTCCACATTTGCTCTAAGAAGACATGGTCTCCATGACCCCCAGGCAGGGACAGGCCAAGATGTCTCTGTCTGCTCAGAGCCACCAGCTCTTGGGTTCGGCTGTCCGGGATCACAAGTAGACATGCCTCCGGCAGGAGCTACAGCAACCAGAGGTGAGCTGGTTCCCCGGCTCTGGGACCTGCCCAGTGCCCGGCATACCCCATGTGTCAGCCACCTGAGCTAGCAACACCATCTCTCAGGGCTGTGGGGCTGGGGGCTTTCTGCCAGCTCCTTAAAGCTGATTTTTAAGAAGTGCCACCCACATATTGGGAACTTGAACCACCATCCTTTTGATGTAGTAAAAAAATAAGATTTAAACAACGTTTCCCAAAAAGCATCTTTCTTGAGGAGAAAGAAGGTGAGAAGCATCTGGACTCAACCTGCAGAAGCGAGGCGTTCACTCGTCCATGAAGACGAGCAAAAGCAAAGTGACTACAAAAGTGCTTTGAACGCGCGTGTCAGCCAACACAAGGGAGCGCACCAGTTATTTTTAGCCTTATGGGAAAATGAGCCACTTGCTCCTAAGCCAGCCCAATTGCTATTGTTTGCAGAAGACGCCACATTCGCTAAAAGCCAGATTCCCATAGAGCAGAGCCCATGTGGTGGTGTCTGCAAGGCAGCCGGAGAGGAGCTACAAACCTTGAGAGGAGAGCAAACCCTCAGGGGGCTAGGCTCCTCGGATGCCCCAGGGTGAGGAGCCAGGGTGGGGTAGGGGCAGGGAGCATGAATCCAGCTTTGTGCCGGTGGCTGGGCCTACAACAGAGATGCAGCCCTCAGGACTGGGCTCCCCCTAAGCTGACAAGGGCGTGGGCTTGTCTTGAGGTGGGTGATGTGCCCTGGTTACAGCCAGCAGTCCTCAAGGACAAACGGGAGGTGCCTGGAATCCTGCAGGGGCCCCTGCAGAGTGGCCAGCGGACGCCCTTCACCCCTGAGTGCGCATAGGGCCCTCATCTGCCCACCTGCTCGCAGCTCCCGTCTCCCGAGGCCGTTTTCAAGAGGCTGCCCTGGTATCGTGCCATCCCTACACTCACCGGAACCAACCATGCTTATCACTCAGTGACCTGTCAGCCACAGAGAAGGGCTGCCATCTGCTAACCCTGCCCCAACGGTGGCAGAGCCATGGGGTCAGCCTCTCCATGCTGTAGGAGAGGCAAGCAAGTCCGTCTTTTCAGCCAACAGATCCACCAAATTTCTACCCAACACGGGAGGCCCTAACAAGCACCCTCCAAATCGTTCCTTGGGCCCGAGACTCCGGACATGGCTTACCCTCTGGAGGGCCAGTCCAGCACCCCAGGGATTCTGTCTCTCACATTGGAATTAAGGCCAAATGGTTCTGGTGTTACAGAAGGAAGCATCTCCCGAACCTTCCCAAGCCTGAAGCAGGGAGACCTGGGAGAGAAGGCACGGAGTAAAACTGAGTGAAAGAAGCTGCGGGGCCGACTCCCCAGAAGTGAACCTGAGTGAGGCCAAGAAGGGCCCTGACATAGCAGATGGCCCCTGGCCCCCACCCCAGGCCCTCCCTGACAGCCCCCACCACCAGGGGGATACAGAGCGGTGCCCAGCTCTGCCGGGGACAACAGAGACTGCCCAACATCCCACAGGGAAAGAGGCAGAAAAGACGCAAACTTCAAAGCTGTCCTCTGGGCTGCAGTAGTTCTGTGGACCTGGTGGCTGCCACGCTCGGGGAGCCGGTGAGAGGCTGACACACCCGCTGTATGACGCGGCCAGGCCAGGCTCTCCCCCAGGCAGCAGGTGGGCTCCCTCTCTGGGACCCGACACCACTCAGGAAGCTTTCATCAGGCCCACGAGTTGGGCTCCCCTTCAAGGGCCCACCTAGTGCCCAGAGTGGGGGCTGTCGATGCCAGCACACCCCAGCCCTGCCTGGGCCCACACCCCCTCAGTTCTTCTCTATCTGCTCAATGTCCAACTCGCCGTCCAGGGAGCAGAGGCTGTTCCCAGGGGCCCCGCGGTCCCGCCAGGCTGCAGCCGGCTCCGCTCTCCTGCCACAATCCTCGTCCAGGGCGCAGCTGTCTGACTCCTCACAGGACAGGTCCTCCTGGCAGGCGAGGTGGTCGTCGAAGGAAGGGGGAAGAGGCTCAGGGACCGGGGTCCCAGCGGGGGTCCTGCCCCCTGGGCCGGAGGCTGAGAGCAGGGCGGTCCAGGCCCTGGTGTTGCTGACGTGGCGGGCGAAGGGGCTCTGGGGACCGCAGTCCTCTGTCCCTGCGCTCAGGCAGCTGAGGCTGCTGAAGGTCTGACAGTTCTGTGGAGGGGCAGACACACAGGTTACTAAGGGTTACTCCCCTCCCGCAGCCCCAGGACTGCACACCCCACAAAGCAACTAGACCACCAGGCTGTGGCAAGACCAATCAAGTCCCGGGTTCCTCCTATCCAGGCAAGGACGGGCCCATGAGCAACGTACTCATGAAGATGCACCTCCGGCCAATGAGCGCTCTGTGCTCATAAAGACACGCGCAATTCCACTATTCACCTACTAACTCGGCAAAGCACACAAATTTGATGCAGACCCAGTTCTGGGGGGCTGCGGTGAAACAGGAATGCTCCTAACACTTCGTCCACAGCCTTTCTGAAGCGCAACCTGGGGAAAATATATCCAATTCCTTGATCAGGTAATTTCACTACTTGGATTTTTATCTTAAGAAAACATTCTAAGATGTGTGTAAAAATTTGGCAACATACCGTTAAATGGAAAAGAAGAGAGTAACCCAAACACCCTACAATGGTGGTGAAATCAATGTTTTTCAAGCAGGGACCTCTATGCAAACATAACTGACGCGCCGCGATACTTCCCTTGAGAAGGGATCTGACTTGGAGGAAGCCCAGGCTGTAACTGCCCCACACAGGGCGACACGACGCCCGCTCTACCCACTCTCCACAACCAGAGCGGGAGCCGCAGGCTAGAAGGGGCCGAGCTGAAGTCCTGAGCCTGGTGTGTAACAGAGCCATGCAGGGAGCTGGGGAAACATGAGTTCTCGGCCTCACCTGGAGACACAGAGTCTCTAGAAGGGAGTGGTCCTGTGCCCTCCACAGGTGCTGGGGACTGGGAGGTCTGATCTGCTGAGGAGGGGCCAGGCTCCAGGTTCTGGTGCTCGCCAGCTGGGGGCCTCATCTGGAAGAGGTGCATGATGCTCCCTGCCTGCCTTGCTGGGCCCTTTGAGGCCCCAGAGAGAGAGTAGGCTGCGCAGAAGCTTCTCCGCTCACCAAGTGTGCTCCCTCTGTGTGCTCCCAGGCACCAAGTGTGCTCCCAGGCTGGCCTGGGGCAGGAGGCAGCCTGGGGCCTGCCCGAGCGGCAGGCAGAGCTTGAACAGGATTTCAAGGGTACGCAGGCCAGTTCTGCTTGGCGTCAGCTGCCAGCGATGGGGGTAGGGCTGACACTGTGCACAAGTGGGTGCAGTTCAACACCTGCTCCCAGGGCAGAGCACAAAATCCAGCCTTCTCCTCAGAATGATGCACATGCCACAGACAGGACAGAGGCTGAGACAGTGAGGGGCACTCCCGGCGCAGTCCTGGATATCCCCAACCGGACTGCAGCAACGAGGTCGAATAGCAGAGGGGAGCGAGGGAAGAGCTGCGCACAGAGGGCAGGGGGGAATTCCAGCCTTTAGTTTCTTCCCAGCAGATGGGTGGGGACTGGGGAAGCAAAGCAGGGCCTTGGAGCACCCGCCGCCTCCCTCGCCGCACGCCTGCTGACGCCAAGACCACAGACCTGTCCCGAGGGCCTGATTCTTTCAAAGGCTGCAGTGTTTGTGTGTCTCTTTGAAATACAGGTGATCACTGGCTGTCACAGCCAACAAGCTGTTGAACCAGCCTCAGCGGATGGGAAATAAAAGGCGCTCTCTCTGGAGGAAGGTATATGTGCCTGCCATGGGCACGCTCATTGTTCCTGAACACTCGGTGGAGGAAGCCGTTCTGATGGGTTTGCTTTTTTTGGAATCTTTTGATTAACTGAGAAAGGTGAAGGCTGAGGTGTTGGGGGGAGCTCTGCACGGGAACTCAGGAGAGTGGCAGGGGCACCCATTAGACTGGAGATGCTGGCCCCCCAAGGAGCCACAGGTCCACCCTCTGGGCCATGGTGGGATTCGATGCAGCCCGGTGGTGTGCACACAGCACAATCCCCTCACCACGGCAGAGAGCTGGAGACGGCGACCCCTGCACAACAGCCCCAGGTTCCTCACCGGCTCCTGGCCAGGCCTGGACGATGGATCGGCAACCAGGATCCTCGCCTGCCCCTGGCCAGGCCTGGGCGATGGACCAGCAGCTCCCAAAGCGAACCTGCCGCTTGTGAGGTGGAAGCCCCAGTGCTTTCGAGGGGAGGGTCTCTGAGGCTCCTCCTGCTTCTCAGCCACCCTCTTGACTGGCCTAGACCTGAGCCAGGACAGAAGGAGAACTGAGTAGGGGGCACAAAACAGGGGCAAGATGGCCCAGCCTGGGTGGCCTCAGCCGTGTGTCCCGGGCTCTGCTGAGCCAGGCTGCCCCGACAGAGGAGGCCTAGGGTGAGGCCAGGATGCGTCAGGGCCTGAGGTCCCCGGGGAGCCTGACCCACCTTCTCCTGACCCTGGCTGAGCAGCCTGTTTCTTGGCCTGTAGAGCAGCCACGGTGTGTAAGGATAAATAATCATGTCCAGTCAAGGCCAGAGCAGCCCGGATGACATGCTGTGAACAGGTTCTAGGTGGGTGACAGGGCACTGAGGCCGACTGCCTTGGGTGTCAGCCACATCTGTTGAGATGCGTGTGCCTGACGCCCGAACGCGTGCCAGCGTTTTCTGCGAGCTGTCATGTGAGGGGCCTGGGGCGTGGCCTGCTGCGAGTGTTTTCTGTGGCCTCGCACGTGAACGCAGCAGGAGCGCAGCCTGCGCAATCGGACAGACGCCGCACAGCGCTTGTCTGTGCTCACCCTCTCGGTCCTGCTCGGAGCTTCCCACTGACCTCCTCTGGCATAAGGCGCAGGTAGCGGGGGTGCCTAACTTATGGCCACCATGATTGTGTGGGTCTCGGCACTAACCGTGGTGCTACGGTCGAAATTTGTGCCCCCCCCCCCCCCACCATTCCTCAGTGCAAAAGGTGGGGCCTCTGGGAGGTGATGAGGTCATGTAGGGGCCTTCACAGATGGGATGAGGGCCCATAACAGAGACTGGAGGGAGCGCAGGTGCCTCTCCAGCCAGACAAGGATGTGAGAAAGTGCCAACTATGAAGAGCAGGCCCTCACAAGACCCCGATCCTGTTGGCACCTGGATCTTGGACTTCCCAGCTTCTAACTAAGAAATACATTTCTGCGGTTTATACGTTCCCCAGTCTAAGGCATCTTTGTCACAGCAGCCCAAACAAAGTAAGACACTTTATGCATTAGCCATAGCCAGGCACGGGCACTGGAGACCCATTAGCTAGACCTTTCACAGACGTGTGGCTTTTGCCTCACTGCGCCCTGGAAGGGGCTGAGGTCAGACAGGCAATACAGAGGCAGACTCCATCCACATGGGCATCACGGCGCCAGGCAACTCTTCCACCTCTGGGCTGCAGCCAGCCTGCCTGCCGAGTCAGGGTGTTCAGGGCTATCTGGACTAATTGGGCCCTTTCTGCTGTGAAGCAGGGGGAGTCTACAAGGAAGGGCTGGTGAATCTCGTCACAAGCAAACCCCAGAATGCCACTGAGTCTCCAGTATTCTTCAAATATACCTGCTTCCTGGCCACAAAGCCAGCGAAACCTTGAGAATTCCGTTGACTCAAAACAGCCATTTCAGCCACAGTAAAAGAAAGCCAAGAACCACCCACTGTTTGCCCCAGCTGGTGGCGAGCCCCACCTGTCAGGAAGGAATGTGACTGCCACAATGGGGCGGTGTGTGTTCTGCCCAGAGCCCCATCCCTCGTGAGCAACCCCCATGCAGACACCCAGGGTGTGCCACACCCAGGCCCTGCAGCTGCCCTGTGCCCTCCATGCCCCGGGGCAAGGTCCCGCCCCAGAGTCTCCTAGCAGCTCTAGCTACCCCATGGAAGAACACTGCACAGGCAAGTTGGAAGCCTGGAGGCCTGTGTGCCCTCAAAAATGTCTGCAAAAAGCCGCAAAATGGCTAAGTTCAAAGTGCTGCATGAACACATTATTCCAAGGTGAAAGTGCTGCTCCAGGACCAACTGTCCCCCAGCCCGTCGACTTCTGCTCTCTTGACATCCAGCCCCAGCCCTGGGCTGGGCCACCTACTCTGGAACAGGCCTGCCCAGGTAAAAAGCTCAGTGGGAACTGTCCCTATGGCCTCAGGCTAGTGGCCAGGGACATGGATCAAGACCTACTCCTAGAGTCTGCAAAAGGCAGACCACAGCAGCCTGCTAGAGAGGCAACTTTGGGATGGAGGCCCTGCCTTTTCCATCAGACCCCCTAGACCTCAGCTCTAGCCACCAAAGAGGCCCTGGCCATTCCCGCTGGCCCCAGCTGGGGTTTCCTGCTCAGCCTGCCCCAGCCGGCCTCCCTAGGGCTTCCCAGCTTGGAGCAATGACCCCTCTTCTGCAGGGCTGTTCTGTGCAGATATTTATTCCCATACTTTCTCCTGAGTCCACGGGGATACAGACAAAGGTGGCCTGGTCCTTGCCTTCTAGGTACAAGCTGAAATACAGACCTGCCTCAGGAAACTCATCAACTCAACATATCAGCTCTGTACTGCTGCCAGGCAGACTGCTACTCACTCCGTCCAGCCTCAGCCCAACAAGCTCATTCCCTCTCCCAGGTGCTGCTGTTCCTGGGCCAGCAGGGTGAACACGTAATAGAGACGCTAGAAACATCTCCTGAGCTGAACTAAACCACATGTTTTATCAGTAGTGACCCAGAACCCACTCTGGGCTCCGAAGGGCAAGGCCTGGGGAGTGGAGGGGGAAACAGCCCCAGCATTTGTCTAGGGACTGCTGTCCCTAGAACTCATGAGCTACGGCCCCACATGCAGGAGTGGGCATCCGGTGACAAAGACAAAGCTGGCTGGTCAGGTGATATGTCTGGGAGCAGATAGTGACCACTCCCCTTTGTCCCGGTTGCCTCCTCCGAAGGAGGCTGCGGTATTCTCACCCCCTGGGCCCTGGCTCTCCACTGAACCTGGAGGGTTCCGGAGAGGAGAGTGGGAAACTAGACTCTGCAGCTGGAGGCACTGAGATCCTCCACTGGCCAAGTGGCCTCACTTCCCGTTTCCTCCCCTGGGAAGCAGAACTGCTGTCTCTGGCCAGGCTGCTTCACAGGGCCACTGCAAGGATCCTAAGAGGAAAGCCAGGCTGCTGGTGTCCCACCTGGAGTCCCAAACCCACAGCAGTGCCCACTCTCCACTGCTGTGAGTGTTGGCTCTGACAGTTCATGGCTGCCCCTTCCGGAACTACTCTGGGCTGGGAGATCTAGGATAGGAAGGAGGTTACCCTTTCCCTTTGGGGTCACCCCCAGCCAATGACCAACAGGTGCAGGGACAGGAGCTGTCCCTCCTCTTGGGCGGGATCAAGTCCCACGTGCTAGTCACACTTCGCAGCTCCCAAAGCACCAGGCTGAGAAGCGACTTCAGCTGAGCCCACCTCTTTCCTGGGCCTCTGCAGTTCATGGGCTTCCCTCGCCTCCCTGAAGGTTCTTGCTGGGAGCATCCCTCTCTGTGTCACTGGCACGAGAATCCCCGGCTCAGGCCCCGCTTCTAGAGACCCAATCTAAAGCCACAGGTAAAAGCACCCTGGGTGTTAATGTAGTTATAGGTTATGCACCTGCTTCTTAGTACTACTATTCTTTCTAGAACGGGAATGTCAAGCCATGGTCAGAGACTGGCCACGGGGCCCTGTGGGGAGTCCAGTTCCTGGCCCCAGCCTGCCTGGCATGTGCTGGGGAGGGGTGGTTGTTGGGGACGCCTCTCCTCGGTTAGTCGGTGTCTTAAGTGTAGTGCCCACATGAGGCTTCCTCTGGGCCCCTGCCTGCGCCAAGTCCGTCTCCCAGAGGTGCTCAAGTGCCTCCCTTTTGGGCAAGCGAAGACCACTTCCCTCCTGTGCCACTGCTCCTCATGGCGGGACCAGCTGCGTTTCCTCCTTCCCTTGCTCTCTCCCTCTTTTTAGTCCAGTTTTATGGCGCTCTGTGTTAGAGGTCTTCATGGAGCTACCTCGAGTCCCTCTGAGAAAGGGCCATCAACAAGCCCAACTCACAAGTCACGAGCAGAGCTGGTCCCCAGCCTGGCCTGGCAGCTGCCCTGCTGAAAGCTGCAGGGGCCCCAGGCTCTGGCTGAGTGGACGCATTTCCTCCCCAAACAGACGCTTGCATGAGAACAGAATTCTCCAAGTATCAAGAAAACACCAGGCTATGAGAATGGATGGCCAACAGCCTGGAAATTTTCTAAGTCCCATTTGTGCTGGAAGCTGGCACAGAAACAACCAAGACGGCAAGGCATGTGGTTTCCTAGGCTTTTTAAAAAACTATTTCAGAAAAGAAAAAAAGGCACAAGCATATTTTTGGCCCATCTTTAACCCATCTCTGGTAAATCTGGATTTTGCGTGAAGGCCGTACTCTTTCTCACAGGAAGCTGCTGCCCCTGCCCCTGGGGCCAGAGGGGTCAGGTGGTGGTGGCTTCTTTTCCTCTGAGGCTGCAGGTGCTAGAGATGCCTCGAAGGCTGTGGGCATGGCCAACCTTTCCCTAGGGGCTGACTGCCCAGGCTCTGCAGGGCCCTTCCCCTGGGCATCTGGTCTTCTGCTGCTGCCCAGCCACCTCCTGTGTAGGCCAGGTCAGCTGCTCGCCCAGGGCCGTGTTGGTGCCCAGTCTTAAAAAGGGATAGCATCAGCCAAGCGGGGTGGCTCACACCTGTCATCCCACAACTTTGGGAGGCCAAGGCAGGTGGATTGCTTGAGCCCAGGAGTTTGAGATCAGCCTGGGCAACATGGCAAAACCCCATTTCTACCAAAAAAACTAAAAATTAGCCTGACATAGTGGCGCATGCCTGTGGTCCCCGCTACTCGGGAGGCTGAGGTGGGAGGATCACTGAAGCCCAGGTGGCAGAGGTCGCAGTGAGCCGAGATTGCACCACTGTACTCCAGCCTGGGCAACAGGGCAAGACCTGTCTCTCCAAAAAAAGAAAAGCGGGGGACAGCATCATGCCCAGCCCATTTTTGTGAAATGCTTACCACCTTTGGACCCCAAAGAGGCAGCCCTTCTGAGTCTGGACTGCCTCCTTACCCTCAGGAATCAGGGCAACACTGGCAGCAAAACCCAGATGGGGAAGCCAGGTTGCCAGGGCCTGAAAATAGGGAAATCAGGTTGCCAGGAGCGGGAAGGTACTCCAGGGCCCTGGAAGCTCCACTGATTTGGCAATGGATACTCAAGACTCTTCCCAGACCACAGGTTCTAGAAGCAAATGGCCCAGTGGGGGTGGTAAATATCTTCAGGGTGGAAGGCTGGCCCTGGTCAGTTACTAGGAAAGTTCCCACCTTCCTGTGACAGTTTCCTTAGCTCATTTCTGCAGAGGCCAACAAATGTGTACTGAGCGCCTGCCACATGCCAGCCAGACTGTGGTCACCCCGTTCCAGAAGCCAGTACAGCAGGGGACAGACTTTGGCGGCACTGTCTCAGACTGGTCAGACTCACAGGGCAGGCGCCATTTTTCCTTTTCTGTGGACAAGGTATCTTGCCCCAAATCTGACATCCCCTCCAGATCTGGGAGGCCCAGGTGGTGCCAGAGCCAGGTATGCTGTGTGGCGGCCAGTCCAGGCCACGCTGAGTCACTTCGGGAAGGGTGGCACCAGCTTGGGGCTCTCTCCATGGTCTCCACACCCCCAGCCATCCCTTGGCCTTGCTGTCCCCGCTCTGGTGGCTCTCTTGGGGCCCTCATGCTGTGCATCCTGGGGGCACCCCTCCCGCTGGATTCTTTACACAGTGTAGCCTTGCCTACGGTAACTCGAGGCCTAGGACCCAGCTGGGGACAAGGACTCTAAGGAAAATTACCTATGGCCTCCGGAGGCTGAAGGAGTGGGGGAAGGAGGAGTTGATCTTGGGGACAGCCCATCCCCAGCCCAGACACCTAAAATCCCAGGCCTCTGAAGACGGACCTAGGGCCAGCAGGCCCAGCCTACTATCTCCCCTGCCAGACCCAAGGAAGGCAAGCGTGGGCTCCAGCAGGTGCCCTGTGGACTCCACTCATCCCGTGGGCTATCAGCAACAGAGGGTTACTCATAACGGAGCCCTAGAAAGTCACTCCGTTGGCCTGGGGAGTTGTCAAGTTCACCAGAGTGGTGCTCATCGGGCCAAACCCGCCACGCAGGCCAGAGCCCGGCCACCACTCTCGGGCTGGCCTTTCCCAAGGCCCCTCTTCCTCAGGCTCTGCTTCCTGGGCCCTCCGCCCTTGCTGCTCCCACTCAGGCTCTGACTCCTTCTATAGCAAACCTCTTTCAGCCACATAAACCCCCTCTGCACCAGCCCTGGGTCAGCACCATCCTGACGGCCCCGCCCTGTCTCCCTCTTCACTGGCAGATTCCTTCTCTCCCACCAAAACCCGCCTCTGCAGCAGCCACTCCGGAAGCAGGCCCAAGCTCCTGTGTGTACCCCATTTCCTGCCAAGCGTGCAGGGAACCCTGACCCCACATGCCACGGCCTGGTTCACAGTGGGTGCATCGTGCAGCCTGGGGGCAGAGGGTAGGTAGGAAGGAAGGGCCCACCCGGTCGGCCCTCCCAACTGGGCCTCTGTTTGCACAGCCCTGGGGTCCTGAGGCCTACACCCCAGGATGCCGTGGGTAAGAACAGACCTTGGAGGCCCAGAGCCACGCGTGTCCTCTGAATGGTGGCCAACCCAGGGGCCCCTCTCCGAGGGCACCCCACAGGCCACACGGTGGCGACGTTTCTGCACCAGGCCCCAGATGGCAGATGGCCTGCCCGAACACAGAAGGTGTGGGAGCTGACGCCAAAGGGCCTCCCGGTGCTCTCACAATTGGAAAACAAACATTTTGTTTCTGTGGTGTACATTCCAGCCAGCACACACTCAGGACAGGACTCGTGAAACCACCTCGCTCGCAGCTTGGCGTGAAGAGAATTCTTTGCCTAACAAAAGTCAAGGGACCTTTCCAAAGCACACAGGGTTCTGGCGGGGGGCCGAGGCTAATGTACTGCCTGCGCCCACAGACCTTGAATAGAGTCGACCAGCAGGGCTCACAGTTTTGGGGGTGGCTTCTGAGCAGGACTAGCGATGCAGAAGGTATGTCCAAGGCTCTCAGAGGGGCTGGTGGGCACTCGTTCGCATTCAGCTGCCTGGGGCCACATCGGGGTGCTGAAGACAGGACTGCTGAGCACGGCCTCTGGGCTCCACCCCAGCAGCTCACAACTCTGTTCCAGATATTGTCTTCCATGGAGGGCACACTCTTGGAGAAGTGAGCAAATCACCAACTGGTTTAGCCACTCTTGCAGATGAGCAGACAGAGGCCGAGTGAGGAGAAGGGACATGCCCCAGACTGCACAGCTGCGTGATGTGCAATCGCACCCCATCACTCTGGGCTGTGCTCAGGAAAGCATGCAGTCCTCCGGCAGGACGGTGGGGTAGTATGGGCTGGACAGGCCTGGGCTGGAATCCCAGCTCGGGTGTGCCCTGAGGGAACTTGGCAAATCATTAAACTTCTGTGCCTCAGTTTCTCATGTGTACAAGGCTAATAAGAGCCTCAAAGCCTCAGAAGTGTTTGGAGGGATAAATAGAGACCACCAAGGGTGCGATCCCCCCTTCCCACACTCCACCCCACAACTGTGCCTCTGTCTCTCTGTGGACACAGCAAGGCCACAGCAAAGGGGTCTGGGAGCTCTGCTTATATCCAACCACTCTTGCTAACAACAATCTGCTTTCAAGAGCAAGAAGACACGCCAGCAACACAAAAGATAAAATACCCAGGAATGAACTTATAAGAACTGGGAAAATTGATAGAAAAAAAAAAAAAAAACTTTAAAGAACAGAAAAGCAAGACTGAACAAATAGAAATAAATCCTGTGTGAGGGATAGGAAGACTCAACCTCAAAAAGGTGTAAATTCTCCCTAAATTAATTCAGAAGTCTAATATGATCCCAATCTAAAATATCAACAGTACTCCCAATCCCCATGGTCTTAAGACAGACTAATTTTCAAGTTTTTAATGAAAAAATAAACAAGTGAGATTAGTCAGGAAAACTCTGTAAAGAACAGTGGGGAAGCTAACCCTCCTAGACTAGCCCGTACCATATAATATGCCAAAACACATTACTAAGCCTCCATAACTAAAACAGCATATTAGTATGAACGTACATGCATACCTACAGAGACCAATGAAACAGAATGTTCTGAAATAGACCCAGTTTGGTATATGATAAGGGTAGAATCTCAAAGCAGAGGAGAAAAGATGGCATTCTCAACAGATGGTACTGAAACAGACAGGCAGCTACATTAAAGAAAATGCTGGCTCCATACTCACACCACATACAAGATAAACTCAACACAGACCAAAGAGTGTAATATAACCCATCAAAGTACTAGAAGAAAACAGGAGACTTCCTTTATCATCTCGTGAGAAAAAAAGGCCTTTCTAAAACTCAAAATCCAGAGCCATAAAAGAAATAAGTAATAAATTTGATAAAAACATTTACATGTCAAAAAATGCCAAAAGCACTGGTAGGAATGTAAGATGGTACAGTCGTTGCGGAGAACAGTTTGGCAGCTTCTCAAAATGTTCAACACAGAGTTACCATCAGACCCAGCAATTCCATGTCTAAGAAATGAAAACATATGTCTATGTAGAAACTTGTACACAAACATTTACAACAGTGTTATTCAAAATATCCAAAAAGTAGAAACAGCCCAAATGTCTATCAACTGGTGAATGGACACATAAAATGTGGTCTAGCTGTACAACAGAATATTATTTGGCCATAAAAAGAAAGGAGATACTGATACATGCTACGGTGTGGATGACCCTTGAAAGCATGACGCTAAGTGAAGGAAGCCAGACGCAAAAGGCCACATATTTCATGGATCCATTGATATGAAATGTCCAGAATAGGGAAACCCACTGATACGGTTTGGCTGTGTCCCCACCCAAATCTCATCTTGAATTGTAGTTCCCATAATCCCCACGTTTCGTGGGAGGGACGCAGTGGAAGGTAACTGAATCATGGGGGCAGTTACCTTCATGCTACTCTTGTGATAGTTAGTTCTCACGAGAGCTGATGGTTTTATAAGGGGCTTTGTTCAGCACTTCTCTCACCTGCCGCCATGTGAAGAAGGATGTGTTTGCTTCCCCTTCCGCCATGACTGTAAGTTTCCAGAGGCCTCCCCGGCCATGTGGAACTGTGAGTCAATTAAGACTCTTTCCTTTAAAATTACCCAGTCTCAAGTATTTCCTTATGGCAACGTGAGGACGCACTAATACACCCATGGAGACAGAACACAGTTTTGTGGTTGCCAGTGGCTGGGAGTGGTGGTGGCTGAAGGGGACGGGGAGTGACTGCTAAGGGGTATGGACTTTCTTTTGAGGTGATAAAAATGTTCTAAAATTGATTGTGGTGATGGCTGTAGAACTCTGTGAATATATTCAAGACCACTAAGTTGTACACCTTAAATGGGTGAACTGTGTGGTATATGAATTATATCTCAATAAAGCTCAAGAATGTCAAAAGCAAAGTCAGAAAACAAAGAACAAATTAGTAATAAATATTTGTAACTCATATCACAGGCAAAAATTAATCTCCCTAATATACAATTGAGAAGAAAACGACCAATGACACAATTATTTTATTTTTTATTTTTATTTTTGTTTTTGGAGACAGAGTCTTGCTCTGTCACCCAGGCTGGAGTGCAGTGGCATGATCTCGGCTCACTGCAACCTCTGCCTCCTGGGTTCAAGCAATTCTCCTGCCTCAGCCTCCTGAGTAGGTGGGAAAACAGGGCCCGCCACCACACCTGGCTAACTTTTTGTATTTTTAGCAGAGACAGGGTTTTACTACATTGGCCAGGCTGGTCTCGAACTCCTGACCTTGTGATCTGCCTCGGCCTCCCAAAGTGCTGGGATTACAGGTGTGAGCCACCACGCTCGGCCGACACAATTATTTTAAAAGGGCAAATGAAAAGAACACAGAAAAGGACATAAAAATAGCCTTTAAATATACAAAAGATGTTCAACTGATTAGAAAAACGCAAACTAAAATGACAGAGAAACCGTTTACCTATCTGGTTGTGAAAATGTCAACTGCTGGACCAGCCTCTACTGAGAGGTGGGGTGGGAAACAAACCACCCTGAACGTGGCCCTCTGAGATGCAGGGAGGAAGGGCTCCTACAGCGTTAACCTGGCGACATCCTCCAAGAGGCCAAAGGCACACGACGTGTGACCAAGCAATCCCAATGGGAACGGACCCTGCAGAAGACGGATCTCCCATGCCCAAAGGGACTCATGCACGTGAAATTCACAGCTGAAGCAGCCCGGAGGAGTCGGCAGGGGACCCCACAAAGTGGGTACATCTGTGCAGTGGAACACCGTGCAGCCAAAAAAAAGGGCATGAGAACACCTCCAGGGTTTACTATTCAAGAGAACAAGATACAGCAAGGTATGTATTGCATGCTATTATCTCCTCTGTTATAATAAGAATTGAAATTCCTATTTGCTTATATTGTAAAAAGGAGCACAAGAAACTAGCGGTCCATCTGAGGGCATGGGAGATGGGAGAGATGGGGCAAGAGTTTACTCTGTATGTTGTTTTAATTTTCGAACACGTGAATGTACTGTCCGAAAATGAAATGCCATGTCTATCTCTGTGTGTGTGTATTTATCTTAAGAGCAGAGCACACACTAAGTTAGAAAAGGCCAAAATCCTATTCACATGATCGCTTGTGTTTTCCAAGGTCGAATTCCCACCCCATCTCCATATTAAAATCTCTCGATGTTTCTCTACCAAAGTTCTTTTCTTTCCTTTTCTCTTTATTGGTAGCAACAAAGCGTATGAATTTTTTTTTTTAACGGCACTTTGCAAAATCTGTGGACAAAAAACCTCTACCAGCCCCAGGTTCCTGCACTTTAATAATCACCAAATTAAATCTGAGTTTCACACAAGGGGGACATGCAAACATCAGGAGGGGCCGACCCCTGAACGGCCAGTGAGCCACCCTGTGCCAGACGCCTGCATGTGGGTGGTTAGCCGGGTGGCTTTTCACATGGCTGGTAGGTGCTTTCACAGAACAACAGGAAGAGGGAGATCCCAGGAAAACACTGTTTTGCTGTACAGAGGTTCAGGTGGCCCCCTGCCCGCCCACCCTGGGATTGCTTTGCACCTGCAGCCTTAGCTGCACCTGTCTTGTCCACAGAGGCCCACGTTGGCCACTGGGGGCAGCTGCCAGGCCGGGCCCCATCCTGCGGAGGTTAGAGGAGGCTGCCTGTTTGTCACCAATGGTTCTGGGTGGGGAATGGCCTCTCATGTCTGTGAGCAGCCTCGGTGGCCGCAGGACACACAGAACACGGACACCTGGGCCAGGTGTCTGCAGTTCTGATGTCTGTGACGCCAGAGCCCCGCTCCCACTGGCCGTGTTTTCACACCCACCAAGCAGAAGAGATGCAGAGGCGGAGTTCCCAGAGTCAGGTGCAGCTAGACTTCCTCTCGATCTGGGGGGAGCGAGACTTCTTTCCTCCCAACATCAAAACAGAAGTCATAAGGAGAAGGCAGGCAAGCGCTGCAGAAACACAACTGATTTATCTGCCCAAAGAGGCCTCAGCACAGAAAACTCCAGGAGCAAGCAGTCACCACAACCCTCCAGAGGCTGCCCTTTCTGACAAAATGCTCCCTGCTCCCACTCGAGAGGGCCCCCTTGGAAATGGGGTCTAGATGCACCTCTGGGGACCTCCATCTCTCCTCCATTCTGAGCAGGGGCTGGGTCACCCTTGCTGGTGCTGGGCCTCACAGGGTCCGCAGGTGGCAGGAGACAACCAGACATGCCATGAGGCAGCGCAGGTCCAGGACGTACCTGGCAGGACGTGGGTGCCTGGCTTTGGCTCCAGCCGCCTTGTGCTGGGCATGCCCTGGGGAAGTCTTGCTTGCTCTGGGCCCATCTGCACAATGAGGGTCTTCGGCTTGAGCCCCGGGTGTCCCTGCCCTACCCTGCAAAGCCACTGCACCGAGACTAGCTTCGATGCAACTTGCGACCGGGCACCAAATCCAACTCAGACCTGTACTGCTGACCACCCTAATGGCCACCATAGGCCAGATCCCATCTTGAGCTCCAGACCCAATGGGCATGTCCCTGCTGATGTCCCACGCTCCTCTCAGCTCAATGTGTCTCAAACCTGATCCAGCACCTTCCTCCCCAAGCTCTCAGAATAAAAAGCAAACACCTCACTCCAGGGCTAAAGGCCCGGTATCTCCAGGCCAATCTCACTCATACCCTCCCTGCCTACTCAGGCTCCCCTGGACACATGGAGCCCCTCCCATGGAGTGCCCTCCATAGGCCAGGATCGCCCGCTTCCTAAACCTCTCTCTCCCGAAAGACTCTTCCTGCCATTGCATAGCCCAGCTGAAATGAAACAGCCACCCCAGCCCTATCAAAGCCTCCATGGAGCCTCTCTGTGCAGGCAGAGGGAATTTCGCTCTCCATTCTGGAGCCCCCCGCACCCAGGAGCTGGTGGGCCCTCCCTGTCTGAGTGCCTCTGTGGGCTGCAACCCTGATGCCTGGAAAAACAGGGTCAGGTGGCTGAATGAAGGACTGAAATGATGATCCATTTGGGGTGGGATCCTGCCTGTCAACACTAGGACCGGGCCTGGCGCCATGGCTCACACCTGTAATCCCAGGACTTTGGGAAGCTGAGGCAGGCGGATCACGAGGTCAGGAGATTGAGACCATCCTGGCTAACACAGTGAAACCCCGTCTCTACAAAAAACACAAAAAAATTAGCAGGGTGTGGTGGCGGGCGCCTGTAGTCCCAGCTACTCGGGAGGCTGAGGCAGGAAAATGGCATGAACCTGGGAGGCGGAGCTTGCAGTGAGCCAAGATTGCACCACTGCACTCCAGCACTCCAGCCTGGGTGACAGAGACTCCACCTCAAAAACAAAACAAAACAAAACAAAACACTGGGACCGGTGCTTCCTTGGGCATGTTACGCAATCTGAGTTTCTCTTTTCCCATCTGTAAAATGGGGAAATAAAACTGCCCTAGAGGGGCTGCATGGAGTTGAAATGAGATCACAAGCAGCTCGGGGCTCAGAGGGGTTTGAACAGCACCTGATGGTGCCAGCTGCACCACGACAGAGGGAGTGACCCACGTTGCCCACGAGCAGCCCCAGGCAGACACAGCACAAGGAGGACCACTGACCACCTCACCCCACCCACAAACAGTCCATGAAAGCAGAGACCCCAGGCATGCTGGGGCGGGGGAGGCCATGCTGGCCCTCGCTGGCTACTGGAGCCCTTCAGGGGCGAGGACAAGGTGGCAGACCAGCAAGGCTTGGCCAGCACATCCCAGCACGTCCAGCAGGGCAGCTGGCCATGGACATGCCCGCTGGTGGTGGGTGTGGAAGGACATTCCTGGGCACATTCTGCTCCTCTGGGCTCAGCTGGCCCCACCTGCAGCGCCAGAAGTGAGTGGTGGGGACAAAGTATATGTAGGGCCCTGGTGTTCCCTGAGCCCCACAGGACCTGCTGGAGACTGCATTTGCTAAGGCTTTTCTCACCTGGAGGCAAACCAAATACTGGCTTAGCTATTGGGTGGAGATGTGGGGAGACTCACCCCAGACTTACCCACCAGGGACCCTTCCTGGGGTGGCTCAGCCTCTTGCCCATATAAGTCCCGTCTCTCTAACCCAATGTGACACCTGACAGGGAGCCCCTAGTTCAGGGCTTCTGGACCACAGGGATTCAGAGGTGGGCCATGGGGGGTTGGGTTCTGTATTTTCTACCAGGACCGGGCCAGACCCACCCCAGCAGGAGGTCAGGATTCTGTGCCAGGTTCAGGCACTCAGGAAATGTTTCCTTAAAGAGTACTGGAGGTGCCAGGAGATCCCCAAGAGGGCTGAGGACAGGGCCCATCCTCAGCAGTGGGCATGCAGCCCGGGGCATGCTGTTTGCCACCAAACAGACACAGAAATAGAAAATCTGCTCTGTCTAGCTGAGTGGCCTTGGGCGGGTCATGGTGGGCATCACGAGGCAGACCTCTCGAGGCAGCTGTGCAGGCTGGATCAGAAGGGGTCCTGGGAAGACCCAGCTCAAGGCCCAGGGTGCTTGGCAGGTGGGGCTCCCACTCAGAGGCCCAACTCAGGCTCCAGAAGGGTTGGCCGGGGTGGGTCTCTGTTCTTTTGACTTTCCCAGGGACACACCTCAACATAACTATGAATTTTCTGATAGGCTTTTCCCCCCCTTTCTATATTTTCCCCTTTTGTTCATTACTGTTTAAATGCTTGGCAGAATATACAAACACAGCGCCCGCATCCCAGAGTGCCTAGCTGCGTCTGAGTGAAAGTGCTGGAGACAGATGCCTGGGGCGGGCATGGGGGGACCTCTCACCTCCATCAGCTCATCATCCAGGCACAAGGGACAGGCTCTGCCAGCCTCCTTTTACACCTGGAGAGACAGAGGTTGGTTTGGGCAAACTCCCACCGAGAGGCAGTGGCAGGGCCAGGTTCAAATCCAGATCTGTCTGTTCAAAGCCTGCACCCACCCTTAACCACCACGCTGCACCTCACTGCTACCATAAAATACCAGAATTCAGGATGGCAGAAAATCACTTTCTACCCCTAGGAACCCCCAGCAAGCCTTGCCTGCTGCTTGGTAAAAATTCCCAACTACAAGGCTGAAAGCCCTTGGGCAGAGCCACCACACCAACTGGAGCAGCAAAGAAGGCAATTCAGGGAGCCCTGACGGCTGCACCTTGCTACAGGTGCATTCTCAGGTGCACCCCGTGGGCTTGTCTGCGAGTGTGAGGAGCAGCACAGCCTCAGGCCCTCCACACCTCTCCGGCCAGCACCCTCAGCCTGCACAGCTCTGCGCGGCAGGTTGGGGAGGGATCGTGTTCCTGAGCAGCCAAGCCTTGGCCCAGAAAAGGGCAGGCAGTGGCTGGGATAACAAGGGGAGTAGGGGGCACACCAAGATGGCCCCTGAAGAATGTGCAGGGCTTGGAGCCACCCTAAATCATTCTTAAATCCATGTGTTTCTTCCTGTGCAGAAAACCAACCCAAAGGTGGAGATGCCATGAATCCCACCAGTCCGTCATCCCCTAGAATCTTGTCTTGTCCTGGGAACAAAGGCAGGGCATTTCTGGAGGTTCGTTCTGGTGTCCTAGCAGCTGCAGAGCCTCGAATGATGGCAGAGCTAATGTTTACTAAGAATTTACCCTGAGCTCCATGGGATCGCCCCACTAAACCCTCACCTCAACCTTGGGAGGGGGCGCTACTGTCATCAGAGGTTTGGTGAGGCCACACAGGGAGTGAGTGGGGAGGATCTAGGTGCCAGCAGTCTGAATCCGGGATCAGGCGCTGACCACCATGCAATACAGCCCCGAGCGCAGGAAGAGAGGAGGAGGAAAAAGACAGCCCCCGCTGCGGCAGAGCAGAGTGAGGCAACAGCCCGGCAAAGGCCGCAGAGGGCACGCCCCGCTGACCCCACACTAGGAAGAGCCCTCAGCCAGATGGGAGGAAGGGACAAAGGCTGTGGGTATTTTACTTTCCTCTGGAGCATACCCCGCCTAGGTGACAAATGATGTGTGTGGGAGAGGCTGAAAGCACCCAGAAGACAAAACCAGTAAGACAAAACAGGAAGAAACCAGCACAGTGCCCAGAGCAGACACCCTCAGGGGCTGTCCAGAGTCCCGGGCAGCCTCCAACGGACCCCGACTGGCTCTCATCCAGTTCCTTCCCTTAAAGGTAAATGCTCACACGTCACACACATACCTCTTCCTCGATATGTTGGATTCACTTCAACATGTTGCAGTTTCTACAGTGACCAATAATGCTGGGGCCAGTTTAACTCTGAGCCCCCAGTAACCCTTCCAGTGCAGATGGGAAGTGTGAGCTGTGGTGGAATAGTGAGAACACTACCCCAAGACCAGCTTCAGGACAGGGCCCCAGCCTCTGGCTGAGACCATCACTGGCTCAGCCCAAGTTAGGAGATGAGCCAACTCTGTCCTGGCACCAACATCTGGTGCTTCAGAGAAAGCACAGAACCCACTGGGGAGGTGCCTCTCCTTCTATCAGCAAGTGGCTACCACAAAAAGGAACTGCCAGACAACCATGTGTCATCACTGAGGCCCATGTTCACTAGAAAACAGGAGCCGAGAGTCACGGGGAACTCAGAGATAAGATTCTAAAATCCTCGAGGGAGCAACCACCATGGCCTTAGGGGAAAAGCACCACCCACCCCCAACACACTGGATCCACTGTGCCTGCAAGAGGCCCCTTCCTTGGGAGCCAGAGAGGAGAGGAGCCCCTTCTTGACCCTCGGTCCCAGGTGTCAACAGGTGGGTCTTATTAAGACGGCAAGCACTGATAAGACTTACAGGTCCCATGAACTAGATCCTAACTATGTGCTGGGCACTGCGAAAGGAACTTGGCACACCGCGACTCGCTGGTTCCTCCAGAACCCCCAGGAGGCCTGTGCCAGTGATACTATTTTATAGTTGAGGAAACAGAGGCCTAGAGAGGCTGAGGAACCTGCTAAGGTCACCCAGCTGGAGAGCCGGAAGCCTAAAGCAGGTACACAACTGAACAAATGGCGTGCGTGCATACACGTGTGCATACATGCCCACCCTGAGAACGTGAGTGTTCCTCGAGGAAGAATAAGCCATCGGAGCCCTAACTGACAGTCACCACAAGTGCAGTCAGTGGCTGTGCCGGGCAGGCTCAGACCACAGGGCGGCCACTTCTGTCTCTCACCCTCAAGAACAGTAGCCCTCCCTGCTGAGAGGCTTTACGGGCAAGCTGCCATGCCAGCAGGTCCTAGAGATCTTAACAAAGGCACGGGCTCCAGGGAAGGAGAGGACAGCCAGAGCGCCATGCGTGTGAACACGTCCACAGTGACGGGTCTCACTCTCACACCAACGCCTCTCCGGTGGTTGTGACAAAAGCAAGCCAGTTTCAAGGGTGGGGCAGTGAAGGCAGTGACTCTACCAAAACAGAAGGGCAGCCCGGCATAGCCCAGATGTCACCTTCTCAAGCCTGATGACTCCCATCTGCAGAAGCTGCCCGGTGGCCCAACAGGCAGATGGGTGCTCAGGCTGGCTTGCAGGTGTCCCGCTCTGCCACAGCAGCCAGAATGGTTGCCATCCTTCGGCAGCAATGTCCCTGAGTGAACACGGAACCTGAAATCCCCGTGAGTCAGGATCCCCGAGACACAGGGGCACGTGCAACTGCCGATCACAGAAGCTTTCAGACAGTGACTCCAGGCAGAAAGGGTGGCCTTCTCTTCTTATGCAGTGGAATTGGTTCTCATTGTAAAATTAAATAGGAGCCAAGAATTGTCCCCATAACTGTTCCTGCAGGGTGGAGGTCGGTCTAGGAGAAACCTCTTGAAGCTGCAGCACACGGCTCTCTGGCAGTCCGGCAAGACTGCCTTTCTCCTTTCCGCATTACATGCACTCCTCTCCTTCCTTCTTTCATCTCTACCACTGTCTCCTCTAAGTAAGACCCCACAGTGTTTTCATGAAAGCAAGAAAAACGGACATTCCTGACGGTATCGTGGGACCTGTCGAGGCAGAATCGCTCACATATGCCTTTTTTCTCACTGTTAGCTTGAGATGATCTTAAAGAAAGAAAAGAAAGAGCACGAAAAGGACACACAAAACACAAACAAAAATGTCTCTTCCTAGATGGCCGACAGGAAATAAAGCTGTCTGTCTCTGGAGAGAAACGTCAATTGTTGGAACGCTCAGGTTAAGGGAGAATCACAGAATCAAGGATCACACTCACCCAGCTGAAAGCAAGAAAGCAACTTCCAATTGATTGAGGGGAAAAAAATTAATTGCAGCTTTAGAAAAATCTCTTCTGTGAGGCTGGGCTGTGGGGCCATTGAAGCCCAGGCGGCTCGGCAGGGCCCTCAGCAGTTCTCCCTATTCACGACGCGCAGGTGGCTGATAAATTTCCCAGGGTTTCTCGGCGCGGTGATTGCGCCTGGCTCTTTCAGCGTGGCTGCAGGAATCTATACAGGTCCACTTAAATCAGTCTGAAGCTGTGAAAGCCTCCATCACTCGTCGCCCGGGCCCGGCCGCCCAAACAGAGCCCCGGGAGGGCCAGCGGGGGGGTGCAGGGCTGGGAGGACAGTGCCAATTAAAAATCTGAGCCTGTGGGCCTTTCTCTCTCTTGTTTTCATTCCTACAGCTACATTGTGTCCACTGGCAGCGGATTCCAAAGGCGAAGAGGCTGCATTCACGGCCCGGAGCTTTAGAGCCGCCATCCCGAACCAGGCTAATTAAAAACGTGATTTCCCCCACAGGGCTGCCCCCAGGAGCAGTGAGGATGGAAGGCTCAGAAGATGAGGCACAGCGGTGCACGCTGGGCGGCTCCTGGAGCGGCCAGCAGGCTAGGAAGACAGGGCCCTTTCTGACCACCGCCCCATCCTCAGAGAGACACAGGGCATCCAGAGGTTGGAGATGCCCATCTGTACATGGCATCTGCCCCCAGAAAAGGCTGGTCCCTTGGGTCTCTGGAACATTCTAGTGTTTCCTGCTCATGCCAGGGGCCTCCACACCTGCTCGGGAAGAAAGGGCAAAACTGGCCTTGCTCCAACGAAGATGTGACTCAGGGTAAATTCACCACCCGGTGCCTGCTCCCAGGGCACCTGGTGGGCCACAAGCCACCAGGCCTTGAGCTGCTTATAGTTGGGGGAAGAGGGTACCCAGGCCTGGCCACTTTGCAGCTATTTGTCTACCGCCTGGTCACTTGGCCCCACCGAGCCTGCCTCAATTGGAAAATGCTGGTAAGGAGAGCTAGCTCACCGAGTTAGCTGGGCTAGCACAGTCATGGCACACAGCCCTTACCCAGTGACAGCTAAGACCGCAACTCATAGCACTACCAGTGGCTACAGCCCCTTCACGTCCTCTGCCAGCAAACCTAGGAGCTTTGGCTCTGCAAAGGCCAATTAGAACCCCCAGAGACAGGGCTGGGGCTGCTCACTGCCCGCCCTCCTTCCTTCCTTCCCTTTAGAATTCCAGGACAGCTCCTAGCCTAGAAATGAAGATGTGGGTGGCAACTCTGTTCTTTCAGTGAAATGCACATCACTTCTGGCTGACCTGCCTGGCACTCAGCAACCCTTCTCCAAATTACCAGGGTTTCCTCCTGGCAGGAACAGCTCAGAAATGTACCACTCAAAGGGTTTTGCCACTGAGGGAGGCCTGAGAGGTGACCTTCCTGGGGTGCTCAGAGAAGCTTGGGATGTCAGTTTCCCACATGGCTGTGGGTAGGGAACCCGAGAGTGCAGATGGGTCCTGGGGGTGGCAGCAGGGATGGGCATGGGGGAGGGAGGCAGAAGAGGGCCATTTGGGCTGGCTTTTCCAGCCAGAGCCTGCTCTGACAGGTAGGCTGGGAGATGGAAGGGGACGGCGCATCAGTCCCTCTGCTGCAGGACTCGGTGCTGCAAGAACATCTGTCCCTAAGTAGGTGATGGTGGCCCCTCCACATCCAGAGTTCTGAGGGGCCTGCCTCTTGCTCTCCCCCTGAATGCCAGGGGGAGGAGCCACATGACTGTCACCTGCAGGGCTGAAGCCAGGCCACAAGGCAAGGGCGCCAAGCAGAGGTCACCTTGGGGACCGCAGCAAAGTCATGACCAGGTTTAGCCTCAAGCAAGGGCCCAGGGTACCTGTGGCCACAAGGAGCTGGCTGGAGCCCTCGGCATAGGATGGGGTAGCCGGGGCAACTCGGGCCCTCCCTGGAGGCCTCAGGTGCAGAGTGGGCCCTGCCATCACCGCCATTCTGTGGTAAGACCGCCTATCTGCTCTCTCAGCCTCTTCCTCAACACAGTAACTGGGAAAATCCCTTCTTCTCTTTAATTTTTTAAAATTGAAAATGGAGAACAGTAATCATTGAGAGCAATAATAACAATAACACTAATTCAGAGTGCCCCCTCAGGCCCTGCTGAGAGATGCAAAATCTCAGCCCCTGAGACAGGCTCTAGGGGCCCAAGATGGGCCCACGCCGGCAGCATTCCCCACCCCACCCCCATTCCACCCACAGCCTTCCCAGCCTCTGCTGAAGGCAGACAGGTGAGGGTAAATTGAGTAGGGATTTTGCCAGGCAGTTGCTAAGATCACTCCAAGAATCCTGAAATCCTGATTAATGGGCAAGATGGCTCTGTGCTTTGGCAGTGGGTCTCAGGCGCCTTTTCTTATGGAAAGCAGCGACGCACACTGTTGGCGGCTGTCTGGCATAACGCCTGCTTGCCTGGCCTCATTCGAGGGGCTCAGGAGACCCCAGCATCACCCGGGAGCTGGCAGAAGTGCGCCAGGAAACCATCATGTGACCATCCTTCCCAGCTCCTAGGGACTTGGACTCAGGGATAGCCAGGATGGAAAACCTGGGGCCAATAAGGGTAAACAGCCTGTCCCGGGGGCAGCAGGCCTCTGTGTCTACAGGTAACAGGATGCCCTGCCGCCCAGCTCCACCCCACACTGCATGGCATTTGAGCTGAGTGGGCACCGAGAAGGTGCGTCTCCTTTGCCACTGCCCAATTCAGAAGGATCAGCTTTCCTGTCTGAGGCCAAACAGGTAACAGGGCCTCAGGGACTGCAGACACCAGGGAGGTCAAGGCCTTTTACTCCAGTCAGTGGTTCTCGACCACAGCAATGTTGCCCCCAGCTGAGGACCACTTGTCATGACTGCGGGAGGGGGAACAATGAGCATCTAGCGGATGGAGTCAGGGATCCTCCCATGAAGGACAGCTCTCCACAGACCCACAAGCCCCATGTCACTCCACATCACAGCGTCTCTCCCTCTGATTGCCTGTGTGAGTGCAGCTCGCTTTCTTTAGGCATTTGCTATGTGCCTTCAAGAATGTTTCCATCGTGGCTTCAATACAGATGGGCTGTATCTGCTCTGGCCCCGCAATGGGCTCAAACATCTTCCCCAGGCCTCTAATGCCTGACAGGAGAGAGGAGGAGAAACGTGCCATTCTACAGCCAAGCGTGTAAGGAATCCCAGAACAAACGGAACCGTTTTGTTACCATCTACCACAGGCCAAGGCCCTCCCATTGCTGTGCCGGCGCCTTCTGTTTCCTCCCTGGTCTTTTTGCTCCCAGCCCGGAGCCTCTGGAATACATGAGACGAGGTTCCCGATAGGTGCAGGGCTTTACGGCTCCCTCAGTATCCCTGCCCTCCAGCTCAGATGGCCACCCTGTGACGCTCTTTTGCCCAGTCTCCTCCTGCTGCTGGGAGACCTGGCCTCCAGCCAACCCCCTTATGTGAACTCTGACTTCCCTTCTTATCTAACTCATGAGCCTGCAATACTGGGGTGATTCATCCCATTACTTTAAGGGGAGGCTGGAAGCAGCCATGATGGATGCCAGGGAGTCTGGGAAAACTACTGGCATCTCTTGCCCACTGCAGAAGCACCCAAGGCAAGCAAACAGGCAAATGTGGGTGTATGGGTGTCGACCTCTCCAGGTTCTAAGTGAGGCCCCATCCCTGGAATCTCACACAGCCAGCCTCCTGGCCGGGCCATTCCTGGGTAGCAAGCCCTCCCTTGGCAGACCCTGCAGCAGGCGATGGGAACTGGGAGCAGAAGGAGAACAGCCTCCACCTCAGAGAAGCCCAAACTCAATGAAGAGGCAGGACTGGTGAGCGGCACACACTGGGAAGGGATGCACAGCGAGGCATCGGGGCCGCATGTGCTGATGGTCAGGCTGTGCTGGGCACTCTGCCAAGCACGTGGGGAAAATATCATCTCATTTAATGTGTATCACTGCCCTGAAGCTCTCAAGTTTATTACTAGACCCATTTCATAAATGGGGACTCTGAGTCTAAGTGACTTGGATGAATGGCGCAGAAAGCCACGGCAAATCTCCCTGTCTCTGAGGAGCGGCCCCAAGGCTCCAGGCCTCGGGTGTTTCTCTTGCTCATAAACCCCACTCCCCAAGCTGCGACAATCAGATTTTTCAGGGTCTCAAGCAGAGTGTTGATCTGTACATTTTGAAGTTCCAAAGGAACTGGAAGCTCCCTGTAGACAGGCAGGCAAGAGAAGAAAAGGAAAGCTGTCGCCAAGACCCCACCACATGCGGGAGCTTTCCATTAGCAGGACTGTCCTCAGAACAAGTGTGAGCAGAGATGCATGTCACCAATGCACTCGTGTGGCAGCTGAGGCTCAGGGAGGCAGGTATGTGTCCAGTGTCACAGCTAGGAAGCAGCAGAGGGCAGGGAAGGCCTGTACCCTTTCCATGTCACCCCATGGGGTGGGGTGGCTATGTCTCCCTCGGGGTCACCCCCTCCCCCAGGGCACCTCACTGAAGTGTTGAGGGCAGACCCAAGATGGCTGCTTGAGATGAGCCGAGGAAAATGTCTTCGGCTTCACCAGACACAGGAGGAGCTTCATAGCTCAAGGGATGACCCTGGCCTGTGGTCACTGTTTCCTACAAAGCCCAGAACAGCCCCGTGTGCATGAAGCAGGTCAGTAGCCACATGGAGCTATCAGCCAGCAGAGGGCTCAGGGTGGAGCCAGGGATGGGAAAGGAAGTGGGTGTGGGCACGGGGAGAGTCAACAGGAAATGCACTGGGGACGCCATGGGGCTGGCTGAGGCCTCACCACCCCCAGACTTCTGCATTCTTGGTTCTTCCTAGGATGCTGAAAATCTGCTTGGCCCTGCAGGGCACAATGGCACACCCTGCCTCCTCCAGAAAACCCTCTCTCTGAGAACACTGCAGCAGCCAAGCTTCTGGGAGGAAACCAAGACACATCGAGGATCCAAGGCTCTGGGAGCGTCTGTTGGAAAACCCCACGCTCAAGACCACAGGCCTGGGCACGGCAGAGGGCCAAGCCTTGGGCAGGAAACCTCCAGGATGGAGAGGGACAGATGGGCAGTGGGTGCCTCCAGCCCAGTGTGCCTGGTGCCCACGAGCCTGCAGTCTCCATGGAGGGGAAGGTCTGGGAAGCTGGGGTAGGATGGGCTGCGGCCTGCTGTGTCCTGGCCTGGCTCTCCACCACCTGCCATAACATCATCACACATCTCCCCGCTCCTTGGGAGCCTCCCCCATCTGTAAAATGGCAATAATGACCTCGTCCTGCCTGCCTCATAGGAATGCCATGAGACCTCAAGAATAATTGCCATGGGGCTTCACGAGGGAGAACCCACTAGAAATGCAACAGCAGAGCCCTCCACCATGCCCTCACAATGGGCCAGGCATGGTGCGTGCACCAACAAGCCCCTAAAGGTGCTCTTTTTTGCTTTGCAGATGAGCAAACAGGCTCAGAAAGGTTAAGTAACTTGCCCAAGGTCCTACAGATGAAACAGAACTCAGAGCTAGTCCACCTGTCCCGCCTGTTCGGGGCTCCTTTTGCTGCTAAGGGGTCTGGCCGGGATTAGCAATTGTGGGAAGCCGCCCTGAGAAGAGAAAGCACCGTCCCAGCCCTTAACGAATGTGCAGCGTCACTGGAGAGACTGGTGGTGGAAAGTGCTTGCCACAACAAGCGAGCCACTTGCGGGAGACAGGATGAAACTGGTGGGGGATGAGAGCTGTATCCTACTGACTTGCAGAAGCAGCTGCAGGCCTGCTGGGCAGACTGCCAAAGGCAGGCAACAGCAGCAGTGGAAGGCCAGGTCTGGTCACTGCCCCATCATCAGCTAACTTTCTAAGTGACCCAGGGCAAAGGACTGCAACTCTCTAGGCCTGTTTCACCAGGTACATAATGACAGGTCCCTTCCAGTTCTGAAACGTATAGGCTCCAGCTAGAACCTTCTGCACCTACCTCTTCAACCTCTAACCTGGGAGTAAGGAAACCAGCCTGGATTATTTCGAAGTTTCCATGTCTTCCAAGAAAAAATATTGTTGTCTCAGTAGATGGCAGCAAACTAACCCTGGCAGAGGCCTTCCTGCTATTGTTGGACCAGCTTGGCACCCTCTGACCACCCATCTGACCAAGCAGAATGGAGGATGGGGTAGAGAGGGTGCTACAGGGCAGGCTGGCCCAGGCAACAAAGCCATGGTGGGAAAGAGAAACAGCAGGCCTGGCCGGCCCCACCTCCAGGCAAGTCAGCAGCTGTTTCTCCCAACATGTCTGCCCTCCGTCGCATAACACAAGGTATTGCCAAAATCCCAGCCACTGCAAGGATGTGGACAATGCCTGTTCTAAACGAGCTTCCAGACCAAGCCTCAGTCTGCTTTCTCACAGCTGGATAAAGGCCGCCTTCCATGCAGAGTGTCCCCCTGTAAGATGGAGGGCTTACTGCCAGAGAGCTGCCCTACCCAGAACTCAGGCTGGCGGTGTCCCTGGTCTCCCTCACACACTGGGAAGTGTGCACTTGATTCTTTGTACTCCTTCAGACCCCAAAAGCAACCAAATATACATAAGTCCCCAAAAGCAACCAAATATACGTAAGTCCCCATAAGCAACCAAATATACATAAGTCCCAGGAAACGCGCCATTCATTTTAAGTCCATGGTGCCTTTAGGAAGACACTACTGTTCCCATTTTTTAGATAAGAACTCTGCGGCCCAGGGCAGTCACTTGCCCAGGCCCTCTCCTCGCAGGCTCACTCCCTCTGCACTTTGCCTGCAGATTTCCAGCCATCTACTAGATATTTCTAGCAGTAAAACTAACGTCATAACAAGACAAGCTGGCGACAGGTACAGATGACATAATTATCGATCAGATGACTTATCTCCCTAATGGAGCTGGGATATTCTTAGTAATATAATTAAGTATAGGATAATTTTACAATACTGTAGGCTGTGCCCTGCTCCCAGAGTAAGCACTAAGGAGGCAGACCTCTCCCTCCAAGGAAGGACTCTCTATCGGTTGGAGGAGGCCAAAGGTAAAAGAGGCCCAGGTCATCGCGGGACAGGTGTCGTCTACCCTGAATCTGAGAACCAGGCATGAGCCTAGGTCTTCTAAGCGTTCCAGTTGGACCCTCCACGCTGGATGATGACAATGATGGTGGTTTTGGCAGTGGTGCTTGTGACGCTGAAAGTAACGGTGGTTATGGTGATGATGGTGATGACAGCAGCTGCCATCTGCCAAGCACGCACAGTGTGGCCAGATGTGCTAGGCGCTCTACACCCTTTGGCCTATGTGATCTTCACACCAACCCTGTGAGGCAAGTTATTCTTCTCATCTCCACTTTACAAATGAGGACGCTGCAGCTCAGAGTTTACCTGGCCAGAGCACAGCGAAGCCGAGAGCTGAACCCTAACCCCAGGACTCCAGAGGCGCTGTTTTCTTCCACCTAATGCCTCCCAGAGTGAGGCATTCCTCCTCCAGAAGGAAAACTACTTCTGCAGATGACCAATTTCCAGACTATTTCCCCAGTACAATGTCCCCAGCCCTGCTAGGAGGCCAATATTCCTTTGCCATCAGCCATTTGTTTCGAGAGAGAGATGTGTTTGAAAAGAAAGGGTTCATCCTAAAGTGGATTTTCTGTGCCCTAAACTCTGAAACCCCCCTCTTGCCTTCAACGAGAATGAAAACAAACCTAAGACAACAAAGAAAAAAGAAATGCGAGGACTCACGGGCGCTGAGTCACACCGAGAGGCTCCACGCATGTGAATTAGCCACGCCAGACACTGGGAGCCCCCCAATCTCCCTTCAGAGGCCACTTCCTGCCCAAACCACCCCAAAGCCAAAGCCACTGCAGCAAAGGTGGCAGCAAGGCAGGGCCAGCTGCACTCAGCACAGGGGCAAAGCCAAGCCTTCTGTCCTTGCCGGCCTCGGTTTCTCCCTTTGTGCCACAGGGAGACAGAGCCAGGTGGCCACCACCTTGCCCTCAGACGCTCTGTTGTGGCCTTGCTGCTAGCCTTTTCCAGGAGCTGAGGCCCCAGGGCCCTAACTCAGTTCCCTCGTGTTCCATTTCCCTCTGCACCTTCCCAAAGGTGCAGAAGGAGGCTGGAGGGGTGCGGCTGAGCAGAGGGTGCTGCCTGGCATCCTCCTGAGCCTGCTCTGCTCTGTCCTCCCAGCTACACAGGACAGGCAGGGATGAAGCTAAGAGGGCTGCCAGGGGAGGCAGTATAAAGGCATGCTGTGGCCCCTCACTGCTGAACTGCAGGCACTGTAGCAGGGAGCCCAGCCGCTGGACGGAATCACAATCCCACACACGGCACCAGGGACCTGGACTATGCACCCCACTCCTCCTGCTGCTCTCCCCTGCCACCCCCACCTCCGAGACAGTGAGGCCCAGCGGCCTCCTCATTTCCTCCTCAGGGGAGCACTGTGGAGACTGTCAGCTGACTTCCGACCCTGGGGCCTGCCTGCTCTGGAGGGTCAAGGTCAGCAGAGCCCCACAGATGTCTAGCCCCTGCCTCAGGTCGGCAGTGACTGGGCACTGGCACATGGCGGGGACACGCCACCCCTGCTGTCTACTATGACTGGGCCTGGAACGTTCACGCCAGCCCCAGCGTCAGGACAACTGCGACTGAGGGCGGTTCTCAACCCAGACAGCCTTTGCTTGCTGGTTCCTTTATTTGTCCCCCATCTGTGAAGCATCTGTGGTCCACCAGGTGCTCTCCTGAGCAATGTGAACTCAGGGGCCAGGAAGCGAGGCCCCTGCCCTCCAGGAGTCCCTTTCCAAAGGGCATACCTGGAGAATTTCAAAGCCAACATCAAAGTGTGATAAGCACGAGCATGCTTTTGAGGCTGGAATTATCCCCTCTAGTTTTTCATTTATAGTCCTCTCTTCCACTTGGGTCCCAAGACTTTCCCAAGTTTGTCCCTGCCGGTGTCCAGCAATGGTTATGAAAACCCGCAGAGGGAAAAGCTATCAATTCCCAACTGTTTCTACTCAGTAGGTGTCAACCATAATACCAGGGCTTAGGACTAGCCAGGGTCTTACCATGTGCACAATACGTTCACATCCAGCCGTGCCCAGGGGTGAACTGAGCAAGGAACTCATGCCCAATTCACAGATCAGGAAACTGAGGCCCTGGGCAACACCGGGATGGGCTGAGTTCATGCTGTTGTCAGGTGTCAGAGGAGGCTGTGGCCACAGCCTTAGAGAGAAGAAGGGGCCCGGCCCACAGCTGCACTCACATCTGGTCCCAGCCTGTCACCCACGGTGATAACCCTGGGTGACCATGGCCAGCCACTTCCCTCCTCTGGCCTCAGTGGCTTCACCTGCAGAGGCAAGGGGTCCAAGGAGGTGAGTGACATTCAGTGTTTCCTGGTGCTCACATTCCAGGGCTATCACAAACACCAGTCCCACAGGTAGTGGGAAAGGACAGTATGTATTTTAATGACACAAGGAAGCCTTGTGGTGGAGGGCCTGAAGCAGCAGCATTCCCCATCTGTCCTATATGGCTCCAGTTCGGGGTCCACTTCCTTCAATATGGAAGGTAGCAAGAGTACCCAGGGAACGGCCGAGCAAACCACAGAAAGGCAAAAATCTACTAGCTGGAACCCTCAGGCTAGTCCCCAGGGCAGAGGAGCCTCTTGCCTCTCCAGCCCACACAGGCAGACGACGCCCTGTGTTGGTGTGTGCTCGACCAATCAAAGGAGCTGTAGACAAAATGGCCCTACCTTCCCTTGTGCACCCAGATGCCTTGGCCAGGAGGAGACTGTGCTGCCAGGCCCTAAGAGGTAGGACCCACGTGCCCTTGAGGCCAGGACAGCATTTTTCAACCAGGTCCCGGAGGGCTCTGCAGATAACTAAGTTAAACAGAGCCTTGAGGGCTGCCTGCCTCACCTCATGTGCCCCAATGACACTGGTAGGGCCTTGCTCTTCAAAAACTATTTTGATAGGATTTTTATCCCTGCTCAGTGAATGGGGAGAAGCCCATAGGCTTGGATATGTTTCTCAGATGCAGCCCCAAGCTCAAGGCCAGCCAGGAGGTAATGTCCTCCAGATTTCCAGAAGAGCTGTGCCTGAGGCTGGGACAACCAGCTTCCTTTATGCCAGGAGGGTTGGAGTAAAGCAGGGGCTTGCCAGAAGGGCTCTGGCGTGGGGACCCTGATGGACTCAACAGGGGCATCTCACAGAGCTGAAAATACCCAGGCACTGCCAGGGTCCCGGATGGCCAGGCCTCACTCTCCGTGTTACACTTTCAAGAGGTCTTGCAAGAACAAGATGGGCTGCGGGCCCCTGCCAGGACACTGGCCCAGCTGACGGCACTCATCTGTAGGGCAAAGAGGCCCAGCTGGGTCTCGCTGGCACAGTGGGGTCAGACTCATGAGCCAGACTTGGGTCAAAGCCCTCTCTTAACCACTATCTTCTCAGGGTAACCTTGGCCAGGACCCTCCCAGTCTCAGCCTCGCTTTCCTTGTCCACATGGCCCACGCAGAGCCTATCTCAGAGGGATCCTGTGAGGAAGAAATGAACAGGATGCAAGAACGCACTTTGGGACCTCCAAGGTGCTGGACAGATGGGGGAGTCCATGTGTGGCCAGGTCTGGAACACCTGCTGCCCAGTTCAGGGTTGATGCCAGCTGGATTCTCCAGCTTCTTTATACTGACCAGTGCTGTGCAGAAACTCAGCTAGAAAGCCCCAGGAGCCCGGTCCCACCTGGTAACCTTCTGGAAGCCGACCAGGCAGCTCCAATCAGCACCCTTCCTGGGCTGAAGTCTGCCAGGTTGCTGAGGACGCAGGGAGGAGGGGCATTCAGAGCCATTAAGGGATCTGCTGGACACCAGCCACATGCCTCCTTATTTGGAAAAACTGTGGCTCTGGGAACTCAGGTGCTATCCTAAAGAAAGAGGCTCCTATCCTTGCCAAAGGAAATAATTAGGAAGCATTGTGAGAAAAATGCATGTTGTGAATGAAACGCTGCGCCCAGCCATGCGAAGTGCGATTGTCATCGTCATGCAACGCTATGGTGCTCAGAAAAAAATCTTCAAACAAAGGACCTGGAGCCTAGGGCCTGGCCCTCCCAACCCCTGGGTCTGAGCGGACTTCCTCTCTCCACACCAGGACAGAAACTGGACCACACTGGAACATCAGCTCTGGGAAGGGCCACTTCCGGTCTGTGGCCATGCTGGCAAGGATGGGAAGGAAGAGCGCTCCCAGGGAGGTGGTGTTTGGCTTCCCAAAGGTCTGCAGTCATGCGGATGGCAGCAGAGATGGTGAGGGCTGACTTTCCACTTACAGCAGAACAAAGAAGGAGTTACTGGAAGGCAGAATCCGCCTCTGATTCATCTCCCCGTGGCCCTCCCTGCCCAGGGCGAGGGTAGAAAGCCCGACTCCAGGCATGTGCCAGGGTCCCCACCCCCAGCTCGGGTGGTGGCAGAACCCACTCCCTTCCACTACAGAGGAAGGGACATCTCTGCGGACATGAGTGGTGTTGTGGGTAGGGCTGTAGGTGTTTGGCCTTCCTGAGGCCTGGGACCTTCTGCTCCCCCAGCTCTGAGTCCCTGGGTTTGTGAGCAGGCCCCTTCCAGAAGGAGGTAAGGAGGCCCCGGCGTGCCTCTGCTCGCCCTGTCTGTGTCTGGTCTAAGGAGCTCCATGGGGGAAGTCACACCAGGCCCCTCGGGCTCCTTTTGAAAGCAAGACAGGCAGGAAATGCACAATGATTGCTTTGCCAACAGCCAAGACTGCAGTGAGCCACAGGTCCCAAAGCGTGCCCAGGTTACAGGAGCCCCAGGGGCACACAGGTGATGGGCTTCTGGACAATCCCGTTTTAGATGATGGCAACACAGATTTGAGCTCCAGGGCCCGGGGCTGCCTCCTCAGGCCCAGCTTAGGGGCCCATTCATAACTTCACTCCACATTGGACACTCTTGGCTGGAGAGGGTGGACTGACCACAGTGTCCTGTCACATTCAGGTGACAAGGCTAGCTTCAGGACATTCTCATCTCCCATCTCCCCACCCACACCCTGGGACTACCTCCTGGACACCACCCAGTCTCACACAGCAGGAGGCCATTCAGAGGCTCAGCATTTCCACATGAATTCAGGTGTCAGGACCTGCTGGCCTGGGGAGGGGCCTGAAAGCCACACCCTCCTGGGTGTCAACAGGAAGACTAGGGGCTCCTTGAACTTGCTACCTCCTTGGCTTTCCCCACCAAGACATCTCATCCCACGAAGCTTCTCAGGACGATACCAGCAGGAAACACGGGATGCCGAGGAATGAGGAAGAGCTGCCCAGCACTGGGGCTCTGGAGACAGCCTCTCCTTGGGGTGAGCGTGGCCACTCCAGGTAACGCCCACTGTCATCCAGGGACTGCTTAATGGCAGAGCTGGGGCTCCTGACTGCAGCAGGGGTTCAGCAGGCACAGATGAATATCCAGCAGCCTGTTCTCTGCTGGGGTCCCTCTGCCCCAGCCACAGCCAGCTCCTCCCACACACGCCAGCCTTGGAGGTCTCTCATTCCACGCAGAAGATCCTTCTACTTCTCTGCTCGTCGCCTCTGTCCCACTACCCATGCTCCTTGTCTTTGCAGCACTTACTTTGTCCAACACAATCTGCTTTGCTCTTAATATTGTCTATCTGTCTACACTAGATGGAAGCTGCCAGAGAGAAGGGCCCATGGCCATCCTGCTCCACACAGTCCTCAGTGCCAAGAGCAGTATGTGCACACAGCAGGTACGTACCAAACAGAACTAGCCCCAGAACGGGATCCATCCAGCAGCAGGCAATGGGGCATTGCTTCTGTTTTTCCTGCTCTACAGTACCAGCACGGTACCCAGCACACAGTAGGTCCCAGAAAGACACATTGAACAGGTGGCAAAGAGAAACCTGAACATGGGTCCTTTATGAGTACAAAGGAAATGAGGAGGAGGCCTGGATTCTGCCCACTGGAACAGGGCAAGGCCCAAGATCTGGGAGGCGGACATACAACCAAGAGGCGTCTAGGTTTGCTCACTTACAGCAGGCACTCCCACTGTGGAGGCGCAGTCTGGAGGCACCCCAGGCCCCACGATAAGCATGCTCTGAATGATCAAGAGAGCCAAAGGCTCCAGGGAGCCCTGCTGTAGTGGGAGCGCAGGTGTTCCCCGACGCCATGGCCCTAATGGAGGGCTGGTTTGGGTACAATGCCACAGTGAACACAGACCCCCTGAACTCACATATAGACTATTTGTTAAGAACAAAACCAAACTAATAGTAGGGCACTGCTCCATCAGCACCGTTGCTCCAGTGTCCATGGCACAGACCAATATTGGAAACGACTGTTGTTCACGGACAGGCTGGAAACAGTTGGTCAAATTGTGCTTGGTGCGGCCAGGCCAGCCCAGCCCCTAAGGCCAGACAACACGACCCTCCCGAAGGGACAACAGGGTTGATGAGATCATAGGTGATGTGCTGCCCTCCCACTGATGGAGTGTGTTCTGTGGTGTTAAAGAGGAAATAGCATTATTACAAACTAAGGATACAAGAGCATCAACATTCACAGTCTTTGAAACTGAACAGCCTAAAATAATTCAATTCTATGTTGCACAAGCCAGGAGTTTTTTTAAAAACTGTGACAACACTTGGACACAGGAAGGGGAACATCACACACCGGGGCCTGTTGTGGGGTGGGGGGAGAGGGGAGGGATAGCATTAGGAGATATACCTAATGTAAATGACGAGTTAATGGGTACAGCACACCAACATGGCACATGTATACATACGTAACAAACCTGCACGTTGTGCACATGTACCCTAGAACTTAAAGTATAAATATATATATATATGTATATATGTATATATATATGTATATATATGTGTGTGTATATATATGTGTATATATATGTGTGTGTGTATATATATGTGTGTATATACATATATATGTGTATATATGTGTGTATATATATATGTACATATATATATATATATAAGAAATGGCAGTATACAGATTAAAAGAAAGGAAAAAAAACTGTGTCTGCTTTTCATATTGGATAGAGTAAGAAACCAGTGCTAAGCTAATATATTTTGTTTTAACTCATGTTTCTTTCCCCTTTTTAAAGCAACAAATTCGTATTTCTTGTCATTGTTCCACACATTGGTAAATGATGATTTAAAATCTGTATTTGCACCTGTGGAATCCATGGACTCCTGGGGCTAGAAAGGGTGTCAAGAGTCACTTCTCAGCGTTATAACTGCTCAGAAAAAGGACTGCAAGGAACTACACCAAATATTTAAAGATCATTATCTCTGTAGGTGGATTTCAGAGGAATTTAAA
The DNA here is from genome assembly GCF_000001405.40 of Homo sapiens. Taxonomy (NCBI): domain Eukaryota; kingdom Metazoa; phylum Chordata; class Mammalia; order Primates; family Hominidae; genus Homo; species Homo sapiens. The sequence goes on from NC_000010.11 coordinate 124,657,540, forward strand.
TTTCTGTTCTTTTACATTTCCAAACTATATTTTTTCTCTTCTGAACTTTAAACTTTTTTACAAGTATGCATTAATTTTTTTAACCAGTAGAAACAGTAAATGTCAATGAATGTGAAACTGACATACTCCTGAGCTGATATACAAGTGTTTGTGCCCTCTACTAACAAGAATATTACCATTTACCATGAATTGAGCATTTGTTGTGTGCTGTTAGCCCTGAGCATGAGACAGACATTTCACCTAACTCCCTCTTTTCATGCCCATTTTACGAATGAGGAAACAGGATCAGAGAAATCCAATGACTTGCTCAAAGTCCCACAGCTAGAGCCGCAACCAGCTCCATCTGCTCCAAAGGCCTTGCTTGCAGCCAGCCTACTCCACAGCTTCTCCGCAGCCAGGAAGGTTCCTTTCTGCTTGCTTGCTTTTCTACGCGGCCACTGAAAGCAGCTGTGACGATATGTAGGTCATACTAACCACAAATATTACCAAGACCACGGAACTGGGTGGGCACTTTGGCAGCATCTTGGTTGTGACTGGTGACTTTTCTCCCACAGTCAAAGAACCAGGTCAGTTCCCAGGCTCACCCAGCAGACAGTCTGGGGCAGAGACAGGGGCAGCGAGCAAGAACCCAGGGGAGGGGCTTTGCTACGCAAGAAACTAAGGAAAACACTGGTGTGCTTGGGGATAGGGATCCCGCTTGGCAAATGCGGAGGCCTCTGGCCATATTCGGTGCTGCCATACACAATGCCACCCAAGGAGGTTTCAGGTCCAGAAGCGCCCCAGGTCACCTCAGCAGGAGTCCCAGGCTATGGACCTCTGAATAGATGTCAAGGGGGACCCTCCTGCCCATTGCCACATCCCTACCCTGGTTACATGTTACTGGTGTTTCTCAAAGGCTGCTTTGCCAAGTGGGTGGCCCCCACTCATACATGCAAAATGGGCTAAGAGGAGTATTCTTCACCCCTTCTAGGAGACACAAGCATATTCAGACCTGGAGAAGTGTCACCTTAGTGAGATCTATTTAATGGTGCTGGACCTTTGAGAACCATCCATACAAGTCCTGGAGAACAGCAAACTACCGTGGGAGAGAGGGAGGAAGGTGCACACGGCATGTGGAGGAAGCTGAGATCCTAGGAGCAGGCCAGGTGCCTCCAGCAACATCCCTGCACTTCACCCCGGCAACCCAGGCCACAACTGCAGTGCAGTGAGCTAAAGGGCCACAGCCTGGGGATGGAACACCAAGGCCACGTTCCCTGCCTCCACCCATGCTCCCCGTGTCCGCCTGTCAAAGCTTCTCCAGCCTGCTGGTCCTCAAACCCTGCTCCCTGTGCCCCCACTGAGGCTGCGCTGCACGGGCTCAGCACACAGACTGCTAGCCACACCACCCAAGTTCAAATCCCTTACCTGCCTAGAACCGGCACCATGGCCCTAGGTGAGTTATTTAATTAGGTCTGTGCTTCTGTGTCTGTGGTGGTAACCTGGCATGACAATAACAGTAGCTGTGTCCCAGATACTGGGATGGCGATGGTGGGGATGGGCAGGTTTGGTGGCTGACGTGCACCCACCCCTTCTGCCAGCATCTTGCACATCATGGGAGCTCAGTGTACACTGACAGGACTTGCAGGACACATACAGCCTTTGAAGCTAAACTACCCTTTGGAGAATCGTGACTCCCTCCACCTCTAGCCTTCCTGCTTTCAGCCATGATAGGCCTAAAGTCTGAGCAGAGCTGCTCACCAAGGAAGGACTAAGAGGAGCCACAAGGAGCAGCTTTATTTAAAGGGAGAGATACAACTGATCAGCAGCTTTTCCTCCTTGCCCCTCATCTTTTCATTGTCAGTTTCAAAACAGGCCAGTGCTAGGGCCAGAGCTAATAGCAGTGGTGGAAGTGGTCTTGGTTACAGTAAGAACTTTCTAACACATTTCTGGGTCCCCAAAGATGCTCCAGCCCACGCAACAGCCTCCTGGCTCCAGGCTGGCTGCTGCAGGTTTCTCAGACAATGGCAGCATCTGCCCTGGGACAGCCTCCACTGCCTAACTTTGAGGTGGGGCACAGGATAAAACCACAGCCAGCTGAGGCTTTTAAATCTGAGCCAACCATCCCCACCCTTATTTTCACAGAGTGGCTGCAAAACCACCTTGCCGGGCCAAGCTCCATTACCACAAGCTCATCTCCTCTAGCAACTTCTGAGCTGGCTGTCCACCTAAGGGGCCAGAAGATATCTGGCTGACAGAGTTTTCTGGGTCCCAGGCCAGAGTCAACTTTGCTTTTGTTTTGTTTTTTGAGACGGAGTCTCGCTCTTGTCACCCAGGCTGGAGTGCCATGGCACAATCTCAGCTCACTGCAACCTCTGCCTCCCGAGTTCAAGCAATTCTCCCGCCTCAGCCTCCCGAGTAGCTGGGATTACAGGTGTGCACCACCATGCCCAGCTAATTTTTGTATTTGTAGTATAGACGGGGTTTTGCCATGTTGGCCAGGCTGGTCTCAAACTCCTGACCTCAAGTGACCCACCCGCCTTGGCCTTCCAACGTTCTGGGATTACAGGCATGAGCCGCTGTGCCTGGCCCAGAGCGAACTTTCTAGGGGTTTGTCTTCAGTGGCGAGAAGCCCAGTGCTGCCCTCGCTGTTCACGTTTGGGTTTCGTTCCACCATATGGAGCGGAAGAGCCCCACCAAAATGCTTCAGGAGACAGAGGAAATTGAGGCAGCAAACGAACGCAGAGCAAACGATCCATCCTCGCTCTGGCCCACACTGTCTCAAGCATGAGGGCAACACAAGACAGCTTGGAAAAGACATCTCACTGGGACCAGACAAGCAACCCAGCTGGTACGTCCAGAGGAATGCCCCAGAGTAATGCCATTTTCATTGTAAAAATTACACTTTTGTGCACTGAGATCCGTTGAATACAACTCACCCTGATACCAAGGCTCCAGTTAGCCAAGCTTCACGAGCACTAAGTGCCCCTTTCCCACAGCCCCCTCGCCAGCATGCCTGCTTATCACCTGGGGGGGCATGGGAAGGGCCCACTCGAGGCCAACGGTGAGCACGGCAGAGCCTGAGACAGCCGAGCCAGCTGCCTTGTAGCCCTGCCACATTCCTGGGCCCTATCGAGGGCCAGCTTTAGCTTTTGGTGAGAAATTGCCAAGCAAATCCAGTGACTTTCCAAATGGGGAAATCGAGACGTAAGGTCATCTAGATCAGGTGCCAGCAAACTTTTCTTAGAGAGCCAGAGAGTAAATATTTATGTTCTGTAAGCTATCGGGCTCTGTCATAATGACCCAGCCCTGCCACTACACAACCCTGCCGTTGTAGCATGAAAGCAGCTGGAGACAACATGTATGTATCCAGGCAGAGCTGTGTACCAATAAAACTTTATTTATAAAAACAGGCAATCACTACATATTGGGTACAATGTACACTACTTGAGTGACAGGTGCACTAAAATCTCAGACTTCACCACTATACAATTCAGCCATGAAACCAAAGGCCACCTGTACCCCAAAAGCTACTGAAATTAAAAAAAAAAAAAAAAAAAAACAGGCAATGGAAGGATCTGGCCTGTGGGCTATGGTGTGCTGACCCCTTCTCTGAGGTGACAGCTGTCACCACTCCTGGAAGACATGGCCATAACTGGAGTCATGAGTACAGTGAATGTCCCCTGAATCAGGAGGTTCCAGGGGTCTGTCCACTCAGCAGATCTATAGTTAGCATATTAAACGGAGGTGTGTCGCATCCCACACAGAACTCAACAGACACTGGGACCTCTGTCCTCTGTGAGTGTTCCCCAGGTCATGCTGTGATGAGAATGGTCCCCAGAAGGTTGAGAGAGGCCCAGGAGCAGAAGGGCCCATGGCTGCCCTCTAACCCACCTCAACTGCAGAGGAAAAAGGCAGAGTCTAGCTCTCCTTGTAAGCCAGGCCTCCTGAAAGGGCCCAAACAGGATCTGACACCTGGAATAAAAGCTGCGCCTGTCCTGTGCTTTTCCTTCTCCCAGCTGGTGGGCTCTGAGACAATCTTACAGCCACTGTCCCGCACTGCGAGGTCTCTCTAGGCCTCAAGGCCAGGGCAGTGGGGAGGAGGGAAGGGACCTTTTACTGTCCTCTGCCACCACCACCCCAACACCTCTGGTGCCCTGTCAAAAGCACGAGGGGGTTCCTTCAACAGGTTCCTGGGCTCTACCAAGGCCACCATTACTGCCCCCGTTTGGACACTGCTCGTTGTCCCCACTTAAATTCAAGTTTCAGATTTCAGTAATGATCCAATCTTAGCCTGCTTCATCCACAACAGTGACAACTGTCATCTTAGACTGTCTTACATGGCTCTGACGGCTGGCCTAGCAGGGGCCAGAGCAAGCTCCCTAGATGACGTCATGTGAGATCCCTGCTGCCATCCCAGGTCTGGGCTCCGATCGGTGAGCCCGGCTGCTTGGCTGCCTCACACCAGGGATCCTCATGTGTCCACCACGGCAAGGCAGGAAGGCCTAGCCAACCCCTCACCTCCATGACTCTAGCCCTCACTGGACCAGACCCCTTTGTGGACAACACCTGAGATGGGAGGGGCCTGGCACCCAGAGCCCTGCCCAGACCCCCTCCTGGGGAGTGGAACAAGCATGGGCCTCATGGCCACAGCTGGTCCTGTGACCGTGGCCGCTACTCTGAACCTCAGCCTCTTCCGTAAAACAAGCACAACAATACCCACTTTCCAGGGCTGTAATAAAGATAATCCACAGCTACACAAACGCTTAGCACAGTGCCTGCCACACTGTCCCCAGTAAACAATGCTGTCATCCTTGCTTACTAAGTATCATCAATGGAGGAGCTGATGTGCCCAATGGGGAAGAATCCAGGCCTCCTGCCTCAGTTTGTGAGTTCGTTCGTCCGTCCATCCATCCATCCATCCACCCACCCACACACCCACCCACCCATCCATCCATCCATCCATCCATCCATCCATCCATCCATCCATCCATCCATGTATTCAATAAATTTTTAGAGGGTGGGCACAGTAGCTCACATCTGTAATCCCAGTGCTTTCGGAGGCTCAGGCAGGAGGATGGCTTGAGGCCAGGAGTTCAAGACTAGCCTAAGCAACATAGCAAGACCCTGTCTCTACAAAAAATTAAAAGACTTAAAAATTAGCCTGGCATACTGGCATGCATCTGTAGTCCCAGCTACTTGGGAGGCTGAGGTGGGAGGATCACTTGAGCCCAGGAGTTCAAGGTTATAGTTAGCTACGATCACACCACAGTACTCCAGCCTGGGTGACAGAGCAAGATCCTGTCAATCAATCGATTTTTGGGAAACCACTCACACCTTGGTAGGTGCTAGAGGTCTAGTTAAAGAACCAGACAGGTACAGGCCCTGGCCTCAAGGGCCAGCTGTCACCACTGCTTGGTCACCGCACCTCAAGCCTGGAATGCCCACCTGTCTACAAGCCTAGACCAGGTGAAACAGGGTCTCACACAGAGCAGGAACGAGAAACGGTCACTGAGTCCTTTGCACACTGAGGGGCAAGTCTCAAATCTAAGCCTGTGCCTTCTTGTCCTTGTCTTTCAATGTCATGTGAGTGTGGACCCCAGAAGACCACAAGGCAGGCTGCTTCTCCTCCCAGAGCCTCATCCCTGCCTCTCAGAGCTGCAGTGGTAGACAGGACACACACATAAAGTGCAAGCCTGTGCATGACCAAAGCCATCAGTGCTGTCATTTGTGTGTTGACCAAAGTTCCAAGGAGTGGGGCCTAGGCCAAAGGAGGTACAGAGCTCTGGCTAAGGTTCCTGACATGAACCACACTGCCCTCGTTCCTAGGAAAAGAGACAATGCGAGCAGGAGACCAACATCAGAGGCTAGAGAAAGGCCAGCACTGGAGCGGCTGCCAAGTAAGGCTCCGGCCCCACCTCTGCAGAACAGGCCCAATCCGTCCCCAGCTGCAAGAGGAGCCAGAGGAGGGCTGCCCAAACCAAAGACAAACCAGAGGTGGCCTCCCACAGAGGGCCCATCTCCCATATTCAGCACTTTCCATATTGAAGGAGCTCGCGATGTACTTGGTGGTCTTGTTAAAACACAGACTCTGATCCGGCAGGTCTGGGGTGGGCACCGAGGTTCTGAAGTCCCATCGTGCTGCCAGGTGATGTCTTCGTGCCGGAAGGTGAACTGCACTCTGGGAGCTGGAAGCTTTCCATGGTGATTTTGGGCCTTTAACAAGGGTTCGTCATGGGCCTTCATTTACCCCAGGGCTCATTTTGTTCCAGGGCGCCTACCAGCAGCCTATATTCCCTGTGCTTCTACCCTCGGGCATCTCCAGAGACCGATGCTACTGCTCCTCACCTCCTCCCACCAACCCAGGAGGCTCTGGGCCAAATCTCCCAGGTCTCCCGAGCCTGGCACGGGACACCTGTATGCCCAGCCTCCCTGTTCGTCAGTGTACCCCATGAACACTGCAAGGTTTAAGTGAGCTAACACCGTGCCAGGCCCTGCGGTCAGTGCTGCCTGGATGCCTCCATGCTTTCCAGGGAGCTTGGGTACCAGGTTCACACAGCACCAGGCACTGAGGAGCTTGAGGCTCAGGCCTCACCTGGCCAAGACACACCTGTGGTGAGCAGGTGCCGGTCTCCACTTGAGAAGGGATGGAGCTTGCACACACTGGCACCTCCCCTAGGGCTGGCCCCCAGGGCTGCCTGACACCAGCAGATCAAGCACAAGACTTGCCAGAGAGCAGCCTCCAGCACCTCCATGGAGTCCCTGAAGGGAGGTTCAGAGCTGGGGCCCGCTTACCCCAGGCATGGGAAGTGGGCAAAACCCCAGCCAAAGCAGGCCTCCGGGGCCAAAAGCCAATGGTGGCTGGTGCACCCTGGCATGCTGCTCGCCTTTAGGAAACAGGTCAGCTTGGGGAGCTTCAACACTGGGCCGGGAAGGCAGAGACCTGGGCTCCAAGCCCAGATCCGCCATCACAATCTGCCTTTCTACCAGGGGCTACAAGGCCCCCAAGTCTTCAAAACCCGCAGGGCTACAGCTCTGAGGGTAGAACTCTGCGCAGATGGCACAAAGCTAGCCAACTCTCCGGCCCTCAGCAAGTCACCTAAGGACGGCAAAAGACAGGACCTGGCTGTGCCCAAGGCCAGGCCCTCAGTACTCATGCTCAGTGGTTACCCCAGCCATCCACAGAAATGGGATAGTCCCGTATTCCAAAACAATGATTTATTAGGCACTTGCTGTATGTAGGCACTGCTTTTACCCAATTTTCAGACCAAGAAACTGAGGCACAGAGAGGTTAAGTAGCTGCCCAGGGCAGAAGTCCCCATCCTCTCACTGCGTGGGGCCAGAGGGAAGTCCCAAAGCTTCTTTCTGCTGCTGCTCGATCCAGGACTGTTGCCTCTGGCTTTCTCGGCTCCTGATTTCTGACTCAGGTTGGCTCCCCAAGGACAAACCTGACAAAGCTCCTTTTTCCCTGATGAACTTTCCCCTCCTGGTAAGGTAGAGGGAGAACCCACCTGACTGGCCCTACAGAGGCCAGCCCCAGCCAGTGGCCCTCGCTTGTGTGCACCAGGCTCTTGGACCCTCATTGAGAACCAGGCAAGAAATTCCCAAGGGCTTCAGGCCCCAGCAGTTCACAGCCTCCAGTGCTCTGCACAGTTCCACAGCCCCCTTTCTCCACTGAAGGGTACCAAAGGCGTGGGCATAGCCTTCTCTTACTGCCCCAAACTTGTCTATCACCTGAGTGAGGTTCAAGTCCCTGGCCACCTGCCCAGGGCCATCCTTCGCTGCCCACAGAATAAAGCCTCAACTCTCCAGGTGGCTCTCCCAACCCCAGTTCCAGCCCAACTGTCTGCTCCTGGTCTTAGGAACATCTATGTGCCTGTGTCTCCTCTCCACTCCAACTGATGGGCTGCCCAAGCCTGTTCCCCTGACTAGAGAGCTTCTTAGCTCCCCTGCAAAGGAGCCAGTGCTAGGCCCTGCACATGACAGGCAGAACTCAAAACGTGCCCCTCGCTTCCTACTCCTGGCTTCCTAGAACAATCCCATATGCATACATGGAGGTCCTGTGTCCATCATCTTATTTCGTCCTGGCAACTGCTATTATGGATCCTGCTAGATGGGTGAGAAAACCAAGGCTCAGAGGATACAGCCCTGGGCATTGGTCACGTGGGCCGGTGATATGGCCCTTTCCACGTTTCTAAGTGATGACTTGTTGGTGCTGTGACCTCCAGGAGGCCAGGGCTAACTGTCCTCTCCATTGCTGCATCCCTGGTGCCTACAAGGGCCTGACTCACAGCAAATGCTAGGTAAATAAATAGTGGCTGAACAAAGAGATTAATCTAGAATTGAATCTCGATCCTCAGAGGACAAGACTAGCTCATCTTACTGTGACTCGGCTTATAGTCGGCTACGTAGACACAGCTGTCTCCACCCCAGCCCTGTAGCCTGCACCTACCTTGCAGGTAAGGATGGGGTCTTGTACACGCTAGTCTTCCCTGAGCCCTGGCACAGGCAGTTGTATACAGCTGGTGTTCAATCAATGCATGCTGATTTGAACCAGCTTCCCAGGTTATTGGCTGCCTAGACTCTGAGGGCCCAGAAAGTTCCCCTGGTGGGCAGGGCCACGTTCCTGAAGCTCCCAGGCTGATAAGCTAGATGCCCTGACATTCCTGTGAATCCCTCCCAGAAGGGTGGGGCAAACCAGAGCCACAAATGCAATTTTCCAGGAAAACTATGGTTAAGAGGCTGCCAAGCCCCAGAGACAGGATAGCTCTGGAACCTTCGGCTTGGTCCAAGGCCACCTCTGCCACATTCCTTCTATTCTGGGGCCTTCCCTCCACCTGCCACTGCAACCTTCCAGGCTCACACTCACTTCCAGAGTGCTGGTAGATGGGGGCTCACCCCGAAGAGCTCCCTGTGGATGGGGCTTGCAGCTGGCCAGCTGTGTAGAACCTGACGCGAGTGGCTCGAGCAGGGGACATGTGGGGACAAAGGCACAGCCCAGTCATGAAATGCAGGACCACAACCGTGGAAAAATGGCCCAGGGCCTGTCATGCTGCAAAGCTGTCTTCTCAGCACCCCCTGATGAGAAGCCCCTGTCTTCCTGTATCACCCCGTCTCCCACCACCTCCCATCTCCCCAGCCCTGCCCCGGCCACACGCCAGGAACAGCAGGCTAAGCAGGGCTGCACGGGTACAGTAGAAAAGAGGCCTCAGAGAGCAGGGCAGGATGCTCAGAGAAACAGTGAACTCCCCGGGCCTCCCGGACCAGCCCCACGAGGAGGGTGGAGCAGGTGAGCCCAGGAACCTCTAGTTCCACCATGGACAGCCTGTGGGCACCAGACGCTCTGGTCCTCAGGTCTCCTGGGGCCTGCTATACCCGAGGCAGAGGGCACAGCCCAGAGCACCTAGCACCTCAGGCAGGGGCCTCTTGCCCAGCCCCTCCTTTACCAGCTGGCATTGGGCCCTTCCAGAGGAAAAGGGTCTATGGCAGCACCAAGTGGGAACCAAGGCTGACCCCCAACCCCCCCACACTCTTATACCCGTACCCCAAAGCCCCACTCAGCAAAGCTACATGCAGTCACTGAATGATGGAGCAGTGGCCAGGCCAAACTGAGACCTGCTGTCACCTGACACACCAGTGGATCTCTGAAACCAGTAAGAAAAAAGAACATAAAATAGTGCATTCATGATTTACTTACATCGATGACATGTGGAAATGATAGTATTTTGGAAATACTGGGTTAAATATACTATTCAAAGTCATTTCACTTTCTTCTCTTAATAACTGGCTACTAGGAATTTTAAATTATATATGTGGCTTGAGTTCTGGTTTCACTGGACTGCTTCCTCTAAGACTCAGCCACCGCCTGTAAAATGGATAACGATGTGCCTTCCTCATGGGGCTATCTGGAGGAGAAAATACAACAGGTGAGTTTCTTCTGCAAATCATCCCCCACCTCACCTGCCAACAGTCAGCAGCCCACAGCTGTGGCCTGGCACTCCACCTGTGTGGTCAGAGGCTGCCCTCTGAGCCTCCACATCCACAGGGCTGAGGAGGACCGGGCAGGGCTGGGAGAGGCTCCTGTTCCTGGTGCCTGGGGTGCGAGGCACCTGACTCTCCCCATTCTCGCACTACAGCCTCCCAGCCCCGCCCGGGGTCACAGGGCAGAGGGCTGCTCTCTCCCTCACTGGACTGCCCTCAAGCTAATGAGAATAATGCCTCCAGAAATGCCTCAAATGGAAGATTTCATAAGAAGCAGAGACCCTTCTGGAAGATCACAAGCAGCAACAAAATAAGATCAAGAACACCATGCTGGTGCTGAGCCTCTCCAGGGGGTACTGCACAGCTGCCTGCTGTAGGAGCTCTCCCTCATCAGGCTGCTTCACTCCCACGACATGGGGAGGAGGACACTGAGGCCCAGGGAGGGGCAGCGACTTGCTCAGGGCTACTCGGCTGGTGAGGGGCACACCAAGCCCCACACCAGGCCCACCTATCTCTGGAGCCCAGATTCCTCCTAGCAGGGGAGCCCAGGCCAGACACTGCCTTCCATTTCCTGCTGTCCTAGGTTTGGAGCAGATGCCGGCATGCATATTTGTTCGTAGTTTTCCCTGCGTGAATCAAGCTGAAGATCTGGTGTCTCTGCTGAGTGACAATTAACCTCACACCATTTCAGATGAGATATTTTTTCTTGCCAAACAGTTAATGCTGCATAATCAGCCAACATCTGCGGAAATGCTCTCCCCAAACACACGGCCATCTCGCCCCTTGGCCTAAGCTGTTTCTGAGCAGGACCACAGCCCCCACAGCAGGGTGTTTCTAGCCACCGGCTCCCCTGCCGCAGGGTATTTATTCCCATGTTTATTTGCCATCAATTCTCAGAAAATTCTGTTGCCCAAGACTGTTCTAGATTACAGTGAGATGGAAACTCTCTAGGTGAATCAGGCTTGTTTAAAGCTGGCTACCAACTAGCAAGGGGGATACGGGCAATGCACTTTCAGTTAGAACTGCCTGGCAGACAAGAGCACAGCACTGTGCCCATGCCAGGCAGGACCTGTCCTTCCACAAGGGGACACAAGGTACAGAGCCAGAAAGGCACGACAAGACCCAGGCAACCCACAAGGGTGCTCTCCTTGTCTCATCTTCCTAGGGAGGCACAAGAGCAAAGAGGCAGCTGATAAGTGGGGCCAGGGGTCATGAGGCAAGAGGGGACCTCATGGAGGCTGAGTGGGCCCAGCAAGTGTGCACAGAACAGGCCTGGCGGAGCACGGTACGGCACAGCCACCGTTACAGTGTGCCCTCAAACCACCTTCCCCTTGTGTGCCAAGTTTCAAGTATGGGCACTGATAGGCCTTTTCCTTCTGGGACACAGAATGCCAGGTTTTCCTGCCACTCCTTCCCAAGGCCTGATGTGCCAAAGGCGCCTCTCACGGAGGGAAGTGAGTGGAGGGCATCCGGTGCTGCCTCCGGAGCAGCTGCCAAGAGGCCCGAGAGCGGAGGCCAGCCAGGCCCCTGGCCTGGGGAAAGTGCAGGGCTGGCTTGGACCTCCTCCCCGCCATTCAAGACAAGCCATTTTGGGGGGTGTAGGGGGTAGAAGGCAGTGGCCAAGGGCTCAGAGGTCTTCAGCAAAGTCACCAAAAAAATGGTTCACAAACGTTCTGCTTTGGGCAGTAAGAGGATTATTTCACATTCTGGATGTGTCCACTTGAGGGATGTAACGCGCACTGTCCACACACCTCCGCTCAGTGTGGCAGAGCACCAGATCACTGGGCCCTTCTCCCTCGTGTCCCGGACTTATACAACAGGACAGCTGAACCGCAGTGCCAGGCAGAACTAAAGCGCTCTTCCAGAGAGGCCATGGTGCTGGCCACAGAGCCTCTCTCTGAGCCCCGTGCCCGGCTTTACCAGCCTGCTCATAGCTCAAGAAATGCAGAGTCTGCTCAAGGGCTGGGAGGAGAAGTCAGGGCCACCGGGGATTCACTGATCCATCAGGTGATGGGCCCGGAGGATGTGGTAAGTAACAGCCACACATTCTGAGCACCACCTGAGCACCAGGTCCTGGGCCAAAGGCTGGGAGCAGCCCCACGTGAGGATGTCACCATCCCTACCTGACCGTCAGGGAACCCAAAGCCTAGGGCAAATCCCAGACTTCCCGGGGCCCTGTGCTTCACAAGTGGTGGGGAGCTCACCCCAGGAAGGGAGCCCTATGGAGACATGGGGGCCCACGGGCTGTCGGGGCCAAAGAGTGAGTGGATCCCACTCACCGCTCTGCCACGCAGCCAGCAAGTACATGGCCTCGGCACTCCCTTTTCTTCCCTGGAAAGTAGAACAGGAGGAGCCCCTCACAGGGTGGGTGAGGACCACAGGGTGGGTGAGGATTACAGGGTGGGTAAGGACCATAGGGTGGGTGAGGATTACAGGGTGGGTGAGGATTACAGGGTGGGTGAGGATTACAGGGTGGGTGAGGACCACACACCCGAGGGAGGACGCCCTGCAAACACCGGCCCGTGGATTAGGAGTTAGTGACCCACTTCCCAGAGCCAGGGTGAGGCTGATGTGTGTGCAGATATGGGAGGGGAGAACTCAGACACCCCTGTGAGCCTCAGGCCACTCGCTGCCACTGTCCAGCAACAGAGGGCGGGCGGTGACACTCATCACCATGAGAGGCACTTGCAGAGGTGCCTGACTAACTTCCTCTGAGCCTGTCCCCGACACTGGGGCCCTGCCTAAGCATCTCTCTGGTATGCTTTCACCCTCATGTGCCTTCTTGCCGTGACCTCCTTGAACCGGTTTCCCTGGGGCCGTCTGCGGTCGAACCCCCAAGGTGGAAGATAAGCATAGCAGTCAGGTAAGGCAGGTGACTGAGTATCCCATCAGATCCTGGCCCCAGAGCCCTGATGGCATTCCAACCCTGCGCTCCAGGCAAAAAGCCCGCTCCTCACCCCAGCCTGCAAGGCCAACCGTGATGGCCCTGCCGACATCTCAAGCATCCCTTGCACCCCCGACTCAGGAACCTGTCCCCCCAGCTTCACTGTGCCCTGCGCTCACCACGCCCACTCCGACCCCAGTCACCGCAGCCTCGCCATGCCCTGCACTCACCACACCCACTCCCACCTCTGGGGCTTGCCTTCCCTCTACTCAGGACATTCTCCCTGATTATCTTTGCAAAGCTGAACACATCTCATCATCTGTGACTTTGTGCCAATGTCACCTCCTCAACAAGGCCTCCCTGTCCCTCCAATCTAAAGCTGGCCACTTCCCATTCCACCTCCTCTCATCCTGCCTGGTGATCCAAACCACGCTGGCCTGCTGGATTCTCATTAGCACAAATATTGCCATCAGAAAGGGCCCTGCCTGCCTGTTGTAGGCCTGAATGACATCCATCCCCCTTTCTGCATTGCAGAAACATCCCCAGGGCCTAGCTGAATGCCAGGTGGCCAGCACACTCCAGGCAAGGATCTGCTGAGTGAAGAACTAGGACGGAGCTGCGATGCGCGCTAGAAGAGATCTCCCGCCCCGCTGGAGAACGTTAGACAGCGCTTAACTGAAGGATGCTGAGCAGAGCCAGGCTGGGGGACAGAGGCAGCCGTACATCTCCCCGTCTGCTTCCTGTGCTGTCACCGTCACCCAGCCATGCCGCGTGACCTGCAGGAGCAATCTGCTCCATTCACAGCAGTTGCTTCCCATTTGCTGCATTTCCAACATTCACAGAACCAATTTCATCACCTTCCCTTTCTGCGGGACCAGCTAGCCGGCGCCCCTGCCTCTCAGGTCTTGCCCCAGCCCTGTGCGGCCAATGGACTCCACGCTGCCAAGCTTTCAGAAGTGCAGTCTCTGCCCTGGGGTCCCCTAGCCCAAGGTGGGGAGCAGCTTCCTGTAGCTGCTTCTGCATGATATTAATACTTCGTTTTCTCTTCTTGGCTTTTCAGATTTTCAGAAACCTAGCTAACCATTGCTCACAGTGAATTCACCTGGATCTAACGGGCTGGTTTCTGTCCCCAACAGGCCCTGGCTGATCCAGGAGGCCTGCCTCACCCACTCCACCCACAGAGCTCCAGCAGGGAAACAGCGGGGGCCTCCATACCGCCACCACTACTCCATGAGGAGTAAATGCAGTCTGTGGCCCTTCAGGGAGAGGGTGGGGTGCCTGATGACCTCTGGTGACACATTACTGATGTGAGCTCGCGTTACTGCTCACAAACTAAGCCTCTGGTGGTTGCATTATATTTTGCAACCAACTGTTGCTTTTGTTTTCCAAGAGTTTTTTTTTTTAAGCCACTCCTCCCCCTCCCAAAAAGGAATTATCCAAGAGCTCTACTATGTCTAACTTTCAAAGGAGGCATTGTTAATCTTTTGGCCATAAATAGGCAATTAACACCCACTCTGAGTCTAGTCAAACCAAGTTCCCGCCAGCATGGGGACTGCAGCAAAGGGTTTGTTCTTCGTGTGGCATTTGCTTTCTGATTTCTTGACTGTGGCTTGAAGTTGCAAGAAAGAGTGGTAATTCCGGATGGCTGATACCACAAAAATGGTACATAAATGGGCTCCTGTCAGCAGGAGAAATTCTCTACTGATGCAGTGCCTGGGGCGACAGAGGCTCATGCTGCCAAAGGCGAAGTGGGCTAAAGTAAAGGCTTCACACTGATGGACCCACAAAGGGCAGCAGCCTGCATGGTGTCGGGAAAAGGCCCGGTCAGGCACCAGCCGTGCTGGGCTCTGGGCACAGCTCCGTCTCCATCCCACACCCATCTCCGTGATGCACCTATTTGTGCTTCCTGCTCTGGCCCTCACTGGGCTCTCAACAGCCCGCAGGCACCATGCTAACCTCGGGCTGGGAGGGGCTTCCCACGAGGCGTTCTCCTGATGTCCCGGATCAGGAAGCAGGAATAAGGCAGGGAATGCCGAAATCCTCCTGGGGTTGGCCAGGCCTCCCTTTCGCTGCATCCTCTGAGGCCCAGCTGGGGATTACTAGGCTTCATTAGGAGAATCGAGGAGGCCATCACAGGCCCCTTGTTTCCCGGAGCTGCTGTCCCAGCTGTTGTAAACTGACCAGATGTGGCACAGCTGAGACAAGATCCAGCGTGACAAGCGCTAGAAACCATGAAAGAATCCTCCTGTGGCCCTAAGCTGCCCCCAGCCCTTCTCCAGCCCAGAGTTCAGAATGCGCAGCCACTTTCAAATGGACAAGAACAGAGAAGCTTGGGCAAAGGAGTCAGAGGTTTGCAAACTGAGGGCTGACAGGAAAGGGTAAGGAATGGGGCCTCCCCAGTGGCAAGGAGCAGCTGGGCTAGCAAATCACAGATGTGCAAGGACTGGGGGGTAAGACAGTCCCATAGATACCTTCATACAGAGACAAAATAGGTCATGGTGATCCACTGGATTTCAGTTCTACTGAGAACAGATCAAGAAGAAATACAGTCAAAGTGAGGGCTGCAGGTTAAATAACAAGAGGGACTTACAATGAGCACACACTAAACAGGGTAGCTTAAAGAAAGTTGCCACCTTTGGGGATTAGGATAATTGATTCTCTGCCCAGTGAGGCCTATGACTAGGGTGAGTTGGAAGCCAGCCCTGCTGCTTTCACCTCGAGAACATTTCTTGAGCCCCTTATGCCTATCACCACTTCCACTGCCCCCACCCTTGTCTAGCCCACCTTCATGTTTGCCAATAGCCTCCTGCCTGGCCTCCCCACCTCCCCCAGAACCTACAGTCCATGCTGCTCACTGTTGTCCCAAAGGAGCTTTTTAAGGGGTGCTATTGCTCCCCTGCTTAAAACCCTCTAATGCTTCTACTCTGCACTCAGGGTTCCTGTCATTCATTCACTCTGCCGTTGCACACAAGGCAGGATATCAAACAGGGTGTGGAACTTGCCCTTAACAACCCACCCATGAGAACTTGCCTCGGAAACGTTCAACCCTATATACTAGAACAGGCTTTCCAGACATTTCTGAAGCAGCGCCTTGTACTCGACTCAGCATAAGTTAACCCCGAGCCCTCCTGCATGGGAAGTTTCATTGGCAGGCGGGGACACCATTGCTCTGCTGGGTACAGCAGCTCAGTGGGCACTCGCCCTAGGACCTGGATCCCTCCTCCAGGTCAGGCCCTTCCTAATCCAGGCTGAGCTGGTACCTCCTGACTGAGGGACCTGAACTCTCAATGCCATCTCCATATGACACAAAACTAGTCCCTGGGCATCTGTGGAGTCACTGGGCTAGGAATGTGCCCATCTCTGCTGCCCCCACAAGCCCCAGACTCACCTAGGGAGCTTCTGGGACCCCGAGGTACTGGGGCTCTGCCCCAGACCTGCTAATTCAGACTCTCTTGGACAACGTCTAGGAACCTGCAGTGTGTTGGCTTCCCAGATAACCTGACGCCCATGGCTACACCTGGGCAGATGCATGCATGGTCAGAAACCCAAGGCTCAGAGAAGCAGGGCAACGGGCTCACAGTCACCACACAGCCAGGTGGCAGAGTGCCTCTCAAACCCAGCTCTTCTGACTCCAACAGCAGCTGTGTTCCAACGACAGTGCACCTCTCTTTCCCTTAGGATATGAGAGGCCTCTACCACGTGGCAATAAGGCAAAACCCTGCCCTCAGAGTTACAGAGCCCGGGACTCATACCCCAGCAGCACCGCTCAACAACTCAGCTGCGCCCTCAGGTGAGGCCTTCTTCTGGGGAGCAGGGATGCGGCAGAGCACCTCAGCGCTGCAGAGACAAAGAATTCCTGAGGGGAGGACAGTTCACACTGGATGAGCAGCAGGCCCCTCCTTTTGCCAAATTTCTCCCCTTACTCCTAAAGTGTGACTCCCAATATGGCAGCCAACTTTTACTGAGCACGTGTCCTGGGCACACAGAACTAAGCTCCAAGCGCTTCATACAAATGAATTCATTTAATGAGACATTTAACACAGTGAGAGAGGGTGTCGCCACCCTTCCTCGAGGATGGGGAAAATGAACCATGAAGAGGTTCCATCAGTTGTCCAGGATGAGGATGGGGCTCACTCCATGGGCAGGGCTCCAGGCTGAGGCCCTGCTCTCCCACCAGCCCTCTGTCTCCTCGTCTCAGCCCACGCTCCCTGCTTCTCCTTCAGAAGCCTGGGAACGACATTAGGGTTTCTCTAAACCCTCCTCTGTGGGCCCTTGGAGTTGAACCAGTCAAAGGGGCAAGAGCCAGCTGACCCACAAGCCTTTCTTACTCTGGCTTCCATGAAGCAAGACTGGCGATGTCCTCAGATGTGGTGAGGCCTCAGCTGGTAAGGCCTTGTTCTCCCTCTGGCCCATAGGCTGTGGCCTCCCAAGGGCAGCGCCTGCTAGGGCCTCCCAAGCCTCTTTGCCAGCACCAGAGCAGGGCCTGGCAAGCCAAGAGCACTCCCAGCATGGCCGGGGCTCTCATCTGAGCGGCTGGCTTAGGAAAGGGCCCCTACTTCAGAGAGCCGGGGCCTCCCAGAGTCTCATAGCTTCTCAAACATTCTCTGCTCAGGATGGCTCTCAATTGAAGCGTGGAAATCACCAAGTGGCACTAAAAGCTGCCTCCTTAGCAGTCCCCAGATGAACTCCTCTTCCCCAGGAGATCAAAGCTATTGTGGCAACACTCGGCCCCGATCCCAGTGACCTTAAGCAGATTGCTTGTGCAACCTGAGGGCTGTGACTAGAGACAGAAAGGAGGGATCCAGGCGGAGGCTGCAGTGAGTCGAGATCTCACCACTGCACTCCAGCCTGGGTGACAGAGCAACACTCCGTCAAAAGAAAGGAAAGAAAGGGAGGGAAAGGAAGGAAGGGAAGCAGGGAAGATGAGGACTAGAGCTGAAACTAGTCTCCTGGAAGCCTGATGCCAGCATGCGCCACAGCTGGCAGGATCCCGGCCCACCAAGAGTGGAGAGCCCAGGACACTGCCCAGAGCAGCAGAGGGTGTGGGGCGAGCTACCATGGGAGCAACAGAAGAAAGGCTGCAGCAGGCCCGGGCTTTCTTTGTTCATCAAAGCTGGCATTTGCTGAGTGCCAACCGTGTGCCAGATCCATGCGACATGATTCCTCCCACACTCATGAGCAACAGGCACTGCCATTCCCATTTTACAGACACAGACATGAGGCCTGGGGCACACAGCTCAAAAGTGGCAGAATGGGGACACACCCCCAGTTATCTGACTCCGAAGCTCCCACTTCTCACTGCCACACTCTCTATGCCCCATGTGCATCAGTCCTCTGGAAGGGCCAGCTGATTGGTCCTCACCCAGGACCAAGCACAGCAGTGGGAGCACTGAGCCTGGGGTCAAGAGGTCAGGGTTCCCACCTTCCGAGGTGCCTCACCATGTGACTTTGGGCAAGGCCCCAACTCTTCCTGTACTCTAGAGGCTTCATCCTCAAGTGAGGGGATTAGAACAGAGATGGTGGATGACGTTCAATTACCCATCAATTAGCAATGGCTGCCAAGACTGCCAAGAGGAGGATTCTAAGACCTCCACTAAGTTCACCTGAAAAGGCTGCCGTGATTGATTAGCAATGTCTGTCAAGAGCACGGAAGGAGGAGTGCTAGTTCAGCATCCAAAGCTGCCCCCTTGACATCCCTAAACTCTGACAGCCCAGGTCTTACAGGCTCTCTTCCTTTGTTCAAGCCTATCCTAACTATCTCTAAGTCAGAAGCAACTACTCTCGTGTGCCTGCCCACAAAAGTTTTTGCCTTTACTTGTATTTAGCATTTCTTTCATTGCAATGGGCTTTCTAGGGCTTTCCATGCCTACCTCTCTCACTAGATCTTCACACTGTCTGCAGTCTGTGTTATAAGGGGTGCTCCACCTCTGAATTCCTCTACTTGCCGTCAGCACAGCTTCCCACCCTGAGAGGAAGGGTGCTGAGGGTGCAGGGCGGTGGGAACCCTAAGCAGCTGAAGGTGAACAGCCACTGGCAGGATGGACAGGAAAAGTCACAAAGGTGCAGGCAAGCTGGGCCTGCCGCACAGGAACTTGGCCAAGGAAAGGCACAGCTGGCCTGCAGCTGCTGGGGGTGCCAGCGCAAGAAGTCATGTAGCCAACCCCATGGCGACCAACAAGGGCCACTGTCCCTCAAAGGCGGCCCCACCAGCACAAAAGATGGAAAGTGGAAGCTGGCTGGGGGGGCTTCACCTGGGGAGGACCTGTCCAGCAAAGAGCTGCGAGTCACTGATGAGCATACGCACAAGCTCTCCCAACTTCCTGCAGCAACCCCTCATCCTGCCCAGTCCCTGCGGCCCCGCCCACCCAGCTCTCCTGGACTCACCCCCAGGAATACGGCTCTCAGAGGCTTCCCAAAGACGTGCTGGCATGCTGGTTTCTCTCATGCTTCTTTTCTACCCCAAACTGCCCCTGGCCAGCTTTCACGGTCCCTCAAACATCTGCTAACACAACAGTTGCTGCCTGTTCTGAGGCCTGCTCAGGGAGGTTCGGGGACTCAGTGTGTGGGCAGCCGCAATCAATCAAACCTCTGTTTCGACATCCCGACCCCTCCCCACAAACATCTTGCTTCTGTTTGAAGCACTGTTGAGAAGTACAATTTGTTGCTCTTTCAAGCTGACCAGCTTGGAGTTAAAAATACAGCAGGGACTATGACACCTAGGGGGACTGCATTCAATGGGTGAACTTTTTAATTGTTGCTTTTTTCTGAAATCTTTGCTCACACACACGTGATCCATGTCTAAATGGCCGCGTATGGCTCAAGTCTTGCTGGGAGCCAACCAATGCTGGGTGGTCAAACCAGGTCTCAAAAAAGCAGTAAGGAAAATGTCAGCAAAAGTCCTGCTAATAAACAACTCACACCCTCAGGCTGGGCCCTGCCTTCAATGGCAGACATTGTCATTGTGCAAAAGGAAGGCTGCAGCCTCACAGAGAACACCAGCCAGGAGGGCCAAAAACACCACGTAAGGAGGAAAGCTGTGCAGGAGGCCCACGGGGCCGGGCTTGCGCAGGGATCGCAGCATAGCCAGTCCTCTGAGCTGCCTTTGGACAACCTGCTCTGTGGAACCAAGTGGTTGTAATTACAAGTACAGGGAGGGCGGCCACTGCTGGACTAGGTCCTTGCGTCATTTCCCCCATTAGGGCTTTCCTCGCTACAGTCAGCCTCCCCGACTCAGGATCCAGATGGCCGGCTCACCTGCAGCCTCATTCAGCATCTCTGCCTGCTCTCTTGGCACTGGGGTTTTCAGAAGACATGAGCAAAGACAATCTGAAAGCAATATCTACACCCCACCCTGTGTGTCTCATCCCCGACAGACAAGAGCCCCCACTGCCATTAACTGGACAGCTGTGCCCCAGGGACGTGGCTAGGAAGGGGCAGGGTGGCCAGCAGGCCCCCAGGATATTTCCACCCTAGTTTCAAGGGCAACAGACAGGAGAATGCTCACACACGGCGAACTCCCTCTGACAAGGGGGGGTGAATCCAATTGTCACCATTTCATAACCCTGGGCTCTGAACACCGAGTTGACTACAGGCTGAGCTGAG
The DNA here is from genome assembly GCF_000001405.40 of Homo sapiens. Classification (NCBI taxonomy): domain Eukaryota; kingdom Metazoa; phylum Chordata; class Mammalia; order Primates; family Hominidae; genus Homo; species Homo sapiens. The sequence continues at coordinate 124,677,983 of NC_000010.11, forward strand.
CTGCAGGGCAGGCCTCCTTCCCATTTACAAAAGAAAAGCAAAGAGGCAAGAAGATGAACAAACAAGACAAAGAAAGTGGCGTGAACAGAAAAGGGAGGATGGAAACACAGGGAAAACACTGGACAAACAAAGAAAAACAGGCATTCTTACAGCAGACTGAGGGCACCTCCCAGGAATGTCCACCCTCTGCTCCTACTTCTGCCTCTGGAGACACCCAGAAACAGCCCACACCCTCCCTCCAAGTCCTGCGACTGTGACGATGATCATAAGTATCTGTCAGCACCCGGCCTGTGCCAGCCAATGCACTGGGGGGAGTGTGTGTACATACAGATACAGATACACACACACGCATATCAACAGATGTGGACACATACACATATATAAACACACACCCATATGGATAGTGCATTATCCACACATGTTGTTTCCCTTGCTCCTCCCACAGTCCTGTGGCGGTGGTGGCATCTGCTGCACAGACATGTCAGGCAATTTGCCTAGGGCTTCCAGTCTCTGGCCCCACCTCTGGAGGCCTTCTGGTTTGTCAATGTCACCTTCTAAATGCAGATCCAAAAGTGAACACCATGCCCAGAAAAACTCTGATGGGCACAGGGACCAAGAGATCTTCAGTTTCCTCAAGAGAGACTGGAATGGACAAGCTCTGAGGTCACATCTCCTGATATCCTCTGCTTCTAGCAGAGTCTACACCCCAGGGCACTTGCTCCTGCTGAACTCAACTGTGGATACAGATGAGGGCAGGGCCTTGGACCTCAGAGCTTCCTGCCCTCTTACTCTCTCGGGTTCTCTCCCTGGACCCTTTCCTGCTGGCGGATTGGAGGGGCTCCAGCTAACCACAGTCTATCTGGCCACACCGAATGATGGCCAGAGGGAAGCCCCCGTGTGCTCACACACACCCTCAAGATCTGCTCTAGGCCCCAGTCGGGACCTCTAGGGGAGCTGCAGCTTTTCAGAATGGCCAGCTGCTCCAAAGGTCTAACTGAAAAGGCCCTCTGCAGCTTTAACCCGAGGCTCTCACACACCTGGCCTCAGAACCCACACACGAAGGGCGCCTTTACAAGAATGCACAAGTGGAGCTCTCACCCCCAAAGGCGAATGTGTAAACCAAGATCAAAAGGCCCACGAAAGAGAAGCCAGAGCCCAGCGGAAGGAAGCGTGGGCCACACCTGGGTACCAGCCTACCCTTCCAAAGATACAGAAAGCCCAACTCCAAGCCTTGCTTCCATGGGCATGCAGAGCAGACCCCAACCCCTTCTCAGTGGTCCCAAATGTTGAGTGAAGCCACAGCACGCAGAGGCTGGGGTCTGTGGCCAGTGGTCTCACCTCACTGGCCATCTGGCAACACGTTAGTCCTTGTACACCAGCAACATGCCCAGCTCATCAGGTTCCCACGCACAAGGCCGTGCACTCGCCAGGGCTCTTGATAAATACACAGGGATACCCTAGGCCTCGTTCTCAGGGCCCCACAGAAAAGCAAGGTCCACCTCCCCAGGCTAGAAATCATCTGATGGCAGAGCCAAAGCAGGCAGAGCCCCATGGAGAGAGGGCTGACCAGGGTCTAGACTCTTGGTGGGGGCATGGCTCAGCGTCCACGGGCCCAGCCTCAGGGCTCTGGCCATAGGCCTTGGGCACACACACTTTCCAGAGGCCCCTCTCTACTTTCCCTGTGCCCGAGACCCACTGCCAAGCAGGCGGCCAAGGACAGACAGGCTGAACCAGAGCAGCCTCCTCAGGCTCCGCACACCTTCCCAGATCTGGGAGGCCTGCCTGGGGCTGATGAAGCCATCTATACAACTGGGCGCAGCCCCACTGAGCAATGTATTTTTAAATAGTTTCTAACCAAACGAGGTCAAGAAATGTCTCCAATGATGCCAGTGGTGTTATTCCAACTGTGGCTAGTAAAATATAATAACATGCATGTTGTTTTTGTTACCTATCTAGCTGATTAGGTAATAAAATATGCTCAGTATTAAAAATTTAGCTGAAGCCATTATCATACCCAGAACTCGGGGCTCTTGGTTTTCCTCAGAAGTCACCCAAATCTGTCACCTTTCCAGACTTTTAACCTATTTAAATTTTTCTGGAGAAGGGAAATTCCTCTTGGTGTCCAATAAATGTGTTCAATCCCTGTCCAGCTAGTAAAGTCAAAAACGTTCCACTACACAGCAAAAAGATTGGCACACGCCTAGAGCCACAATGGAAGAAATGGAAACTAGCTGAGAAGAGGCAAGAGCTCTGCCCCACACCCCTTCAGGCTCTCCCCCAAGCGGATCCCACTGACACAGGGGAGGCACAAGCATACCACCATCTTGCCCTCCCATAATGCCCCAGCCAGTGCCCAGGCTCTTGAACAAAGGTGGCCAGAAAGTTTGGACTCTGGGGCCAGGTATGCTTTAGACTTAAGACACCTGCACCTCTTCTTTTCTGGGTAGACCTCTATGTTGGGAGTAGGAACTAAAGGAGAGAAGAGCAAAACCCCATGAAGAGAAACTGCATGTTCTTTGTAAAAGGAAAGAAGACCCAACTGAGAGAACAACACTGGGCTTGGAAGGAAGTCAGCTATGCCCACCTGAAACGCAGCGAGCGTGATAAGCCTGCCTGCCGTGGATCTGGCCATAATGCTGAGTGACCAAGGCCATCCCCTCCAACCAACCCCTCTGAAACCATCTTCGTCAACAAGAAGATCTTTACCCCTTGAAACCCAGCGAGACCAATGTTTATATAAATAAGTCCAGAAAAGATGATGGTCAGACCGTGGCATTAAGCAACCGATGGCCTCCTGGATGAACACAGAACCAACAGTGTTGTGTCCCATCACATCCGCCCATCCTTGAGTCAGAGGTCACAAGGGCCAGCACCACTTCCTCATCCCCAGCCAGAACCAGATGCAGCCAACTCTCGGGCTCAGAGACGCTCCTGATGACAGAGTATTAACTCCAAGTTCATCTCATTCAAATCAATATCCAAGATCAGTGTTAGCACAAGGCAGAGCTCCAAGACAAAGAGGATAAAGTCCAAGTGACAGGGGCGTGTGGCCAGATACTTCTTCTACAGTGAAGGGCAAGGATGATTGCAGAGGCAGCTCAGAGGATATTGATCACAACATCCTGATGGCCTCATGTTTCAACAGTATAATCAAAGGAATAAGTCCCCCCAATCGCTAGCTCTTGGAAACCATTACCCACAACCCTGATCTCAGGATCAGCATAATCCAAGGGACACTGAACCCCAGTGTGTGTGTATATCTCTTGCAGCAGCTGCAGGGGTGGCTTCCTGGGAGAGACGGCTCCAGTGAAGGGCCGGAGGGGATTACCAGTGTTTGGTCCAGTGAGTCTGCCCACCAACACCCCGCCTCTCACCATCCACCTGCCCTTGTACCCCTAGCACTGAGCTCACAGTGAAAGGGAATATTTGCTTGTAAATAGAAATAAACGCTTTTTAAAAACCAACTGGAAATAATCTTTCTTTGAATAGGATTTAAAAAAACAAGGAAATTAACCCACTCCTGGGTATTTCTGAAACTGGCAATCTATGCTTGTCTAGGACGGCCCAGAACCAGCAGAGGCTCCAGTGAGCACCAAGGTGACTCCAGGCTGCTGGGGCTCTTACCTGTGCCATCTTGGCAAGGTCTAGAGAAGGCCTCTGCTCTTGCACTTCTTCAGGGCGCCGCCTTTTAACACCGACCTTCTTGTCGTTAAGGACACACGGCTGGGAGCGGCTGCGGGAAAGGCCGCTGGAGCGTCTCGCCAGCTCTGGTGTTGAGGCAGGTGTGCTGTTGGCTGAGGGAGGACAGTATTCCACAAAGGAAAACTGCTCATGTGAGCAAGAGAGGGACCGCTGCAGGTCCAGCCGGCCTCCTCCCACGGGGTGCAGGTCAGGGCTCCAGGTGTCACCTGCCTGTCCACACGGGGCTGAGCCTGGCACCCCTTGGCAGGGCTGCCCTCCAAATCGGTGGTGGAGTCCTGCCTGGTCGCAGGGTGAGGAGAGCACGTTGGCCCGGGAAGGGAGGCTGAAGCTGGAACTCCTCTGCATGGTGCTGAAGCCGTTGGAATAGCGCTGGACGCTGCCCCCGCTGTAGCAGCGTCTCTTTTCCACGGGAGTCCAGACTTTGGAGCCCAAGGGCCTCCATGATGTCCGGCAACTGGACATCTCATCGGAGAAGGACAGTGAGCGGCACTGGCGCTTGCTAGGGGGTGCTGAGGGGTTCCCGTTGTGGTCGCTGATGCTGAGGTCTTTGATCAGACTGGTCACAGCGCAGGCGGTCACTGCCTCCCGGTGCCATAGTGAGCTGTCCTTTTCAGGCAGGCATTCCCAGATGCTGGTGCTCGGTTGGTCAATCTGAAGAGGGCATTTCCTGTCCAGGTCTCGCCATCTGTCATTTTCTGGTTCATAAATGACAAGGAGAAAACAGGATTTGAGAAGACCTTCACTCCAGCCCTTTATTATCTCCACACCAACAGCCCGTTTCAAACACAGTATCTTAGAGCCAAAAGGCCCTTAGAAACCATCCAGTCCAACCTCATTTTACAGATGAGAAATTGAGGCTGAGAGAGGAGAAGTGAATCCCAAGGCTTTGAGTTGGAAGTTGGAAGCAGAGCAGGGCCTAGAATCCAGATATACCCCTGGGACTCCTGATATGGTTTTCTTTCCAGTGTACCACACTGCCTCCCAGGAGAATCCAAAGCAATATTTTTCATCCAAAATGTTTCTCATCTTATGGGTGGGAAATCGACTTGCCCTGAACCCTGCCCCTGGCTGATGAGAGAGTCGGGACAAGACATCTGTTAAGTGCCACCAGGTTCTCTGCAGCTCTCAGGACTGGGACTCGATGCCCTGGCAGAAGACCACAACCAAAGATGTCTCAACAGCTCGGATGGCCAAGGCCAAAAGATGGCTGGGGCACTGCCAGGTTAGTTCACCCCAATTCCACCTTGAAAGCCTTTGCTGATAATAGAAGCTGGAACTTGTACTGATTTAGGTCACCTCCGTCAAAATGCTCAACATCAGCGTCACCAATGGCTGCCAATCACAGCACTTTCTCTGTGTTCACTCGATTTTTCACTTAAAGCAATTAAAATCTCTAAGAACAAGTCTTGGGCTTCACAGACTTAAGGGAACCACTTAAACTTATGTATTCAGGTCTTTACTTGAATACACAAATAAATAACCAACCCTGCTATGAAATGCTACATTTGCACACGAACCTTTATTTTGTGAAATATTCAAGAACTATTTATTGTTTTTCTACTATGGAATCAGGCACCGTGCTGGGAATTTTAGGAGATGCAAAGATAAATTTGACATAGTTCTTGTATTCAAGTTTACAGTATAAAAGCAAAGTTACAAAATATGCCATGATATCAGGGAACAACCTGTTAGTACTATTTTCTCGAGCCTATATATATTTATAAATCATGCACATGTGAATGGCTTGAGTCAGTCAAGAGAAGAATAGAAGTGAAACCTGAAATGATATTTGGTAGGTATTTAAATGCACGCCGGGTCTCTCAGCAATGCAGATCACTCACTGAGCATTCAGCTGGGCTGTGTAATCCACACAGCCCCCTGAGTGCATGTACCATCCTGGACCAGATCAGGAGACCAAGGCTTGGGGGACACTAAGCAACTAGCCCAAGGCCACACAGCTAACACCAGACAGGATGTAAACCCAGCTTAGTCAGGCCCCAGAGCGCAGGCCCTTTTCACTACACTGCAGCGCTGAGGTGGACTGTGGGTGAGCCTGACTCTGGCCCTGGCCCTAAGGAGTTTATGGGTCAGGCAAGATGGGCTCAGGTGCAGAAAACTGAGATTTAACCCATGAGTGCTCGAGGCAGCAAGGACTACAAACCTATCTCCACTACCAGTGGCCACTCCTCAAAGGGCACCAAGAGACATACCCCAGCTGAGCGTCACAAGCAGCAGCTACTTGATTGACTCAACGGGAATGACCTGTGCAGACCAAAGGGAGGGCCAGGAGCCCAGAGAAAAAGCCGAGGCAGAGCTAATGGTGGTTCTCCTTCCTCTTGGGCATCCTGCCAAGGTCAGCAGAGCTAACGGTGGTACTCCTTCCTCTTGGGCATCCTGCCAAGGTCATGAGATACAAACTGAGGGGCTGGGGACCCTGACAGGGGACACTGGTAGAACTGTCCAGAGGCTGTATTCATAGAGGGCCTCAGAAGCTGAAGATGCAGGAGAGAAACCTTCCAAAAGCCCAGGCAAGCCAGCTGCAACAAAGCAAGACTGTCGCTAAACATCCAATTTCTTCATCATACATCGTTCATCTCATCTCTGAAATTTCCCAGGGCCTGAACACAGCAGGTCTCAATATCTGCTCCTCCAACTGGATTGGATCAATTACGTCCAAAAATCATCCAAAGTACCTCTTCCTGCAAGTTGCTTTAGGTTGTTCAAACATGCTTCACCACCAAGGAAACCATTCCCTTTGGGTATTCACCATTCTATTAAATCAGTTTCAACTTGACACTGGTCAGCAGTTGAAAGTCCAATAAACTAATATACAGTAAAAAAAAATTTTTTTTTGAGACAGGACCTGCCTCTGTGGCCCAGGCTGGAGTACAGTGGCATAATCTCAGCTCACTGCAACCTCCACCTCCCAGATTCAAGCTATTCTGGTGCCTCAGCCTCCTAAGTAGCTGGGATTACAGGCATGTACCACACGCCCAGCTAATTTTTGTATTTTTTGTAGACATGGGGTTTCACCATGTTGGCCAGGCTGGTCTCAAACTCCTGGCCTCAAGTGATCCACCCACCTTGGCCTCCCAAAGTGCTGGGATTACAGGCATGAGCCACCGTGACCAGCTATAAAGTAAAATTAAAGGAAATAGAAACTCTTGTTGACACAGTCACAACTATCCCAGTTATCTGATTTAAAAGAAAACAGAAAGTTATCCTAAGAAAAAAGTGAAGATTTATGTATGATGATGTTCATCAAAATGATGAGTGACAGCAAAATGGTAAACATAGTTAAAACGTCTTACAGTAGGGGCCGGTTAAATAAATTATCAAGGAATAACATGGAGCATGAAGAAGCAGAGTTTCAAAGAATATTAAATGATGTGGGGAAATGCTAACAATATAAAGCTGAGCATGAAGAAACAGGATATAAAACTGTATAGAGGGTGTGATTCCTATTTAGCAAAATATGTCTGTTGTATGTAAAGGTAAGAAAGAAATAAACCGAAATGTTAATAGTGGATTGGCAGACAGCTGGTTGGTTAATTTATTTTTTCTCTTTTGTTCTTCTATAGTCTCCAAATGTCCTATGAGAAAAAATGTATTATCGAATATGTGGGGGATGTGACTGCCAAGCCCACAGGTGCTGTGCCCTTGCTTAACTCAGGAAGTGAGCCAGGGTCGGAGCGGGGGCCCACAGCCCGCCCTCTGCTGGGTTGGCTCCTCTGGGTTTTCAGGAAGTTGCCATACAAAATGCTGGCCACTAACTTCTCTTTTGAGACAAGGCACTGAGGCACCAGATGGGCCAGGAATGTGGCCGGCTGAGGAAGAAACCAATGGGCTTGGCACAGAGCAGCGAGGGTGGCCGGTGCTCACGGAGCCTGAGACATACTACAGACTGCGTCTCCGCCAGGCCTCGGGGAAACCCGTGACATGAAAAGGAGTTGATCCCACTCTCAGAGGATACCATTTTCTGTTCCATTTTTGCACCACTGGCCTGGAATCTTCCCCATCTCTAGGGAAATCACTTCCAAAAGGGGAATCGGGAGCCAGCTAAATAGGAACACACCATCCCTCCCATCTGCCTTCCTTTCCCATGGCCAGCCTGCGATCTTGGTGCTTCTTGAAGGGACCCCTCAGGGCCTCCCTACTCCAGGCCTACCTCCTCACTGCCTCTAGAGAACTTTCTGAAGCCCCCACCTATTGTGGCCCATTCGCTTCAGCTGTCAGCCACTGTTTCCGGGAAAGAAGACAAGCATTTCAGACTGGCACCCGGGCCCATCTCCACATCATTCCCCACAACAAACCCTACACTCCAGGTATCAAACCTCCTACGACAGTGGAGGTCAGAAAAGAATCATATAGAGTCAAAACCATCCTTGAAGAATTCCTGAACCAGCCCACAAAGTACAACTCCTCCCCCCAGCTTTGTGTAGACAACCCAAAAGGGTAATTCTTATGCACCAGCGATTCTTTATAAAACTAAAGTTTAATAACTAGACTGCAGGAACAAGCACAGATAAGATCTATATGCAGAAAGGCTGGAAGTCCAGCTTGCTGGGCCTTGAGGTAACTACCAAAACCCAGGGGCATCAGAGCTGGGTGATGAATTCCTACAGGACCTACTCCTTCTGTGTTACAGAGTAAGCCTCTAAGGCCTATAAGATTTCTTTGTCGTAGGGAAGATTCGAAGAGTCAGTTTTTAACTGTGAAGAGAAGTTGCAGCTTCCCCCAAACATCAGCTCTTTCACTCCTTTGCAAAGAACATTCCACACCTTTGCAAAGGCCTGGACCGTTCTTTTCCTGCCTTTATCTTCCTTTCACCAAGAGTCTCCTCATTTAAAAAGCCAACTCAAAGCTCCTCTGAAGATACACCTTTCTCCTAGCTCTGTGATCGTACAGCACGTATGTACCTGAACTTTAATTACTGATCTGCGTACACATCTACTTCTCCTCCTAAGCCACAGACTCTCAAGCATAGCCCCAGTGTGGCTCCCCAGTGCCTAGCACAGAGCAGGGCACACAGCAGACCTTAGTTGGTGGTGCATGAATGAGGTAGTGGATTGCAAACTGCAGATAAAAGCTACAAGAGGATGCGGTGTTCTCTGGGACTCACCTGTCTTTTGTCCTTGGCAAAGGTGAGTCTTCCTTGGCCAGGTAAGTCCAACCAGGACTGTGCCCTGAACCGTCTGCCCTACCTGGGCCATGTGGCCATGTGTGACTCAGCAAGGAGATGGGGTTGACAGAGTCACGTCTAAAATACTTTGGAAAAGCAAAGCACTGCTATTGTGTATCAACACCAGCCAGGTGACCACTTGCTCAGTCTGCAGGCAGATAATATTGTAATTGTTTCTATCTTTATCGCTTTGAGAAGTACAATACGAGAAAAGTAAAAACAATCAAGGCTATGTTTAGCCCTGTGTTTTCCCCATTCGCTCAGGGAACAGAAAGCGATTTGTTGGGTCAGATCACCAGACAAAAGAAACAGGAATAGAAGCTAATTTTTCATGGCAAACTGCCCCAAGCGCTAGGCCCTGACGTCACACCATACAAAGGGCCTCGGTAGGCCTCCGAGAAGAGGATACAGGGTGCCCCCGCCCCCTCCATTCAATATCACTTCTGCACAAACAACTATAACTCTTTCAAGTCACAATTGTCATGGATGTAGGAGTCTACTGAGCAACAGTCACTTGGTGTAGTGGAAAGGGCAAGGACCTGGGTTCAAACCTCAGCTCTGTAAGTTACTCAGTTCCTCGTAGCTATTATGAGAATTAAATAGGCATCTCATACAGGGCATAGAGTAGGCTCTCAAAAACAGCAGTCATCATAAGGATAATTAACGGTACTGGAAAACGCTCTCCTAGCTGAGGCTTGACTCAGCCAGAGCTGCAACAGGGTGCCAGCCTCTGTGGAATCCGGCTGGAATGGAAACCTGGCTTCTCTGACTAGGATTTCTCAAAGTGTGACTTCTGGGCCACCTACAGGAGCATCCTTTGGGGGTGTTTGTTAAAATGCAGGTTTCTAGACCCCGTCTCTGACTTGGTAAATCAGAGTCTCTCTGGGTAGGCATTTGCATCTTAATAAGCTCCCCAGGTTATTTCAATGCAAAAATGTTGAGAAATGCTGTTCTGGAAAGCAGATGACATGGAGAACTGAGTTCTCAAACATCTGTCCGAATGGCGGCCCATCCAGACCATCCAGCACCACTGCCCAGAAGCTTCAGGAGGGTTGACAATTCTGGTCTCTACAAATTTGAATTCATAACAACACTGAAAGTTGGTGTTTATGTTTTGGTTTGGGCTAATTCCAGGAAGAAGTATGGAGAAGGATCACTTCACCCATCAGAGGTTTCACAGGACAGGATGGGGACCCTCAGGGCTTCCTTCTCAAGCTACACAACATGCTCTTGATGGACAGCCACTAGCAAAGGCCTTAGAAGCTAACTCACTCCTATGAACAAGATGAGTGTGAAGCCTCCCACTTTCTCCCTGAGAACACGCAAGGGCCCATCAGCTGTGTCCTAAAGATACGCAGAAGGGCCCCCCATCCATCTGCAGCCTGACACCAAGCCCCTGGCAGACCTGAGCAGAGCGCGATGGCCCACAGCCTGAGAGCATGGCACCAGCCCATTCAGTTCTATGCTGCGCCTGTTGCTTTAGCCTTTAGGGCATGTAAAGCTTCTCCACGTCCCCACTGAGCATTATCTTCACAAGTCTGAAATGATACACACGAGAGCGTGTGCATTTGTGTGTAGCGTAAACACACAAGAGCCTTTGCCTGCAGATGGGAGGGTGAACACACAAGCATCCCTGGGCCCAGTTCTCTCACAGTCTTGGACAGACTAGGTAAGCAAGGTCTCTTCCAAAGCTGAGGTTTGATGACTGAGCTTGCAGTTTCTGACTTTTGACTATGCCACAAAGAACAGGAGAATGAGTTGCCTACATATGCAGAGACAAGGACTCAAATTCCCAAATTCGCACTCACAAGGCTCTGGTCCTGCCACCGTTTGACTAAGAAGGGCAGAAGACTGCTGTGTGCACAGATCCTAGAGCTTGAAGCAAGAAAAACACTCAGAGGAATACGAATGGCATTTGACCTCAAATGTTCTTATTTCCATTCCTACCCTTAAATTTGAAGGAAAATTCCCAGGGCTCCAGATTCTTGGGGGACTATAAACCTTCATATTTTCAAAAGATAGAGGAGCTTTATAGCCCTAGAGAGCTCTGTGCTATGTTTTCGATGGTGCCTTATGGTCACATAAGTACAGAATGTGGTTTCCAGAAAAGGTTAAGCACCTCAAGTACAGACCAAGATACGAAATGCCCCGATTAGCAAGCCTGCTGTCAGATCACAACCAGCTGACTCATTCTTACATTTCACACCTATCTACTTGTGCTGACAATGAGTATCTCTCCCCTGCCCTGTAGGTTGGGTTGTGCTAACTTGGCCTCAGGGCCACAAAGATTCTATGCTTGGTTTGGGGAGAAGCTCACCAACCCATCAATGGGAAAATCAAGAGAGCCGAGGTGTCTTTCTGAAGGCGGTTTTGCTAAACTGATCTTACGAAAAGAACATGGGGGTGGGGGGGACACAAGCAGGGCAATGACATGAGCTCCCCCACAATCGTCTCATCTGTTTTTAAATGGACTTTAGAGCCTCTGGCTCCCTGGAGAGTCTCTTTGCCTGTATGACCAGAAGGAGACTCAGTTCAGAGCAGTGTCAGGAACAAAAAGTCCTCGGGCTTTGCCTGCCAGGCCTCAGCTTCAGGTCCTGCCCACGCACCTGGGATGGACTGTAAAATGGCAGCTGTGTCTTGGATTCGGGGACAGCAACACAGGACACCAAGTTCCTCACACAAGGCACAAGGAACAAGGGATTCCGATGGCTAGAGGTAATGCACCATCAGGCCCCACATCCAAGGAAGAAGGCAGGCGGGTCTGCAGGACTCTGGGAGGTGACAAAGAAGCTACTAAGGACAAAGATCGGGGTTCAGAGCCATTACCAGGGCCCTGCCCTTACCAGCAGAGTTGGGGTGGCCCATGGCAGCTGCCACTGCTTCTGGGAAGTCTTTGCTCTTACAAAAAGATGCCCAGTGAGATCCTCACAGTTAAAAACCACACCAGATGGGGCACTGGGAAGAGGGGCCTCAATCTCACCATCTGCACAAGGCTGGGTAGACTAGGGTCTTGTGACAGCCCTTTTGGGTCTGACCAGGACTTCCTATTCTACCCCTCAGCTCCCACAGGCGTTCATAAATGTACAGGGAACAGCTAGTATTTGCACTGGCAACAAGAACTCTGAAGGGACAACAAGGTCAGTTTGGTCCATCTCCTCTGGATTTCCATCCTGATTGTGGGTGTGCACAGAGCAAGTGAAACGGGCAGCTGCTGGTGATGCATCTCTTAACTGATGTACACAGCAAAGCGGGGCGCCATTAAACCGACGAGGGAACTGGCGACAGGCAGAGCTTTTCACGAAACTGTCAATAAATGCATATTTACTGTTAATCAGCTAACACTCCAATAGGGTCCTTGCTGAAGCTGAGAAAGAGCATGAATGTGCATCCCAAGCACGTGACTCATCTCATGGGTTGTCACAGCAATCTCCATCTGACTGATGGGGGAAACTGGGCTTCAGAACGATGTCACATCTCCCCCATGGACACACATCCAGCAAATGACAGAGCCCAGACGTCAACCTAGTCTGTAGACCCAAGGTCATGCTCTTGCAGTTGGGCCAGGCTGCCTAACTTGACCATTTCTTCATGTGGAAGGCATGGCACCCAGACAGGCTGGCAGTGGCCATTCCCTGTCCTCTGGCACTATTGTGGTCCCCTCCCCATCAGGTGAGCCCAACCTGGGTAAGAAGGCAGCCCTGGGAAGCTCTGTCTTCACTCGTCACTGGCAACAGTTACCATGTGCCAACCACATTTTACATCTACTTCCATTCTGTGCTTTATTATTCCTGAAAAACTGCCTGAAACCAATGAATGGTACAAGGAAGAATTTACATACCCTTTATGGACAAACTATTTTAGAGATTTTTAAAAATCACACATATGACCATAATAAAAATAAAAATAATAAAGCAAACCCTAAAAAGTCATATATATATACATACTTACATATGGATGTAATTTTTTTTCAATGAAAACAAATCTCATTCTAGCCTACACTGGTTAATGAGCAGTCTCTTACTGGAGGACCTGGCCCAAAGATCACATTCAAAATGGCTGTCTCTGCAAAAGAGAAAAAGTGGCAGAGACCAAAAATTGGGCCTGAGAAGCTCTGATTTTGTTATTGCTGTCACTCATTTTGATTCTTCGTTTATTTGTTCTAAGAATCAAAAGCACTCAAGCTCTGAGGGCCACGCTTTTCCTGCAATGCGCAATCATTTTCCACTTTCCATGACAAACAGTGGCTGAGTTTAAAGACCAAAAGCTACCAAATCTCAAAGCAAAATCTCTTAGTCCTCCCCAGCTCAACACAGCCAACTGGTTTACCCTGTAGAAATTAATACAGAGAGTGCCCCAGGGAACAACCCTTTTATGTACAGAGTAGACTTTAACAGCCAAGTAATTAAACCCTGAAAGTAAGGGCTTATAATTAAAATGCGGACAAACCTGAACTGGGGCGGCACAAGGAGGGCTGCTATAATATTTTTACAATTCCTTTTTATACATAATGTATGATCCTTCTGCTCAAGTTTCCTGTATGTTCTTTGCCTGTGAAATAATTTACATTAATAAATAATTTATTACCATAACTCCTAAAGTAATTATGGGTTTCCATCCAATTTTTTTTAGCATATGAATTGTTTTGTTCTGTCCATTGACTTGTATTTACAAGACTTTTCCTAGTAGCCTTTTTAAAATAATTGGTATTGCCTTCGCTTTCTTACATATGATGTGATTTCCAGGTCTCCTCCTCGCCTGAGTGCTGAGGAAAATGGAATGTGTGGTGTCCATTGTCCCTGCAATACAAATGCACTGAATGGCTGCAATTAGCCAAGGGTGGTGAATGGAGACTGCGCTCACTCCACTTGCCCTGTTTCACCAAAAAAGATCAAACTAGTACACGTGTGACCCTGGGTCCCCCACTGCAAGTGGGAGAAGATGTGGAGGGAGCCTTGACTGAGAGTCCACGCGTGGCCCCGCTTCTCCCCACACAGGATGACTCTCAGCCACAGCCCAGGCCCCTCTTTGTACCCACTAGAAATGAGAGCCAGGAGCAAGGGCTGGCTCCCTCACCCAGCCGGCTGACCAGGGGGTGGGCCGCACCACGGAGCTGCCACCTGACCCATGTTTCCTGTGTCGAGAGCACAAGAACCAGTCATATAAATGGCTCTTTCCCAGAGAAGCTTTGTAGAGGAAATTCCATTTCAGCAAAGAAGGTGGACTGGGGATGCTCTGGAAGATGAGAAAGGAAGCCAAGAGTCAAAACAGCCTCCGCTGGCAGGAGCCCTGTGGTGGCGGCTGAGCTGGCACCCTAATAAGGGGCACTGAGCCCTGGTGCAGGGCTGGCTGGGCAGCACTCAGCTCTACCCTATCTGCTTCTCCCACCCACGCTTCACGCTGGCTTTGTTCTCTCTTCCACACTGAGAAGAACAAAACCACTTATCTGTATCAAGTTCCTAAACTGGGGTAGGGGACAAGAGTGGGGAGGGGCCCGGTATCCAGCTTGCAATCACAGGGCGTGAAGTGCTTTTAATTAAAATAAATAAATAAATAAATAAAAAGCATAGGCCAGGCGCGGTGGCTCATGCCTGTAATCCCAGCACTTTGGGAGGCTGAGGCGGGTGGATCACCTGAGGTCAAGAGTTCGAGACCAGCCTGACCAACATGGTGAAACCCCATCTCTACTAAAAATACAAAAATTAGCCGGGCATGGTGGCAGACACCTATAATTCCAGCTACTCGGGAGGCTGAGGCAGAAGAATCGCTTGAACCCAGGAGGCGGAGGTTGCCCTGAGACAAGAATGCGCCACTGCACTCCAGCCTAGGAGACAGAGCGATACTCCATCTCAAAAAAAAAAAAAAAAAAAAAAAAAGGCATTGTTGTGAACACTCAATTTATATTAGTTATGTGTTTTATCTAAGTGGGTGCAGAGGAGGCTGAGCTACTTGAAAGGGTGGCATTTTAAAAAGTGACCAGGGTGCTGTGCTCCTTGCTCTACTGCACTTGCCCAGATTTTCTGCAGAACATTTGTGAAACTTGAACTCATACTGGCTCCCAGCGAGGACCCTGGCATGGGGGCTCAGGAGGAAAAAATCCTGAGTCACAGGGCCAACTGTCCCCAGCTCTCATGGGAGAATTCCACTGATCAGCACCAGAACATGAGTCCTTTATCTTCAGGAGACAGGCTGGGGGTTGGTGATTATGATAATTTGGTGTTTTATCTTCGCACAGCATTGTCCAGCGCTGGAAGGGCCCAAAACCCTCTTGAAAAGTCTAGCCGGCCCCTCAGAGTATTCTCTTCCCCACTGTTGAAAAGCAGGCACGCCGGGCGCGGTGGCTCACGCCTGTAATCCCAGCACTTTGTGAGGCTGAGGCAGGCGGATCACGAGGTCAGGAAATCAAGACCATCCTGGCCAACATGGTGAAACCCCGTCTCTACTAAAAATACAAAAATTAGCTGGGCGTGGTGGCACACGCTTGTAATCCCAGCTACTTAGGAGGCTGAGGCAGGAGAACTGCTTGAACCTGGGAGGCGGACGTTGCCGTGGGCCAAGATCACACCACTGCCCTCCAGCCTGGCGACAGTGAGACTCTGTCTCAAAAAAAAAAAAAAAAGAAAAGCAGGCACACCTCAGATGAAATCTCGCTGCCTGGGTGGAGTGCACTCCCAGTTCATGGAGCACACGGAGGACTGGAGAGGTAACCTGAGCTTCCACTAGACAGAGTGCACGGGGTAAGGCTCCTGACTGCTGACACCCGCTCCGCTCCAGCAAGCGCAGGAAAGGGATAGAGGTGGGAGGGAGGATGTGTGCTAGTGTGTGGCCGTCTCCTTAAATCCTCACAACTTGCAAACTGAGGAAACCTAGCCGGGAAGATGGGGTGGTATCCCCATAGCTCAAGGGCCTCCACATCTCACGGGAGTTGGCCTAAGCAGTGCAGAATTCACTGTTCGTTGATCTTTCTCCTCCACCAGACAGAAAGCTCCCTGAGAGAAGGGGCAGGGTCTGATTCACTCTATCCCTCACCAGGTGCCTGACACACAGCAGGTGCTCAAGTCATATCTATGACAGCAAGCCACTGAAAATGAAAACAAACTGCAGTCAGTGAAACACGTCAGTGATGCACAGCCATGCAGGTCAGGGTTTTCCTGAATTAGGGAGGGGCCGACCAACAGAAAGATGAGACCCATGGAGAGAGAGCAGCAGAGGAGAACAAGGGGACTCCACAGACCTCCCACCAGTACAACGGCTCCCCGCTTCTCCCTCTGCTGCCTGGCAGTGCCCTGGCACTGTCCCACAGAGCAGAAGGAAGACAGGACCCTGCTGAAGAGGAGAAGAGCCTGGGACGGAGGCATTGGGACCCAGCCAGCACTTCCTAAAGAGCCACTCTGTAAACAGGAGTCTGCAGACACAGCGTAGTCCCTCCTGGAAACCATGGCCTCCCCGGTAGAAAGCAGGTTGCTGGGCTCTGCAGCCTCCGATAGACTCTCCTGGGCCATCTGGACTTTTTCCCACACACCTCCCTTCTCCGGGGCCTCTGCCTTGGTCTCTGGGCCTCAAGACCTGGCCCTACAAGGGCGACTCTCTCTGTCATCACAAACCCACCAGACTTCCACCTTATTATAACTTACACAGTGCAAAGACTAGAAATCCTTGAAATAAAGACCAACATCTCCACAACCCAGTTTACTGGTCTGGCCCGGTTGACAGCTAAAGCCTAGGCAGGGTTGAGGGGCTGGGCATGCCGGGGCCTCTCTCTTTCCCAGCATGACGCAGGAAGGAAGCGCAAAGGTGAGGTTGTCCCAGGAAGCAGGCGAGGAGGCAGGCTTCTGAGCTATGTGTCTGGGGCCCTGAGGGTTTGCTGAAAGCTGTAAACCACCGGGGAGGTATTCAATCCTGTGGGGACGGGCCTCCCAAGTATGTCACATGGAAAACCAGGGCCAGCTGATCTCCCTGTCTCCATCTTCTTCAGTGGCAGCATCAAGAGCACCGCCAGGTGTCCCAGAGCCATGGCAGGTGGTTGAGAAGAAAACAGTCTCCCTTCGTCACCCACCTGAGTCCAACTCCGCTTACTGAGGGACCTTGCAGAGGGCCACCTCACTAGACCTCAGTTCTCCCGTATGTGAATGATGCCACTGGCAGAGCCAGCGGGGCCCAGCATGTAAGGAGCCTGGCACAGTGCTCAATCTGACACATCACCTCATCTATGGCAACTGTATCTGAAGAAGAAAAACAAAACACCGCACATGGAGGGAGGACCGAGAAGGAAAGGCAAGGGAGACTCTGAGGTCTGACCAAAGTAACCTTTGAATCTGAAAGCCCACAGTCATCATCATCTATCATCTGAGAGTGGTTTCTGAGTCCACGCAGACGTTACAGAAACTCATCCGGCAAGACGTCCCCAAAGGTGGGCAAGGAGAGCCACAGAGAGACACTGAGAGGTCAAACAATGCCCAATCATCTGAAGCATCAAGTAATCAATGGTCATCTTTTTTACCGCCTATAAAAAACAGTAATTCACACTTGCACAGAAACAGAAGATCAAGGCAATCTTCTCTGGAAGGCATGTCAGCAAAATGAATCAAGAGCCTTAAAAATGTCCCTGCCCTCCAGCCTGTCTATTCCACTCCTGGAAACTATCCTAGCAAATCATCACAAAGGCAGACAAAGAATTAGGCACTTACCTAGCCACTGTTCATCACAACAGCAAATAAAACAGCCTCTTGACCCAACAGCCTAGATGTAGTTACATCACTAAAGACATTCTGATACATTTACCACCCAATGCGGTACTGTAGACCATTAAAATGCATGGAATGAACAATTTTAATGCTGTGGGAAGATGATGGTAACTACTCCAAGTGAAAAAAGCAAACAAATATAGTTTTACATAATTATATGTTCATCGTGGAATGGGCTATATAAAAAATGCTAAGAACATAAACATACACAAAAATATCAACAGTAACTCTCCCTGGGCATTGGGGCTACGAGAGATTTTTATTGCATACTTTACACTATTGTGCATTTTCTGAATGAAAAAAATCAACATGAATTACTTTAATCATCAGACAGAAATTCTCAATGTTGGAGTTGTAAACCACACACCAGTGCCTGTCCCTTCACTCAGGCACCGTAGGGGACCAAAATAGTTAAAACACACAGAAGAGTCCCGGGGCTGCTCTTTTTGAACTTGTGTCCAGAAAGTGCTTTGAGTGTCTCACCTGGAGGACTCAGACCCTGGCTGGAAGGACTAGGAGGACAGCTTCCAGGATGGCCTTGAGTACTTACCCATAATTCCACAAGAGAAAAGTGTAGGTCCTTGACTCATCTTCTTTGGCGTGTGCTGAAAACAACCAGAAAAGCTATTCACTCTTCAAATCATAGGAAGCATGTTTGCACTGACTCTACTGATCCCTTCTAAAGTCACAATAAAAGGGTGACTGTCCTTTGCCAATGTCAGATCAGGGAAAGGAGGAAAAGGTATTCAAAGAGAAAACATCTGCACAAAATTAGGCCCAGATTTTTTGTCCCAAGTCTCTAGTGAGTTATGGAGTCCATCGAGTTAATGGGCTTTGAAAACACACAGAAAGCCCCACGACTTCTGACACGAGGGGATTTTTCCACATAAGTGATGTGGAGGCGGCCCGGGGGCAGGATGGATGGTAAACAGTGGAACAAGCTTCCCTGAGCTGGGCTGAGAAGAGACCAAGAGAGGAGGGGACCTCCCTGGGGACACGAAGAACCTCAAGTAGGGAGCAGAGGGCCCCAGGTCCGACTCCGAGACCCCTCCCTTCCAGATCCAGGGAGAACAGCTCTCCCGCTCTGGTGAGAAGCATGGGGAGAGCTCGGAAGGGCTGGCGTCTGCTCTGCAGACTGTTTTGTGGCTACATCGAGTCCCCTTGAGGCATTTTCTCTGAACTGAAACAGAAACTCAAGGGTTATATTTGGTCTCAACATAACAGCTATGGCTTTTGAACTCCTTGGCCCTGTATTTCCACAATGGTTTCCCTTTCCACTGCAAACATTCTACAGCTTCCCTGATGCCCCCCGCCTACCCTCAACTGAATGCTATGGCCACCAGGCAGAATAGGCCAACGAGGCCTAGAAGAACCCCAAATCCAGGGCACTTGCTCCATGGCTACACAGTAAGCTGGGTGTGGAATATTCTGGGGGTTCCTCATGCTAGGTGATACCCAGGTCAAGAGGCTCGCTCGGTCCTCTCATGAGCAGAGACTACCCAGCCAGAGCCCCAGGAAGGAGCTCTGCCTCAAGTGCTCCAAGGCTTCCTCACTCACTCGCCCACTCGCTCAGTGGGCACGGGCTGGTGATTCTTCCTAGGCGGGCTGTGCTGGGGGTTGATCATGCAATGATGAAAGGAGCTCTTAGCCCCAGAGAAATGAGCCTGTCACAGAAGGCTCTGACTTCTAAAAGGAACCCTGAACACTCCCCATATCAAAATGACACAAACAGACAAGACTTCCAGGCTGGTAAGTGGACAAGGGCCCAGGTTCTGGCTCTTTAAGGCCTGGCAGGAGGATGGGGCTGACTAGGAACGCCTGGCCCCTCCAGGTAAGAAGGCGGCAAGCACCTGGCACCAGCTCCCTCACTTCATCCCCATCCACCCAATCCAGGGACCTCTGCACAAGGTCAACGCCGTGTTCATCCCACGGGGTTACTAAGGGTCCATGCTGACCAACCTGGGGACACAGAGGTGAAGGAGGGCTCACTCTTCATGGAAGACGGTCACAGACAAACCACAGGGAGATCAGGGCTGGAGGGGATGTCCAGGGCAAGTGTGCTGGGATGAGGGTGGAGGTCGGGGCAGCCTCCTGGGGGGGATGCTTAGACACTTGATGAGGACCACAGGAGCTTCTAGGGCGGAAGGGGAACGGGGCAGTCCTCCTACAGGTTGCCCTCCTCAGTTTAAAATGATCCTAACAGTATCATCAGGCTCAGTCACCCTCCTGGATTCCACAGTGATGTAACCATCCCCTCTACCGCCATCTGTGGAAATATCTGGGAAGAATTCAAAATGGCTGCACCTGCTTCCTCCCATCCCCCAACACAATCCCAGCTGAGAGGTGCAGCTGAGAACACACCGAAGTCATCCAATGGCAAGTGGATGACAAGCGCATGAGAGCACTGCTGCTGGGGCTGCACTGCCTGCACAGCTGAGAGCTCAGCCTGTGGACGCCAGGCAGGCGCCCAGTTTGCAGGCTCAGAGAGGGAAGTCAGGCCAGGGTCTTGCTTGCCAAGGAAGGCAGCTCCCAGCACTAAGGGAACACCTGGGCACAAGGAAATTACCCCCTGGGGAACCCCGGCCCCCAGCCCGTGCCTGCCAGGTGGGAGAAGGTAACCCAGGGTGGGAGGCCAGAGAGGCCACACCAGGATGGGGGCTGGGGAGAGCAGAATTGAACAGGAACACTGAAGCACCCCGCGTGCTTCACTGGCATGCATGCAGGAGGGCTTGGGGCTTTCCACACCAAAGCAGGAAGCCACGTAGTGAGCCGCCCCTGCCTGGCCAGCAGAACAGTGCTTGCTGGCCGCCTCTCACCAAGCTGGCATGTTCTAGACCAAGGGGGACCTCAGGGCCCTCCTGACCCAGGCCTTCGCAAGGAACACTGCCAGAGATGCTGGGGTCTGTCTGCCCACAGAGGCAGCACTGGGCCAGCACACAGAGCACCCCAGGCACTCGTTCATACATTCACTCAACTTGCTCATTCATTCATTCAATGAGGACTTATCAGCATCTGCAGCAGGTCCCCAGAGTGGCCTGCCATTTCTAACCTGGAAAACTGACTCCTCACCACCCCACCATTGGCCCTGATCCCAGCCACTGCCAGCCCCAGTGAACGCCCCTCCTAACCGCTCTTACAGCCTGTACCCTCGGCCCCCATTCCCCACCCTCCATCCAGAACCCAGAGCCATCTTCTTAAAGCAGAGATCAGACCACGTCATTCTGTTCCAACAACTTCCCACCACAACCAGAATCAAATCCCGGCCACTACCTCTCCTCCACAGCCTACAGGGCCCCATATGAGCCAACCTGAGTACCCCCAACCTTGCTCTGGCCCTCCCCTCCTCACTCACACCACCCAGTGGGGCCAGGCCAGTCACTACCATCTCAGGGGCTTTGTGCCGGGATCTTCACGCAGCAGGCTTTGCACTGTTCCTGCCCTGTGGCCTCCTCAGTGGCCTTGCCGGACCATCCTGGCTAAAGCGGTGCCTCCCACCTGCTTTTCTCTCTCCCATCGCCTCATTTAATGAACATGGCAGGTATCAGAACATCTGTTCCTGTACTGATTCTCTGCTCCATGGGAACGGAAGCTTCTTGAGAAAGGAGGGCTGTCTTGGTTCCAACATCCCAGCTGACAGCAGGCACCATGGCTACAGCCACCTGTCAGCGCCAGCCTGTCCCACTCCTGCAGCCACACACCCAGTGGATGTCAGGCAACGGAAGTGGATTTTCACTGGGCAGAAGTCACTGTCTCCCAAAATCGCTGGCCTCACGCAAAGTCAAACCTCAGTGGGGAAGGGCTGAGAGGCCAGCCTGAGTGTCAGAGCCGCCCTGCAGGCTAGCCTGGCCTCCTCATGCCGGTCTCCAACACTCTACCTAAGGGTTCCCATGAACCAGCAATGGTGCACACTATGATTTTCTAACTCGAAAGAACGACTTCTCCATTTCCCCACCCCGGGCAAGCCACTGCTTGCTCCTCACTGAACAGATGAAACCGCGCAGCCCAGTGGTGCGGCCCCCTTCTTCTGTCAGCAGCACCCCAATTCTGAATTGGGATACCTTCATCGTCACTGGATCATGTCTTAGTGGGACTGTCAACCAAGGTGCCTCCACCTCCCCTGGCCCCAGGCTAGGCCCAGAACTCAAGCCTGGCTGACCAGACACTGGTTCCATGGCTGACTCCTGAACCACAGAGCTGGGGCTGATCCGCCCAGGAAGGAGGCCCTCAGCCTGCCCGTGAGCACCTGCTTCTAAAGTCCTCCCAGCTGCTCCCACCCTGCCCTTTCTGAGGCCCGACTGGCCCCCTCCTCTCCAGCCCTGCGAGCTCGCCCTGTGCTTCAGGGAGTTCTCTTTCGGGGTGAGTTAGCTGGAGATGGCCTCTGGTGCTGACAAAGGAGGAACCCTGACTGATTTCGTGCTTGACCTCAAGACCAGATCACGGCCCATCTTGCTTTCTGAGCCCCATCCGTGAGGCTAAGCCAGTGGCGGCCAGGCCAGAATGTCATGTACTGACAGCTTTCCAGGGTGCCAGGCCCCAGTGTACCCTGACCGCTGGCAGGTTTCCCTGGTCCAACTCCACATGGGCAAACCAGCAGAGTTCCTGCTTGGCTCTAGGTTGGCCAGGGCCTTTTTTTCCCCAGGCTTCCCAGTATATGCTAACATTCCCACTGGTATTTACCATTCCTATACACACGGCCTTTCCAACACTTTGAACCTCCTGCACCCACAGTGGGAAGAATGAGCCAATCACGGTGTGGAGGCCCCACCAGGCCGAGGGAACCCCTCGGCCCTCTGAGGTTTCACAAGACACTCAGTGTCTGCACTCTGCGAGCACCCGAGCCCTAGCTGAGGTCTGCAGTGAAATAAGACCAGAGCACATTTCCCCTTTGTGCTTCTCCCACCGTGAAGCCTCTGTTCCCGAGCCCACGCCGGGGCAGGGCCTCGTCTCTGTGAGACTCCTCAGATCACGAGAGAAGGTTTTTGGAATTAGATCCTCGTAGGAAAGGCAAAAGCTGGAAATCAAATGGAGGCTTCAGGGCCATCTGTCTGACTAAAGAAAGCAGCCCTGGCTTAAATAAAGACACAATTAAGGCTCCAAATGAGGAACTGGCCCTGCAGAAAATGCCAGGCCACAACCACGGTTCTTGGTAACTTTGCTCTGCACATTATCCACTAAAGAAATCAAATCACCTTTTCCATCTCCTGACACGGTGTTACAGGGAGCCACAGAGCAACAGGGGGAGGCTCGCGCTCATGCCCTGCGGGGGAACGAGTGGAGCACCCACACTTCCGAAATGCAACCCCGCGAGACCGTGGCAGTCGAAAGCAAAAAGGAGATCCAGGCCTGAGACAAGAAAGAGAAGCTGAGGAGGGAACAGCACCTTTGTGTGAAGACTCTCAAAGATGCGGATAGAGATACGCTGGCCCTGACTCCTGAGGCTCTGGGATTAGCCAAAGCATGGGCAGGCCCCTTGGTATCTCTGCCTGCCCAGGGTGAAAGGCATCAGGCTGCCCTGGACCCTGTGCACTCCCACATTCTAACTTCAGGCCAGCCTGGGGCCTGCCAGAGATCCTGGCTGGGGCTGTTGAGCTCAAAGTGCCAACTTAGCATGGCCCGAAGTATGAAGAACCCCAGTGCCCAGGCAACTGGGTGCAAGGCCTGACATGGCCACTAACTCCTCAGGTAAGAAAAGTCATTTAGCCTTGGCATCCTAATCTGACAAGTACAGAAGGAAGTGCTTGTTCTAGCTACCAGATCAGCCCCTCCAAAGGACAAGTATTGGTTGTTACGTGGAAAGTCAGGCAGCCTGGAGCTCCATGCTGCCCTCTGCCCAGGAGCAGCCAGCCACCAGCTCCCTTTGGTCTTCAGCCTTAAGGGAGGATGGGCTGCAGAAAGAAGAGCGGGCCTGGCCAAGGGAGGTGGTCACTCTGGAAACAAAAGAACAGGCCCTTGGCCTGAGTGTGGGCGTGCGGGAAGGAGCTGAGGGAGCACAGTGCTCCAAGGTCAAACGTCTGGGCTGCCTTCCAGGGGAGCAGCTAATGTTAGAACACTGGAAGGAAGAGCCCACTCAGCAGAGGAAGGCACTGGCCAGAGTGGGGGAAAGGGGAACTGGACCCAGCCATGGCTGCCGGCAGTGCAAGCGAAGCCAGGGCCATGGGCACAGCTGAGCCTCAGGGCCATCTCCCCCCAGGCAGGTGGGCCCTGTGCTGGGAAAGGCAAAATGCTGAGCACTGGTCAGTCCTTTTTTTCCCTTTTTCCCACATCTTTCTTTGAGGGAAAGACAGTTGTTTCACCAGCATTTAGTTTTTTAAAACAGGGGAACCAGAACCATGGCATGAACCCCTAAGAAGGCTGGGAGGGAGACCGAGTCCTCACACCCCTCAACAGGCCTCAGAATTGGCCACGAGCTCCTCCTCCAGTGCCACATGACACCCAGGGTTGCGAGGACCCTGGTGACTTTCCCTTGCACATTGAGACTTTCCCGCTCTGTGACTAAGGCCTGACTCTGGGGACCCAGGGTGAGCTGCGCCTCTGGGGCCTGCTCCCATAATTCCAAAGTGGCCTATGCTGATACCAGTCCCGGCCTCCCCCACAGTCATGCTTTCCTTTAAAATCTTAAACCTCCACTTGTTATCTTCTTAGTCTGATTAGAAAACAAAAGAAAAATTATTTTCCATCGTTCCTGTTGTTATCTTGATGGTATTTACACGGGGATGATGTTACCAGTTTAGGAAGCTAAAGCAAAACCCCGTCAACTTCCTCTGAACCTTTGCTGGCTGTTCAAAGCAAATGCTAGCATCAGCTTATCTCACATTCTGTCCCGTGGATGTCATCACTAGACTAAGATTATTTTCAGTATTTCTTCAGTTATTTACATCGTGTGTCTCTCCCCAAGGCCTGGAGGGGCTCCAAGGCGATCACAGCCTCTGGAACAGGGCCCATGCGAGAAGGTGCTGGGGGAAGCAGACAAGGGCCTGGACTTGAAATCTGTGACCAGGGCAGCCCCTCCCTGGGCTCTCTGAGCCACAGTTTCCTTCCTGTATAATGGGGTAGAAATGGGTGCACCCCTGCCCCTCAGCAGGTGGCATGAGGCTCAAGGACAGGGAGGAGGTACCTGGACCTCTGGGCATACAGTTTGGATGTTCGTCCCCTCCAAATCTCATGTTGAAATGTAACCCCCAATGCTGGAGGCGGGGCCTGGTGGGGGGTGTTTGGGTCATGGGAGCGGATCCCTCATGAATGGCTTGGTGGCCTCCCCATGGTGATCAGGGAGTCCTCGCTCTTCTAGTTCATGTGAGGGCTGGTAGTTTAACAGGTCTGGCACCTCCTCCCTTCCCTCTTGCTCCCTCTCTCACCTCGTGACACACTTATTCTCCCCTCACCTTCTGCCATGACTGGAAGCTTCGTGAGGCCTTACTAGAAACAGATGCAGGTGCCATACTTTTTTTTTTGGAGACACAGTCTCACTCTGTCGCCCAGGCTGGAGTGCGGTAGTGCTGTGATATCGGCTCACTGCAAGCTCCGCCTCCCAGGTTCGAGCCATTCTCCTGCCTCAGCCTCCCAAGTAGCTGGGACTACAGGCGCCCGCCTGCCACCACACTCAGCTAATTTTTTGTATTTTTAGCAGAGACGGGGCTTCACCATATTAGCCAGGATGGTCTTGATCTCCTGACCTCGTGATCCGCCCTCTTCAGCCTCCCAAAGTGCTGGGATTACCGGCGTGAGCCACCATGCCTGGCCGGTGCCATACTTCTTATACAGCCTGCAGAACCATAAGCCAAGTAAATCTCTTTTCTTTATAAATTACCCAGCCTCAGGTATTCCTCATAGCAACATGATATGAACTAACACACTTCCCAAGACCCTCAGTGTAGCTGCACCTCCAACACCTTCCTGCTGGCCCACGCTATAGCGCAGGCAGCGCTGAGCCAGGCCGGGCCAGGCACTGACGCCCAGTCAATGTGTTCTGGGCGCATAAGCAAACTGAGCAATGAGAAAGCCCATCTCCAACAGGGCTGCTCCCCACAACAGACCTCTCATCTGGAGCCAAGGGGAGAGAAGAGGAGGAGGAAGACCACAGATGGACCCAAAGCACTGCACACTGGGTGGTTCTGGGCCCGGACAGGCCAGTAACAAAAAGCAGCAGAAAGAAGGATACTTTCCAACAAAGCAAGGAGAGTTCAGGAAGAAAGCACAGATTCTAATCTGTGTGGCCACAAGAGAACACATGGTAGAATCCCTTCCAGCAAAGCCGCCTGCTCTCCCCTGACTGCTTTCCCTTTCTGAGATGAGTTTTCCTTCCCTGGCCAGGGCTGGGAGGCCGTGCTCCTCCTGGCAGGGGCTCAGGCCACACCTCTTGGAAGAGCAGCTCAGCTGACCTTGGGCCCACATGTCCTGGAACCAACTCTGAAGCCAACACCAGGCAGTCCCACCCTGAGAAGGGACCAAGCACAGAGGCGGCCACTGCAGCCAACTGCACAGCTGGACCCGGGTAGGGCTCCTCCCTCGGGACCTCCAGATGGCTCCTCACCCTTGAGGTCCCTTCTTTTTGGTCAGAGCTACTCTAGTCGCACCCACTCAGTCGTGAACTGGAGCAGCAGCCAGAGAGAGAGTAAGACAATGGTGAATGAGAAGAGGCCAGGTGACAGGAACCTGCAAGCTCATCCATCCACAAACATCCACTGAGCACCTGCCACGGGCTGGGCCCCGTGCATTCAACAACAAGTAAGAGAGACATCCTCTGCTTTCTCAAAGCTCCCATTCTAGTATAAGGACTCGGTCAAGATCCACAGGGACATGTTTAAAAGTGCTAAGTGCCCAAGAGGGAAAAAGGAAAAGAGGAGAGAAAGTGTGGTGGGGGTAAGGGGTGGGCGCTGGCGCTGGGACTGAACTGTAGGTTGAGTAGCCAGAGAAGGAAGGAGGGAGGGAGTATGTCCTACTGTGGGGAGAGGGCTCCAGGCCAAGGAAAAAGTGCAAAGGCCTGAGGCAGGCTCACGCTTGGCATATTGGAATAGGGAGGCCAGTGGGGACCGAGCAGAGGGGGCAGAGTGGCAGAGATGAGGTCAAAGCAGTCACATGGACAAGAATATATGGGGCCATGTACATCCTAGTAAGGGCTGGGTGTTTGCTAAGCATTCAGTGTAAAGCCAGTGGAAGCTGCTACACAGAGAAGGACAGCTCTGACTGGGATTCTCTCTGGCTGCTGGGTGGAGAACAGGTTAAAAAGAGCCAGAGGCAGGGGACCAGTTACCACAAGAATCCTTGCGAGAGAACAGCAGGTGGAACCAGGGTGGTGGCAGCGGGGCTGGTGAGAAGTAATCACATCACACAGCAAATGTGAACTGGAAAGGATGGGGTGGTAGCAGAAGAGCTGAATGGTCACAGCAGCTCTACTCCTCGCTGCAGTGACCAAGGCTGCCATCGAGCAAACACACCTCAGGTGCCTGCTGTCTGCCCTGCCTCAGTAGTGCTGGGGACATGGGGAGGAGCAAAGCTGAGTCCCTATCCTTGCAGCTGGGGGTGACACCCCATGGAGACCTCACAGGCTGAGGCCCATGAGCAGAGTGGCACCAGTGTCACATCTGGTAAGGGCTGAAGAGACCTGACTGAGGGAGGGCCACCAAGACTGGCGTCCAGACACCAGGCAACAGGCAGAGGCCTGAATGCAGGCCCAGGAAGTGGGGCTAGAGGGGCAGGAGGGAAGGCGGAGGCGGAGCCAGTGAGGCAGTTACTGCCTGCTCCAGGTTGCAGCTGCCTCATTTGTAAAACAAGGAGGCTGGACCCAACGGTTTCTAAGCCACTTCTTCTCACCCTTCAAGGCCAAATCAAGTATCCCTGCTCCGCAAGGCTTTCCCTGGCGTGCTACAGCCAGGCTGGCCCTGCTCCTCTACAAGCCCTGGGCTTCCCATGGGCTTCAGCTGCGAGTTCTTAGTCATGGGATCCTCAAGTGTCACTGTATTCACAGCTCTCCAGACACCCTCCCTCTAGACCACGAGCTTCTCAAGGGTGAGGAGTACAGGGCCTGGCTCCAGCTCATCCTGTTCCCTGAACTCCTCCAGCCTGGTGCCCAACACACGGAAGGCGCTCTGTGAGGCCTGCGGAAAGAATACAGATCTCGGTGGCTTTCCCAAGCTCCTGCCACAGCCAGAGACCTAGGTCTATCTGCTCAAGGTCTGGTTTCACTGGCATGAGCTAGGGGAAGGGGCCCACCAAGGAGGCTTGGCGTGGGTCCTCACGAGGAGCCGTGAAGGGCGCCAGGAGGGGTCCTGGGCAAGGTGACCCTGGGCAGTTGGCCCCTTCCTGATCACGGAAGCTGCAGAGAGTTCTGAGGACTTGCCCATCTCCACAAGACTGCTTATGACTGAGTGTGGCTTCTCGCTCCCTCCACAGGGGAGCAGCCTGCACTCACATCTGAGGAACTGGGCTTGGAAGGACAGGTCTGCTGACAGGGTTCAGCTACTGGAGGTTGTTTTGCTCGTAGTCTAAGAAGGCCGAGTTAGCTACCTCTCTGCGCTAGTCCACCAAGTGGTCCAGGGTGGTCCAGGGTGAACCACCTTTGGCAGAGGGTGGCTGTTGCCATAGCTCACCACACCTTCTTTCCCCATCATCTCCCACTCTCGACGTTCCTGAGGCAGCACCACCCTTCAGAGGGACAGGCTTATCTGGGCCTCCATTCAGGGCACCAACCCCCTCTGGAAACCACCCCCCCTTAATGGGTGGAGACAGAAGGAATGTCAATCCTGGCTTGGCAGGCGGCAGAATCACACTTGCTGTTATTTACCAGGGGATGGCCTCCCCTCCTCATTCACCAGATGACCTCAAATCTGAGCTGAGTTCCTTCCTTCCAGCAAGTTCTCAGTCAAGCTCTGCTCCTGTGCCCTGTTGCCCCAGCCCGGGACGCCTCACAGAGCTTTGCTCTTGGGGACTCTGGACTCGATTTGCTAAGCTTAGGTGCTCAGTCCACAGCCCTGTCTGTACATCAGGCCTCAGAAATGGTCATGGAAAGCAGGAAGCCTGCCAGGTCCTCACCAGTTCACGGCTGAAGGTCCCACATGCAATGGAGTCAGCTCCCCGGGTGCTGAGGCTTTCACTTAGGACCATCACCATGATAAGGGCCTCAGGCGCTGGGCTCCATCCCAGGGTGGGTATCAGCCATCTTCACTTGGGCAGACTTGGGGTGAGTACCTCCTGGGGAATTGATGTCAGCAGAAACAGCTCCCCATTGGCCACTCACCCTTGGGGTGGGGCCCTTCTGGGAAATGGCCAAATGTGGTCAACTCCCTGGAAAGACAAAAGAAAAGCAAAAAGATTCAGGACTAAGAAAGACGAGGGCCCTGAGAGTCACCCCTCCCACAGTACTGGAAATCCCAGGGGACTGGAACCACCTCTCTGCTAAAGGAGATGCACTCTGGGAGAGTCACCAAGGCCCAGAGTTACCTTCTCAGAGTCCCCCCGCCCACCCCTGCCATGCCAGCCTTGGGCTGCCTCACTTGTAAAATGGCCTGGTGGATAGAACAACAAATTGGGGTCCAGCCGCATGATACCTTTAAGATCTATCTCAGGGTCTGGGTGGCTAACAATCTGCTGTCCCTGCAGCATACTCAAGTCATGTGACATCTTACCACTAAGCTGGCTCTACAGGCAGCTTCAGCACACACCAGGATACATTAAAGTAGGCCAAGGGTCAGAACATGCCTCAGCCCCGCATCCAACACCAAAGGGGTCGGCCCTCAGGCAGCCAACTGGCAGCAAGGGACCAGCAGTCAGCATGCTGGCTCCCTTCTCCAACCAGTTATGAACAGAAGCTAATGGAACAATCAGTAGGGTCCATTTAAAAAGGCATACATTTGGCCAGGCACGGTGGCTCATGCCTGTAATCCCAGCACTTCAGGAAGCTTAGGCAGGTGGATCACCTGAGGTCAGGAGTTCGAGACCAGCCCGGTCAACATGGTGAAACCCCATCTCTACTAAAAATACAAAAAATTAGCTGGGCTTGGTGGCGTGCACCTATAATTGCAGCTACATGTAAGGCTGAGGCAGGAGAATCGCTTGAACCTGGGAGGCAGAGGTTGCAGTGAGCCAAGATTGCACCACGGCACTCCAGGTTGGGGCAACAAGAGTGAAACTCCGTCCCCACCCCGCCCCCAAAAAAAGGCATACATTTCTGGTCCTTGGAAGTGCCACATTTCAACATCAACATCTTTGCAACACTGGAGGCCTTCACAGTTTTGTCATCTTCCCCAGAATGAACTAAACTGAGCTTCCAGCAGTGATGGGACCCACTCAGCATCGCCATTCTGCACAGCCTATCCGCAGCCCCTCTCCGATAACCCACCATCATTTCCCACCAAACAAATGAAGAAAGAGTGCGGCCTTCAGTTCAGGTTTGAAAAATCCCTCCTTATAAACTCATGTCTCTGATTCTATTTCCCCATGTGGCTAAACCTTCAAAGAAAGTCACACAGATACAAGGAACCTGAAGATCACCATCAAAAAGTAAAAAATAATCATGATAACAGTATTAAATAGAAAAGCAGCTTCCAATCTGTAATCAGAAACAAACTGCTCAACACAGGAAAATGTTTTAGAATCTGCTGCTCTGTGTAAAAATTAATTGCACCCTGGTATTTACTTGCTGTCCAGATTGTAAATCATGTTTTCCTGTTTACTTCAATTAGACTTTACAGTGGGTGTTACTGAAATTGCTCAATTACAGGCCAGCTGGCAAGCACAGGAAAATTACCTTCTACTGTTCTTCGAAAACAAGGTTCATCCAAAGTGCAAAAGCAGGGAAGGGGAGGAGGGAAATCAATACATGTTCAGGAAGGGAGCCCCGGGGAGCCTGAAGATTCCCAGGTCGCATTGAGAGACCTGATGCACAGGTTCAATACCACATCGATCTAGAAGTGACATGTTCTGACCAAGTGTGATCTGTTCAAGGAAAGAATTTCAGACCACTCCTGCAAGTTCTGGCCAGGCAGCTGAGCCAGAAATGCCTGTCAGCCCCCACTGCAGGCTTAGCTCAGGAGCAGGCCAGAGAGGTGCTCCTGGACTCGCCTTTCAAAGGGGCCTTTTGTGCCTCCTCAGTGGTGGAAGCCTAATGGCAGCCGTCATGTTTCTGTGTGTGAGCCCCAATTCAGCTCTACGGCAGCCAGCCGTCGGCACAAGGCCTGAGAGGTGAGCTGCCTGTTCCCTCCTCCCCCATTTCCAGCCTCTCTCTAGGAAGCCAGGTGGGCTCAGTAGCTACAGAGGCTCAGGTCCTGAGTCAAGCACAACTGAGTTGGAATCCCAGCTCTTGAAATACATTGTTTGAGTGGCCTTTGCCAAGTTACTCTCAGAGCCTCAGTTTCCCTCTCTGTACAACAGGGAAAACAGTGCTTGCCTCACAAGGTTACTGTATCTGATGAAAACAGAGCCCAAGTCCTTTGCCCAGTGTCTCGCTCATCCAGGAGAGTGCTCAATCAGCAGCAGCTACTGCTAGCAGTTTCATGGGGGAGGCTGGGAGTCCAGATCCTCCTCTCGGCAATGGACGCCCAAGCGGCCATCCTCTCAAATGTGTTTAAAGGGAAACAAGCTAAATTCCATTAACAAGGGCCTGGCTATATGATGGCCCATCCCTCTGGTGAAGTAGGAGGCGGCCAGTAGAATGAAACTGTGGAAGTCTGTCGCCATGGGAACACATTAGCCCATCCAGACACAGCTCTGCATGAAGCAGGAAGCCAGAACGAGGCAAAGACGGGGCACCCCAGCTCTCTCTAGCTCCATCCCCAGCAGAGTCCCGACAAGGGGCCAGGGCTCAGAGAGGCAGCAGAAGCACCAAAAGCGCCTGGGTAACTGGGTGGTCAGCACACGTGGCAGGCATGGAAAGGAGAAGGCAGGTGTAGCACAATCCCTGCCCTGGGGGGTCTCACAGAGAGTGCAGTGACCCAGCCAACACATTTCAGAGGCAGGCAGAAAGGGGGACATTCATCGGAGGTAGGCCTTAAAGTGACTCCTTTGCACCGTAAGAGCCCAAGAGTGGGGACAACCTAGCTGCCTACAAGCAGGGCAAACTGGTTAAATACATTACGGTGTTGTTACATAAGGGAATACCATGTGGCCTTCAAAAATATTTTAATGAGCCAGTTCAAACTGTACAGATATGAAACAATCTCCAAGAAATCCTATAAAGTGACAAAGGCAAGAAGAGCGAGTCCACTAGCCTGAGTGACAGAGTGAGTCTCTGCCTCAAAAAAAGAAAAAAAAAAAAAAATAGAAGGAGTCCAGCATGGTCCCACACAGTGGTTGCCTGGAGAAGGGAATGACAGTTCCGGAGAGGAACCACGTCCAACCCTATGTGAGGTTTGAATATTCCATCCCACGCCTGCCCATGGTACTTTTAGTTCTTAAAAAACAGGCAAGATTTCATCAGGAAGGGCAGGGCACCCAGGCAGAGGGAAGGGTGTAAGCAAGGCGTGGCCGCCGGGTCGGACTTGGAGTATGGGAACGGTGAGCGTGCTGGTGGCTGGCACACAGGGCACGCAGAGGGCACAGCAGCAGGATGGGAGCTAGAGAGAGACTCAAACCAGACCCAGGGCTCTGAATGCCATACTCAATGGAGACCTTATCACTGCAGCTGTGGGGGCTCCCAAAGGAGGTTAGAAGCTGGAGCTGGCTGCTTTGATCTGTTGGGAGAGCAATTTTTTCTGAACCCTTTGCAACACCTACCACGATCCCTCACATACCCTAGCAGCTCAATACACATTTCCAGAATCCAGCTAAATTACAGCAACATGTGAAATGATCTGGGCACGTTCTCAGAATTTGTGAGGCGAATCCAGACCAGCAGAGCCCAGCACGATCTGGAATTTCCTGGGATTCCTATGACCCGTGGGCCCTGGCCCGGCCAACTTCACTGGGGAATGCCAGGACCAGGCCGGAGACTTCGAGCCCAGTCTGCAAACAGGGTCAGGGTCTTCTCAAAGAGAAGCCGGGGGCATGGCCAAGAAAAAGACAATAACTGGGTGATCCCACAGGGCGCGAGGTGGAAGCCTCGCAAAGCCCTCCCACAGGCCACCTCTGGGGCACACACCCTGCCATGGTCTAGTGGGTTTTCTCTTAACCTATATCAAGAATCACTTCTATCTACTGAGCACCTACTAGGTACCAGGCGCTTTACACACATTAGCCACAAGCCAGATTGAATTATCCCCATTTTACAGCCATATACAGCAACTCACCCAGGGTCCGGGTTCAAAGCTGGGATTTGAACCCTGGTGGGCCAGCATTCAGGACTGCACTTCCCACCATGCCTCACCTCTCCATCCCCTAAAAAACCCCTTCAAATGCCCATTCAAACAACTACCAGCAAGAGTTCTCCTTAGCATTTATTCCAGAGAGATTAAGATTTATGTTCACACACAAATGTTTGTAACAGCCCTTTATTCATAACAGCCAAAACCAGGAAATACTCCACAGACGCTTTGCTGGGTGAACAATTAGACAAAATGTGGCAGGGCACAGCCACACTGTGGAATACTACTCGGCAATAAGAAGGAACCAACCAGAGACACACGCCACAACCTGGATGAGCCTCCAGAGACTCATGCAGAGTGAAAGAGCCAGTCCCCAAAGGCTCACTATTCTAGGAGTCCATTTATATCCCTTTCTTAAAATGGCAAAATTATAGAATTAGTGAAGAGATGAATGGCTGTCAGGGGTTGGGGATGGGGCGTGGGAGCAGGAGGGAAATGGGCGTGGCTATGAAAAGACAGCGGGAGGGATCCTTGGAGACAGACATGTTCTGTGTCTTGACTGTATCCGTGACAATTTTCTGCTTGTGATGCTGCATTAGTTTGGTAGGATTTACCATTAGGGGACAGCGAGTAAGGGATATGCGAGATTTCTCTGTATTATTTCCTGTAACTGCATGAGTGTAAATGATCTCAAAAAAAAAATTTTAAATAAATCCCAATCTATGCATTTATCAAAATTCATAGCACTAACCACCAAAAGAGTGTATTATGCTATATATAAGTTTTTAAAACTTTTTTTAAAGCCCACTGATTATACCAGGGAGACCGTGTGCGCGGGAAGGGGAGGAACGTGTGTGTGGAATTTAGCGGCCCTGGCCTTCGCCATGAAATCACTCGACTTCAGTTTCCTCATCTTTAAAATGGGGCTGAGGCTGGTCACAGTGGCTCGCACCAGTGATCCCAGCATTTGAGAGGTTGAGGCAAAAGGACTGCTTGAGACCAGGAGTTCAAGACCAGCCTAGGCAACACAGCAAGACTCCATCTCTACAAAAAATAAAAACTAAAAAAAAAAAATAGCCAGGCGTGGGAGTGTATGCCTGTAGTCGCAGGTACTCAGAAGTCTGAGGCAAGATGGCTTGAGCCCAGGAGTTTGAAGTTGAAATGAGCTATGATCATGCTACTGCACTCCAGCCTGGTGATAGAGGGAGACCTTATATCAAAAGAAATAATTAAGCTGGGTGCAGTGGGTCATGCCTGTAATCCCAGCACTACGGGAGACTGACGTCAGTGGATCACTTGAAGTCAGGAGTTCAAGACCAGCCTGGCCAACACGGTGAAACCCCAACTCTACTAAAAAATGCAAAAATTAGCTTGGCATGGTGGTGCATGCCTGTGATCCCAGCTACTCAGGAGGCTGAGGCGCAGGAAACACTTGAACCTGGGAGACAGAGGCTGCAGTGAGCCGAGATTACACCACTGTACTCCAGCCTGGGCCACAGAGCAATACCCTGTCTCAAAAAATAATTATTATTATTAAGTAATTAAACACAATGAGGATAATACCTTTGCCCTGGGGCTGCTGTAAGATTTAAATAAGAAAACACATATAAAAAAGCTCGGCACAGAGAAGGCCAGGCATTGGTGTCCATTCCCCTTTGCACAAGTAGCAATCGTGGGCCGCACTCTCATCGGGCACCATCCTTGCATCTCGGCTGCAGTTTTCCTTGCCCTGTATTTAAGTCTTGTATTGTCACTTCCCAGTCCCCACATTCACCTCCCACCTCTCTCCCGTGACTCCCTGGGCAGTGCTCATGATAGTGGGCCTCCAGCCTGCTTCCATACACAGCTAGGGCTACCCAATATCTGCCAAAGGAGGGCTAGGTGAGGGTCTCCCCTTGGCTGGCACCCCAACCTGATCATGGAGACACAGTGCTCTCTGACTCAACCCCAGGAGCCCCTACTCAATGACTCATCTTCACCAGGATTTCCACTGAAAAGAGCAAAAGGCAAGGTCAGACTTCCCATTGATCCATGTTTATGCTCCCTGGGTGCAGACACGGTGGCAGGGGGCCCCTGCCCACCTCCCAAGTCCTCACCCCAAGAGTGCATCTGCCCAAGAACGGCCCCAAACTTGCCAGCATTGTGCCCAAAGCAAGGCCTATGGGTGGGAGGGCACACACACAGGTGGCTGCTGCCGTGGTCAGCAAGACGCCCCATGCCCAGAGCCCATCTCCACCCCCATGTGCCCCACACAGCCACACTTCCAGCCACAGCCCTCCACCCTCACCTCCATTCCCATCTCCCTGGGCATCCACCAGAGGCTGGGTCCTTCTCAGCTAATCCTCTCACGTTCCTATGAACAGGCATTATGGTTGGTAGTATGCACATTTTCCAGATGGGAAGACTGAGGCTCCAAGAAAAGAAATCAAGTCATTTGCCCAATATCATACATCTAGCAGGGGCAAGACCAGGATTCAAACCCAGGCCTTCCTCCCCAGGCCACTCTGTCTCTGACACCACAGAAACAGGGGGGACAGCTTTGCTCTCACACAAGGCCTTGCTAACATGAAATTTTCTTGCTTTTGTTCTACAGTCTTCAATGTGTCTTCATTTGTTTGCAACCGCTGAACACAGCTATCTGATATCACTGTGGCCTGGGACTCTCAGCTTCCAGCAAGTGGGAGCCCCACCTGGCTCATCCACTTCAAAAGAGGATTGCATGCTAATGAATTAATACATACAAGAAAGTGTTGCAAACTCTACAATCCTATATAAATCTTAAGAAGATTAGAAGTTTACCAAATGCTCTGTAATGCATTTTGAAGGGCTATCCCTTAAAAGAAACTGGAAATCAGCAAGACAAGCTTTTCCTTCTTTTAGTGTCTTTATTTAGCCTGTACGTACTACTTGCACACATTAGTTTCACAGTTAATTTTACCGCCTTAAAAACAGGACTCAGATCAAAACCTAAACATGAGAACTCAGCCACTGACAGTGATTTTCCTGGTGGCTCCCGGAAGTCATTGCTCTCAGAGCTTCCATTTCCCCCTCCCATTAAGCAAAGGAAATAGGAGGGGAAGACAGCAATTCCACAAGGTCTTTGTGCACTTTGAAACTTTCGTAGCTTCAGTTGTTGGTGTGACAAAAGCAATCTGTGGGCAGAATCCAGAAGCAAGTATATGAACATTTGGGGAAGGGTGTTGCTTAGTGGGTCACGTTGTCTCCTGCCAAATTCTGTGACAACCCTAAAGTGCGAGAAGGGTTCCGAGGGGAGCCGAATGCTGCAGTCAAGCTTCATATCCGCCAAGACAAAGGGATTTAATCTGCTTGGGGACGCTTCTGCTTGCTGATTTTATATACTAACTAAGTCATCTGAGTCTAAAGGATAAAAGTTGAAAGCTGCCTAAGAACTTTATCCAGGGCCTCTACTTTCCCAGACCAAGTTGATACTGGAAAGAGAGTCTGGTGTTTCAACCAGAGTTCAGGACCCACGAATGTGCAGCTTCTATACTATAGTGAACATTTCAACGACTCCCACAGCCAGGGTTCCCATGTCTTCAGGTCCTGCTGAGAAACAACTAACAATCCTGCCAGCACCACCCTCAACACACAGAAAAAAAGAGGCAAAGAAAACCTCTTGCCGGGCGTGGTGGCTCACGCCTGTAATCCCAGCACTTTGGGAGGCTGAGGCAGGCGGATCACAAGGTCAGGAGATCGAGACCATCCTGGCTAACACGGTGAAACCCCTCTCTACTAAAAATACAAAGAATTAGCCGGGTGTGGTGGCGCACGCCTGTAGTCCCAGCTACTCGGGAGGCTGAGGCAGGAGAATGGCGGGAACCCGGGAGGCAGAGCTTGCAGTGAGCCAAGATCGTGCCACTGCACTCCAGCCTGGGTGACAGAGCGAGACTCCACCTCAAAAAAAAAAAAAAAAAAAAAGAAAACCTCTTTCATCAGTACTTTGCTAGTGCAGAAGTAACAGGTGACACAGAGCCTACCTTTTAAAGCAGCATGAGGAAAATATTAGCCAAAGCAACAGTGCCAGGCCCTGTGCTTACTGCAACCTCAGAGTATCCCTATCAGAGGGTACTACTGTTATCCCATTTTACAGAGGGGGAAAGTGAGGCCCAGGTCTAAGGTCACCTAGTTGTGAACAAGGCACAAAGACTCAACCCACATCTACAGAACTCCAAAGTCTGTCTTAACCCCTGGACCCCACTACTCCAAGACCTGTAAGTTTCATTGTTAATTATCCTTTAAGTACTTGATTTGTCAGCTAAATGATCAAATGCCAAAGCAGACACTAATTTTGCAATACACACACTCTCTAATACAGCCCATCCTGAGGTGTCCCAGCCAAACATCAACCTTCTGGAACTGATGTTGAAACATGGTATTAGGGGTTCCACTGTAAGCAAGAAAAATGGGCAGATGACGAGTATCTTGGAGAGGGTAGAAGCGGGACAGGAAGCCATCACTTTCCCTCCTTAACTGCATGGATGTGCAGACATGGTGGGTAACCTGCAGAGGGTGAAGTGTCTTCCAGGAAGCTCAGGGTGCTCCTGGGCCTGCAGGGAGTCACAATGGCTTCTTGCAACCCCAGCTGGAACCTGTATCCATCTGTCCCTATCTCCTCAGGTCCTGTGCCTCCTGCCTATGCCTCCCCCACTGCCACCCTGTCCTTCTCTCAAAGTTCATTTCCAGGTTGTTTGTGGGGAGCCCCCCCTCCACGTGTGCAGCCTAGGTGTTGCCCTCCCTCAGTCATCCTGTGGCCTCAGCACAGAGCCTGCCCACGGCAGCAACCTGACTGATGTCTATCTGCTAAGTCAGTATCACAGCAAGAGCACTGAACTTGAGTCCACGCTCAGCCCAGCTCAGTCCCAGAGGAGCTGCAGGGCCCTGGCTAAGCTCTGCAACTTTGCTCAGCTTTCTGCCTTTGTAACATGTAAGACGTTACCCTTGTGCTGCCCGCCTCAGCTATAAGTTAAGGAGGTAACGCCCTGTAGGTGGGGGCACTACAAAAATATCCCTAGAAACACTGAAATCCCTAGGTAGGCACAATTCCTAGCAGGGCATAGGCCCTTATTAAATGCTCATAAATTGGATAAAAGCATCTCGTCTTCACAGCTACAGCATTAGCTTCTAGGGGCCAAGAATATGTTTTTGAGTCCTCCAAGCACCTTGCTCCTGCAACTGGGCTGGTGGACATTCAGCAGGGCAAGTGAGAGTGGCTGGCTGTACGCATGAAGCACCTGCTGTCCTTAGACAGAGAGGGCATACTCACCCCTTCCTCATCCCTCCCTCCACAGGAAGGTGTGTCCTCAGAGGTGCTTTCTTCAGTAACTGGGGCTAAAACATATTCCCTGATCTAGTCCTTCAGGTAATCAAAGGCCACCGAAGGCCACACTTGGGGAAGGACTGGGAGTCACACTACACAGCTTGAAAGAGACTTGACCTGGGCCCCTGGCTGAACAAAGTGGCCCAGGCTCGCCTATGTGTCTCCTTAATGGAAGGGGGAAAAACAAAACAAGACAAAACAGTAAACTGAGCTGCTGAACCAAATCGGAACTCTGTTCTCCTGGACTTTTCAATGTTGTAGGGATTTTCTGCTTTTTAAAGCAAATAACATTTCAAGAGGAGGGGGAGGAATGACATTATTCAGGGACATAAAAGTGCTGGGATCCAAAAAGCCAAAACAAATCTCAACATGGGAATGAGACAGCCCATGTTGTTTCTTGAAACTGAAGCCAACTGCATGCATGACTTGTCAAGAGTCCATTTATCAATGAAAAATAACTGATGGACGAGCTTCCTATAGGCACTCCCATAATTCTCACGACCGCTCATGTCCTTTTAACCCACAAACACTATGAAAGAAGAGCTTGCTATAGACTGGAAGCTGCTTGACACACTCAAAAGGAAGGAGACGAGGGACAAGAGGCACGGAGAGAGGAGAACTCACACTTACCGAGTGGCCACAGAGCTAGATGCCGCCTTCTGCTCCAAACCGGGGGAAGGGAAAGAATGGGAAGAGAACCAGAGGACAATGAGGGGACCGCAGCGGGCCCCAAAGATAATCTACTATCATGTTAAGCCACTTAGCCTAAGACAACCATGACCTGTTCTTCAGTCGGACCTATTTATAAGTATACTGAATTTACTCAAACCATGACTAAAAACCAACAGAAGAGGGGTGGAAAAAAAAGATTTAAAAACAAAAATGGAAAGACCCAAACAAAAGGCTGTGTGGCCTAGGTGGATCAAGCAGGACTTAGGGGATGGGGGCTCTGGGCTTGACAGTGCCACTTACTGGCTCTGCCCAGTTTGCCAAGTTATTTCCCTCCTCGGAGCCTCAGTTCCCTCATGAGTCAAATAGGATGCTGGGCCAGATAAGCTCCGTTTCTGACTAGTGAGACTCTAACTGTAGTCACGTATCAGCTGTGTGGCTTCAGCCAGGTCTTTATGACTCTCTGGGCCTCAGTTTCCTCACGTGTCACAGGCAAATGGCAACTCTGGAGAGAGCATGAAAATCAATAGATTTGAAGGTACTGAATGAACTATAAGAAAGGACAGTAAGCTGATGATGCCTGTCCTGGAACAACTGCTATGCTGGCCTTTCCAGTCCTACTCAGACCTGACCTGCAGTTCAAGGTCCCAGGAAACTGGACAAAGGCAAAGGCCAAATCCTTACTTGCTGCCATCAAAGTGCCCTGGCTATGACCTCCCATAAAGCAGAGTCGGAGCAGGCCACAGGGACTCTTCCAATGGGTGGGACCGAGGTAGCGGGGAGGTGGTGTTGCAGAACCTGCCCCTCTCTTACATATCCATGGGGTGAGGATGGGGATGTATGCGTGATTGCATTTTCCAAGCTCAATCCTTATGCATACAGGGGCATCTTGGTGTCTTTCAGTGACGCTAACAACAACCTGATTTAGAGGAGTTTCTTGGAGAGCCAGGAAGTTAGCCAGTGACCAGTTTTGACATCTTCATCTTCTAGGACAACTCTCAGGACAAGAATCTCCTTTTCCTTTACAAAATGTTTATGAGCTCTCGGACTCTCCCTCTCCTGCAGGACAATCCACCCCCAGCCCAGGCTACAGACACAGCTTTCCTACCGGTGCAGCTCCAGTCACTCAGCAGGCAGGGAGAAGCATTCCTGTTGGTGTCTACAGCTCTCACAGAACCCCCAAAGACACTGCACAGAGGGAAGGTAATCTCTCAGCAGCTGGGCCTTGGAACACAGCTGCGAGGGCAGTGATCTCTTTATCTAGGAGGCCTGCAGGCTGGTAGCCCCAACACACCGGTCTAAGACTATATCACACTGGGACATGACAGGTGATGCAAGAAGGTCCCAACAAGCTCTGTAAGAACTGCTATAGGCACGAGAGGCACCAGGTTGCCCATGTGCCACCCACTCATCAGAGGTCACATCCTAACCTCAGCTCACACTTCAGGACTTCCCCCTTCCTGATCTGACTGAGTCATATCTACCAACCTACAGGGTCTGTTGTAGAAATTAATCAGACAGGCTCATCAATCACATGGTAAGCCTTCCGCCTTCTCCCTTCTACCCCCACATCGCGCTGCAAGCTCCACCACACATTCGAGAATGCCATCATCTGCCAAAACAAAACTGGAGGGACTCTAAGCTGCCAGGCGGGTCTGTCACATGACAAGTATACCCGAGCTCTGTGGCACCTCTCAGGTCAAACAGCCAAAGCTATCTACCTGACTCCTACTGCAGGGGAGGGTTCTGGAGGGCAGGATAAATTCTAGTAAGACTACTCCCACCACCAGCCACAGCACAATGGCGGGGGAGCCGCTGCATGTGTAACAACAGCCATCTGTCTATTCACAGATCAAAATAGCACCAGATTCTTGCCTCTTAAGGCAGAGAAAGAGATTTCTGCAAAGAAGGGCTTCACCGCCAGGCGCAGTGGCTCACGCCTATAATCCCTGCACTTGGGCAGGCTGACGCAGGTGAAATGCTTGAGCCCAAGAGTTCAAGACCAGCTGGGCAACATGGAGAAATCCCCATCTCTATAAAAAATTTAAAAAATAGCCAGGTATGGTGGCATACACCTGTGGTCCCAGCTACACAGGAGGCTGAGTAGGGAGCCAGGAAGGTCAAGGCTGCAGTGAGCTATGATAGCAACACTTCACTACAGCTTAAGTGACAGAGAAAGATCCTGTCTCACAAAAAAAATAAAAAAAAAGAAGAAGAAGAAAGAAGGAAGAAGACGAAGAAAGGCTTCATGAAGTCCTAATTCAAAGCTAAGTCCAGGCATTTGGCTTTAAATTACTTAGAACTGGCCACGGAATTAATCTAAGAAGTTTGGAGGAACAGCTGCTCAACGGGTCTTGAGCTCCTTCTTTATTTTTTGGCATGCCATGGGGGTGGGGGAACAGGAGAAGAAAGGGGCACCTCATTTGCAAACACTTGCCCCACTTCCTTCTAAGCACTCTGGATATGACAATCAGGCCTCCTGACTTAGGGCAAAGACCTGGGTGGAGGGGTGTTAAAGAGGAAATGACACAGCCAACCAGAGTCACCCGGCTTTAAAGCAAACACCTTGGGATGCCAAGGTGAACTCTTCTCGGCTTTTCGTTACAGATCTAAGCGAGAGTCAAAAGACTCTGGAAGAGTTAACCCAACTTCCAAAAATGAGTAATCATCTTCCTCGTTAGAAATGGCCCAGGCTCCAGAAACAAAGATTCATTCTATTGTTTGTCCGCAGCACACCCCAAAATGCTTGAAAGACTGCCAAGTACACCAGCTGCGGCTATAGCTGTCACTGTCCCCCTAGTGGAGCCATCTGAACCAGGCTTGGTTGTACTTCCCTTGCTCTCAGGAAGCTCATTCACTAAGTCAGCAGCAAAACTCTAAAGCCAGGCCTCTGAGCACTCCTCCATGCACCTCCCAAACCAAATGTGGACTGGCCTTCACCTCGCTGTGGAAAGGGGTTCTTCCCCAGTGTCATCTGGATGGAGTTCAAAAATGTGCAGGAGAAGGAAAAGTTACACATCAAAAAACCAACACGGCCGGGCACAGTGGCTCACGCCTGTAATCCCAGCACTTTGGGAGGCCAAGGCAGGCAGATCACCTGAGGTAAGGAGTTCGAGACCAGCCTGGCCAATATGGTGAAACCCTGTCTCTACTAAAAATACAAAAATTAGCAGGGTGTGGTGGCGGGCGCCTGTAATCCCAGCTACTTGGGAGGCTGAGGCAGGAGAATTGCTTGAACCTGGGAGGTGGAGGTTGCAGTGAGCCGAGATCGCGCCATTGCACTCCAGCCTGGGTGACAAAAGAGAGACTTCATCTAAAAAAAAAAAAAAAAACAAACAAACCACCAACACTGGCCACCTCGATCAGGAGCAGACCCAAGGGAGGTGGCATAGATATGTTCTCAGACTTAAAAATAATAATAATACCAGCCTAGGCAATATAGTGAGACCTCGTCTTGACAAAAAATAAATTAGCCAGGCATGGTGGCATGTGCCTGCAGCCCCAGATACTCAGGAGGCGGAAGCAAGAGAATCACTTAGGCAAGCCAAGGCTGCAGTCAGCCATGATCACACCACTGCCTCCAGCCTGGGCAATAAAGTGAGGTCCTAGCTTCGAAAATAATTTTTTTTTAAGTCATAAAATGTAAAAACAAAAAAAGAAACCCTATCCGACTGAATAACTGGATGGGATCAGAATTGATGAAATTTAACAAGTACTGGTCAGAGGTTGACATTGAAGCACCAAAACCCAGTTTCCAGTGTGCTGGATGAACAGTTAACAGCATGCCACCAGTCCTGACAAAAGCCTGCGTGGCAGGCAACTGTACTCATTCATTCAACAAACCCTTACTGAGTGACTACTTTGTGACTGCTGGGATGATGGTAGGGGCTGAAGACATGAACATACATAAGCCACAGTCCCCTCCCATGGAAGTGAAAACTATTAACAACTGATGGATGAGTGAAATAAAAACTAAATTAAAATGCACTAAAAGGCAGAGGGTATTATTAAAATATCTTGATAAAAATAGCATGATAAAATAACTGGGACCGCTAAAGTTCAGAAATCTGGGCCGGGTGCGGTGGCTCACACCTGTCATCCCAGCACTTTGGGAGGCCAAGACGGGCGGATGGCTTGAGCTCAGGAGTTCAAAACCAGCCTGGGAAACATGGCAAAATCCCATCTCTACCAAAAATACAAAAAAATTAGCTGGGCATGGTGGTGCATGCCTGTGGACCCAGCTACTCGGGAGGTTGGGGTGGGAAGATCGCTTGAGTCCGAGAAGCGGAGGTTGCAGTGAGTCTGGATCATGCCGCTGCAGTCCAGCCTGGGGGACAGAGTAAGAATCCATCTCAAAAAATAAAGTTCAGAAATCTGCATCACAACCTTCATGGGATGGGTGCAAAGTCACCCTGCAGTCTCTCCCTCCCACATCCTGGCAGGTCCCCTGCCTGGACAGACTCTTACTCGCTTCAATTATTAATAAATCAACAAACTACTGACTAGAACTGTGATGTTCACGAGGCCCAAGTCTAGCAAGTGCCGGAGGTGGCATCCACATCCACAAGGCCCCAGCAAACAAGGCTGGCAGAGCCGCACTGCAGGCTTCAGT
The DNA here is from genome assembly GCF_000001405.40 of Homo sapiens. Classification (NCBI taxonomy): domain Eukaryota; kingdom Metazoa; phylum Chordata; class Mammalia; order Primates; family Hominidae; genus Homo; species Homo sapiens. Next base: position 124,721,460 of record NC_000010.11, read on the forward strand.
TCTAGCTGACCTTGTCCTGCAGGGTATGGCCTGAAGGTCACAGTCTGTAAGGGAGTCTCCCCAAGCGACGCCAACCACACCCCTGGGCGAACCTTGCTTCCAGAGACCACACTGGGCCAGGTCTCCTTTTGCAGAGCTTACTTATGGGAGACAGTAAAGGAGTAAGACAGCTTCCTCAAGACTCAGCAGAATCCAACTTAAAGTCACTTGCCTTTCACAAGGGGGAACAAGTCAACCTCTAGAGAGATGAGCGTAAAACATAACCTGCCTGTGTCCTCGTGCGGTTCTATCCTCCTTACTCACTCTCCCTGTGAACACGTGTGTGAGTGCCAAATCAGCCTGCCCTGCAGACTGTCCTACTCATGAGCAAAATAGTACATATCGTATCGTTAGGCACAGCCAAGATGGGAAGTGGCCTAACCGCCTAACAGGAAGGACAGGATAAATACACACTGCAACACCATGCAAAGGACGAAACGCAGCTTTCTAAGAGGCTACGAGAATATGTGGAAGCTTAAAAAATTTTGATCTCATAGAAGTAAAAAGCAGAACAGAGGAGACTAGAGGCTGGGAAGGGTAGGGGGAAGGCGGGGAACAGGAAGAGATTTGTTAAAGGATACAAAATTACAGCCAGATAGAAGGAGTACGTTCTAGTGTTCTATAGCACTGTAGGATGACTAGAGTTAACAATATTATGTAGTTTCAAATAGTTAGAAGAAAGATATTGAACACTCCTGACACAAAGAAATGATAAACGTTTGAGATGTTGGAAATGCTAATCACCCTGAGCCGATCATCATACATTATATGTGTTGCAACATCACTATGTACCCCATAAATAAGTACAATTATGTGTCAATTTAAATTTTAATTTTAAAAATTAAAAAAAAGAAGGCTTTGGGAGCCCAACACATCCAAAGAGGAAACCATCTTCAGGTATAGTGCTAAGTAGAAAAGCAAAGATCAGAACAGTGGGTATATTAAGCTCCCATTTGGGTGAAACTAAATAAATAATTGTGCCAATAATACAGAAGTCCTGGAAGGATACAAAGGAAACTTAACATAAAACCTGTCTTCAGGGAGCGGAAATGGGTAGCCGGGAACAGAGATGAGAGAAGACTCTTCAAGAAATGGCTTTTTGTATGTTTTCAATTTTGAACCAAACGAGATATTGACTTTCACAAGAAATAGGTAATACTTTCTAAAATCAAAAATATAAAAAATACTGTATTTTTATACACACATTTGTGTGTGTATATATCTGCATATTCTTGCACATGCATATGGAATATCTCTGGGAGGACAAACAAGAAAATGACAACAGGAGCTCCCCCCAGGAAGGAGGGAGACGTGTAGCTGGGGACAGGGATGAGGAAACTGCTTTTCACTGCTGAGTTTGTACACATGCATGTACTGCCTATTCTTAAAACATTCTGGAGTTCTCCAAATACCACATGCAGTTTCCTGCCTCCAGACCTCTGCTCATGCTGGTCTCTCAGGCTAGAACTTGCCACCCACTTCCCCTGCTCCCTGCTGCCCTCTCAGCCTCCAGACTCTCTAACCTCATCTTTTAGACTCAGCTCAGGTGTCACCACCTCCAGGAAGACCTCCACACTCCACACTGAGTCAGGTCACGCCCTCTGCCTCTGTGCAGAATGCAGAGCTTGAATCACAGGGCCATGAAATGAACCAGCAAGCTGCCACCCCTACAGACTGTGTGCTTCTGGAGGGCATGAGCCCAGCCTCAGTCCCCTGAGTCCCCAGAACCTGGCACAAAGAGCTGCTCAGGAAATGTCTGCTGAAACAAAGAACACAATCACCACGTTAAGTCAAGTCTCAACATTCTTGGTGCCAGAGATACTGAAATCTGTCTTGCTTGCAGGGGGTTTCCGATAGCTATCAAAATGTTGTTAACACTAATTCAAAGCACAGCACCTCCTGATTCACGGAGGGGCTGGGCTCAAAAGTTTTCTGGGTTCCACAGTAGCAGAGCATAACAGAAAAACACAGTGACCAGCACAAAAACCCCTGTATCTGATCATACTCACACCTCCTCAGGAACCTGAAAACACTCATCAGAGTTTCTGTGGGCGGGAGGGTGGCCAGCAGCCCTCTCACACCCAATCATGGGAAAACTGAGAGCCCAGGGCCCTGCCCTAACAGCTTTGTTTTCTGTGTTCTGCTTTTAGGAGGAAGAGTCTTGCTGCAGTCAGGGCCTGATGTGAGGCGGGCAGCACTTGCAGGGCCGGCCCTGGGCCAGGCAGAGCCTGGACAGCCCAGGCCTCTGCAGGAACCCCAGTGGGACAGGGAGGGCCAAGGTCCTGGGAGCCTCCACAGAGAGCAAAATGGGTCAATGGGAAGATTATATACACATGTGACGCTGCGCTCCTTAGAACAGACTTTTACTCAGAAACAAAAAGTATTTCTAGGTGACTGTAGTTGAACCGGCAAATCTCATGTACTCCCTGTGTTGTGCTTCTCTCTGGGCATTATTTCCTCCCGGTATCAGTCTCGTCCCAAGTCCAACACGCACTAGGCTGGCTGTGCTAGGGACTGAGGGAAGAAGGCAGGTGATACATAACTAAGTTCACGCAAACAGCAAGTGTTCAATTAGGTTTCCCACAAGGCATAGTGTGTCATACGATAATAAATCCACAAGGGCAGAGAAGTGAGCCTGGAATTCCAAGTAGGGAGGTAAAGATCTGGGGAGATTTCCTAGAGGAAGCGGCATGAGTGTTGGGCAGGAGTTCAATGCCAGAGATGGGGTGAGGGTATTCTATTAGGATGCTGCTAAATGACATGTCTGACACTCCAGCAAGCTAGGGGGACGGGGCTGGGAGTGGAGGGCCCCTTCCCAGCTTTTGGTGGAAGGAGCCTCAGGATGCCCAGACAGGTCAGCTGCCACAACATCGGCCAGTGCCAGCGCCAGCGCCCTCACAAGGCCCAGGCAGGGGGAGCTCTGCGCACCGGACAGCCACAAGCCGCCACCCTGCTCTCTGCCTCCCATCACTCTGCTTCTCTCCACCTCTCAGAGGTCTGCCCTCCCAGAGCTGTCCTGCCTGAATAGCAGGCAAACAAGCTGAGCTATGGGGGCGGGGTAGGGGGGCACAGGCTGGTGGTTTACTCAGCTGAACAAAGCCAGGTGACCCAGGGGATTCTAAGAGGTCGTCCCAAACCTCCCTCTTTTGTAAATGGCAGCATAAAGGTAGGAAGCTGCAAAACGGTTATTTCCATCCCCCAATATACCAACAGCCCCAGCCGTGACCCAAGCAGCTCGCCCAGAATGCCCACAGACAATACAGTAATTGTGTTCTCCCTTGGGGAATGGGAGTGGCCACACACAGCCCCATACGAGAATGTCACGATCATCTCAGACTCCCGAGTTACAAATATGTGATCAAGGCATGTGCTGGGCACGCGCTTCCCACGTGTTTTCGTGGATATGAAAGCACAAGGGCCAATGTGCCCAGCTGCTGGGGGCTGGGAGCTGCAGAAGGCAGAGTACTGGGACAAGGAGAAAACCACACAGAAACGCTCCATTCAAAGCCATGACTGAGTTAGTGTCCCCTTGTTTCTGAGGAGCGAGAGTAGAAGGGGGAACACTCCTTGACAAAACAAAACTGTGAGGAAAACTTCAAGGCCAGGCAAAGCCAAAGCCTGCCCGTCACCTCCCAGTGACTACATCTGGAGCTAAAGACACAAGACCCAGCAGTGATTTCAGGTTCACTCTGGACAACTAAAACCCCCAAATGAGAGGAAACCACCACTAAGCACTTAGATGTGAGCATGGCTGACTGTATGGACTTCAACGCACCATTTCCTGGCTCTGCACCTGCTTCCCCAGATGGGTCCCAGGGTCTCTCACCTCCAGCAGCCCCGGCTGGGCTCAGGTGTCATCAGGGAAGGGAAAGAAAGGGTACAGCAGTTGATTCTGGACATGGTTAAGCACTCTATTTCCCACCACTGCACGGAGACACTGATTTCAGGGCACCTGAAACAAAGGGCGCCCAGCCTTGGACTGACGGCAGTGAGTGGGAAGCTTCATGAAGCATTCCCGAGTACAGGGTAACCTGCTGTGTCCATGACAGCTCTGTCAGCTCGACCCAAATGCGGCCTGTCTTTGGTGAGAACGGGTAAAATCAACCTATCTGGGAAACCAAAAGCTCAAAACTCAAAATCGCCAAGGCTGCCTCCGTTAGTATCTGGGTTCCAGGTGGAGGGTGGAAACCGAGATGGACAGTGGATGGTGTGTGTTAGTGATAGAATTACCTAAAGGTAGGAAATAAATGTGTCTCCAACTATCACGGTGAGAGTGTGAGGACAGCTTCCATGAAGATGGCTGAACGGAAAACAAAACATCTCCGGGAATCTAGTCTCAAGTTTCCCAGAAAATAAGATGCAGTGGGAAAATGAAAGGAAAGACGAGCCTCATATGCCAGGCAGCCAAGACCCACACAGGCCAACCCACATCCTTGCTGGGGGGAACACTGGGGTACCTGGCACCTGCTTCAGCAATGTGCACTGGTTCTCCAAGCGTGGACCCGGATCAGTAGAGAATTGCCTGAGAACTCATTAGGAAGGCAAAGTTTCAGTCCCCGACCCCAGACAAACTGCATGAGGGTGGGACCCAGCAGCTGTGTCTAGTAAGCCCTCCAGGTTGAGTCCGGTGGTTCCTAAAGTTTGAAAAACACATTTTTAGTGGATTTGGTACCTAGAACCCTAGTAACTGGGAGGACAATTTTGCACATGAGAAAATCAGGATCCATAAAAGTTGAGTTTCTTGCAAAAGCCATGAGGTCAGAATTGGATGGGTGGCCTACTACCCACCCCCAGCATGTCCTCTGGCCAGGCCCTGGAAATCTAAATCTAGGTCAAGATGATCCTTGGCCTTCAGGAGCTCCAACAGTCCCTAGAATGCACTGAAGGAGAACAGTGGCATCGTCAGAGCCTTGGCCTAGCAGAATCAGAGGCTGAACCAACCACCCAGGTGCACAATGCCCTGACCAGTAGGTGAGAAAGAGGCAGATGAGGATGCCATGTTTCTGCTGCAAAGGAAAGGCATGGGAAGGGCTTTCAGGCAATGGATTGACAAGCTACATTTCTCAAATTCAGCAAACCATTTGGAATGACACTAAGAATCCCAAAGGTTGACTATGCGGTGAAATACGTGTGAGAATCAGAAGGAAACAAAAAGTCACAGAACAGCTGCCATACGAAGAGATAAAAACAGGGTTGAGTGAAAAAGATAAATGATAGGAGGGATTGCTATTAGATATTTGAAGAAATACGAAGAGAACACCTCAATTCTTTGAAAAATACTAATTACCATCTGGCAAATCTTTGCTTTACTTCTACTTGCTGTATTGAGTCTCTGTCAAAAGAAAGAGCTGAGATACATGTTTCATCTACCCTAAGAAATTTCCGTCTAACACCAGAAGTTATCTACTTGGTACACAGCAGCTAGGCTGCCTGTCATGAGAATTTAAAAATTACATCTTTATTTGTAAAAATTCCCTTGCAATATCTATTAAAATCCAGAAGGCACTTTTTATTTATTTAGTTACTTATTTATATTTGGAGACAGGGTCTCACTCTGTCACCCAGGCTGGAGTGCAGTGGCACGATCTTGGCTCACTGCAACGTCCGCCTCCCAGGCTCAAGCGATCCTCCCGTCTCAGCCTCCCAGTTGCTGGGACCACAGGTGCATGCCATAACACCCGGCTAATTTTTGTATTTTTAGTAGAGATGGGTTTTCTCTACGTTGACTAGGCTGGTCTCAAACTCCTGGGCTCAAGCGATCTGCCTGCCTCAGCCTCAGGAAGGCACTTGTAGATAAGAAGATTACACTAGGTGAAGCACCTGAGTGATTGTGGGGGGGGGGGGGGTGCGGGGGTACAAAATGAATCCCCAGGTCACCCAGTATCACAGGGCCATTCACAGGGTAGAAGGGCCCCTGGCCTGAGACTAGCTTCCAAGATTTAAGGGACATATTTGTACTTTCAGAGTTTTTATTAGTGCCCGGAGTACTGGCTTATCTTTGCAAGTTTACTAGCAGGTGGAACACGAGGTAGCAGGATTATGATGGCAATGACCTTGAGCACTGCAAACATCCTGGGCATTTCTACTAGTCACTGCCATTCACCATCGTTCTCCCTGTGCCAATAACCTGGAGAGCCAGAAAATCTGAATCTGCCTTCCCAATGTCTTATCCACTCCAGGGATCTCAAACTCAAATGCCTTCCAGGGCCAAGCAGGAAACACAAATGAGAGAAGCATGCTGCATAGGAACCGAGATGATGTGCAGAGAACATGCCTGGCCCACCGTGGACGGCTCTGGCTACAGCTAACTGTGGTGGGCTGTTTGGGAAAGAAGATCCAGGCTACTATTAAAATTTACCTCCTGACTTGTTAAGAGAAACTGAAAGTCAGGACTTCTTTGCACAATCTCCTTTTTATGTTCCCAAGAAATTTAAAAACTTGTAAAGCATCATATGAGACAAACAAATCATGTCTGAGGACCACATCTGGCCCCCAGACCCAGACCACCAGAGTGCAAACTCCAGTCTAAATGATGCTGACGATTCAGACCCCTGAAAACACTCAAACGACTAAGTTTCATCTTGGTTTGAAGATCTCCATGGACTCGCTTGGCTTCGCGATCCAGTCACACATTCTCATCGGCACCACTCCCTGGCTCACTCGGTGAGTTAGCTGGAGGCCTGAAAATGCCTAGACAGCTCAGACTGTGTGAAATTCCATGCACAACAAAGCAGACCCATACAACTCCCAATCACAGACAGGAGAGGCCTGCCTTCCCACCCATGGACTTGGAGAGACAGTTGATCTGGTTCGTTCACTCAGCCTGGCCCCATGGGAGGCTGTGGCACCCATTCTATGGAGGAAACCGTGGCATTATCTGAAGTACAGCAGAGCCTGGGGTCTGCCCTGCCCCCACCAGGAGAGCTCCCTTCTGGCCTCGCCCACGAGGTGGGGTAGGGAAAGAGTTTCCATGCCAAATACTTCTAACACACGCAAGTAAACCCAGCAGATGGAAGAGACAATTCTGGATCCCTGACGCCTCCAGACTGCTGGCTTTGGTTGGGTCATCATGAAGAGAACAGCTGCTTCCTCAATCACGACTACCGCACAGAACAGAGGATTCTGTTTTGATGACTTCTATGCAAGATATAGAAACAAGAGGGGAGTTTCCTGCCTTTTATTTCAAAATAGCCCAGGACAAACGAAGACTTCTTGTACCATAACAACACATTCAAAGGGAAAGCTTGATGGAGTTGGTTTTCTTAAATGTCACCCCACAGTGAGCAACCTACTTCTCTGCCCACAGGCAGTGATAAAAATGTCATCAGGGAACCCATGCAGAGGAGCAAGAGATTTCTCTTTGAAACAGCAACATGTGCACAATTGGGGACAAAACTAGGTGGTGAGGAGAAACTGGCTTTGGAGCAGAGGGACCTGGATTTTCAAGCCAGGCTCTAGCCCATCACAAGCCACACTCTCTCAGGGACATGGCTGAAGCTCAGCTCCTGCCCAGCGGGGCTAGTCACCCCCAGCTGGCTGTGCAATGAGCAGACGATGAGAGAACATATGCAGAGTGCTTGGCACACAGTAGGTGCTCAGAAAACGCCAGCACTCTAAAAACAGATAATTTCCATTATAAAGGTATTTGTGCCCGGGTTCTTTTGGGCACATGCAATTAGTCTCCCTGAGGGCTGGGACAGCAGTGAGAAACTTAGGGCAGAGCCTAATCTCGAATGATCTCACCCCTCCACTGGCTGAAGAAGGAAGACACAGGACACCATTCCAGGAGTGGCTGGCTAGAGGCAAGCACAGTGTCAAAGGTGGCAGTGGGATGGGAGGGGGACACGTAATCAAGGCTGGCCTTTCAAGGCTATTCTTTTCCCTTTTAAAGCATGTGGGGAAAAAATTTTCCACGTACGACCTCTTAAACACAACTTCCTCCTTACCAGGCACTTCCTTCATGCAACTATTCTAGAGCTAAGTTCATCAGGCTTACTTATCTGGTTTTCTTCTTTTTTCACTCTTGCCCAAGGTCCTGAAAAGTCCTCCTGGTATGTCATTCTTGCATTTTATAAAGGTTTCCATCCTGATTACAGAGGGAGTGGGCATTGTTTAAGGTGTGAAGATTTGTGCAGACTGTAACCATGTAAACCAAACATGGAAAAGCCAGCCATTCCTAACAGGAGCAATGGACTGGACTCCTGACTGTACAATGCATTTCAGAGACTCCAATGTAGACAGCGTGGACTACAACCAGCCACACAGCTCTTCTCCACACTCAGAGTCTATCAGCATGCACAAATGTGGGGGAGATGGGTCCAGCACTGATGCATTTATGCCTGGGTCTGATGAACTGGAGATCTACGCCCTCCATATTTGCCTTCACCCCTCAGAATGACTCTGCCCCTAGTTAGCTTCCAAAGAGATTCCTATTCAGAGCATTTATGGACCAAGCAAGACAAGAGCTACAGTTCAGCCCAATTCCAAGCTACTCAACACACGGCATCAGTGTTGGCAGTGGACAGCATTTTAAGGAGTAAGTCACGTGATACTAGCTAGCTGAGGTACCTGGAACTCACCTTCCTTCCTCATGCCACACAGTAGCCATCATTTTGAATGAATGAAGTAGTTCTTTATCTGATGCCCATGGAAAACATGGTCATTTCATCAGACCATGTATTTCCCATTCCAGCATGGTAGGAACAATGGTATAACCCATCAGGCCCAAATGGCCCAGAACAGAACAGGTATGAATACATAAAAATGGGATTTCTGCAGGACCCAGCATGCAAACACACATGGGGCACTGGACATGGCAGAGTTGATGAGGCCAACGGCCCCAGTGAACCAGGAGCTGAGGTTACAGGCTGCAGAGGGGCATGGTGGGGGCCTGCCAATGGTCATAGGATTTAGGGACAGCCTCTTCACTCCAGGCCCAGGTTCCCTCTGCCACAGCAGACATTTCTCCATCACTTCAGAGTCAACAAACTAATTTTCAATTCTGTGTTTTGGGAGCAGGAAGGTCCAGTGTCTTTTCTTTCAGCAGAATACCTCCTCTGCACTTTTGGTTCTCCCAGATTTGGATTCTCCCCACACTGGGACACAGTCTCGTGTGCTCCTACCTGATGGAACACTCTGCAATGACAGCAACGTTCTGGGTCTGTGCTGTCCAACGTGAGAGGTGACCACCGCATGCAGCTATTAAGCATGTGACACGTGGCTAGTGCAACCAAAGAACTGAAGTCTTCGTTTCATTTAGATTTAATTTAAATTGCCACATGAGGCTACAGCTAACATACTGAACAGCCCAGGTCCGGAGTGCAGAGTATTCATGTGGAGAAGAGGTCAGCACATTTTTTTTTCTGTAAAGGGCCAGGCAATAAATATTTTAGGCTTTGTAGACCCTGTGGTCTATAAATTCTGCTGCTGTGGTGTGAAGGTAGCCACAGACATTACCTACACAAACGGATGTGGCTGTGTCCCAATAAAACTTTATTTACAAATGTAGGCAGTGGGCCAGATTTAGTCACCAGGCTATAGTTTGCCAATCCTAAAGTTGGGAGTTCAAACGCCAGAACTACTGCCCATGAGCTAAATGACCTTGGGCACTTTACCTCACAGAACCCTATATTCTTCATCTATAAAAAGGGAATAATAACAGCACTCACTTCTCAGGGTGGTTATATGAATTAACGGCGAAGCCTAACGCACAGTGGCATTCAAAAAGTACTTGTTGGGTGAATGAAAACGGGAAAGAACTGGGTGCTTGGACTCGCACTATCCTGTTTATTCCTCCTGCTCTGTTAAGTAGGCACTATTATTCCCAGTCCACAGATGAGAAAATCACAGCTCAGAGAAGTGAAGTGGCTGAACCGAAGTCAAAAGCCATCAAGTGGCAGCACTAGAACCCAGGGATCCTTTTCACTGGTTCTGTGCCCTACTCTTTCTTCTCTCAGGCTTTTCTAACTGACATCAGCCCTACCCAACATTCTGCCCAACTGTCTGGGCTCATCTGTACTGCCTTGTACTATAAGAGGCTCCATTTATAAAGGAAATTATTAAGACACACAAAATCAACCTTTTTTTTTTTTTTAAGGAATCTAAGACGTTGAGCTCTACTAGTTCCTGTTCCAGACACTGTTCTGGAGCCCATCCCACCACCTACTGGTGGGGTTCCACTTCACTGGAACACCTCTCACAAGGCGGCTCCCTTCTAGCGTGCGGGATTCCAGTGAGGTGTGGCATGCTAGACTGCCACATGAAGTTTTGGCTGTGGCCCTTCCCCGCATCACCTCCAAAACTGTAAAATGCTTCCCCGACCTTGGAGACGGGGACCAGAGAGATGCTCCCTGCAGTTCTTCCCAGAGGTGTGGGGGCCTTCACATGGGCTGACGCAGCTCAAACATGAACTGAACGATGGCTTGTTTCTTCCTGCATTTGGCATGAAGACCCAGCTCCCTCCCAAGTCTTCTCCCTATCTCCTCCTGCCTATCTCCTCCTCCATGTCTGCCAGGATCAGCCCTGAGCAGAGGAGAGGGCAACCTGGGATTGCTGTCTTCTCTTCCAGGGCCCTAAGACACCAGTGGCTGTGACCACCATGCTGGCTCCAGTAGCAATCAGGGGGTAGGACAAAAATTGAGCCAAAGCTAAATCAGAGATGAGCAGCCAGCCACACAGGGAACAAGTGCCTGGGCTCCAGCTCTCGCCTGTGCCTACACTCAGGGCTAAAAATTCAGCCCTGTCTCCAACAGCGCCCAAAGCCTGGCCAGGCCAATGGCTGCCTCCCATAAGGGATTCTACCCTGGTTCCCCCAGGTTCCACTATCCACCCAGAAACCGGGCAGGATCAGCCACGCTCAGTCGTCGTCTTACAAGTGCAGGGGAAGGGCTTGGCCAGGCAGGAAGCTGGCAGACCCAGGGAGCTCCTCAGGTGAGCAGACGGACACCACCCTGGCCACGCTCCTCCATGGCAGAGGAGCACGCCACCACGCCATGTCTCAGAACAATGACTTCCTGAAATCATGTGTAACATATAAGGACTCACCTGAACCTCACACATGCTTTTAAAAATTGTTTTTTGGCCAGGGGCAGTGGCTCACACCTGTAATCCCAGCACTTTGGGAGGCCCAGGCGGGGGCATCACCTGAGGTCCGGAGTTCAAGACCAGTCTGGCCAACATGGTGAAACCCCGTCTCTACTAAAAATACAAAAATTAGCTGGGCATAGTGGCACACGCCCATAGTCCCAGCTACTTGGGAGGCTGAGGTTGCACTGAGCAGAGATCACGCCACTGCTGCACTCCAGCCTGGGTGACAGAGTGAGACTCCATCACAAAAAAAAAAAAAAATCTTTTTTTCCCCAAAGCAAGTTAGAACTCATTTACCTGTGGACTATCACGTACTCTCCTGAGCCCAAGGTGTCTGATCTCCTCTCTGCTCCTACTTCTGGTCATAACGCTCTTTCACTCCAGTTTGCTGCTCAACTTTTGGCCTATGCGGACGCAGCCAGGCCAGATCCTCTTTTACTTTCTTTTCTAACAGGTGAAGGCATGTGCTAACCTCCCCGGGAATGAGATGAACAGAGAGGTTTACTGTTAAAATCAAAACCATCTGTGGCTAACTTACTCACTTTCTTCTTCCCTTAGGAGTAAATGCAGATGAGCAAAACCCTACCAGCCTTGGAAAACACACCCCCCAAAGCTAAGATGGGCTGCTAACTGCAGTTCCGCCTCCACCTCTGCACAGGTTCAGTATTTTTCTTAATTCTCCTCTTCTGGGCCCAGGTCACATGCCACACAGTCAACGGGGCCTGGAATCTGGGCTGGCATCTGAGGGCGGTGGAGGCCTCAGGCGCACTGGCCGCCAAGAGTCAGGTGACTCAGGCCCGCCATTCTCGAGTGTCTGTGTCAGCAGCTTCCCCCTGCCTTTGAGAACACTAGTGAGAACAGGCTATGACAGAGCCCAGGGGGCACCGAAGCTCCCTCTTCCATCGCACCAACACGGTTAGGTGCCTGTTTTTCCCTTTAAAGAAAAAAAAAAGGTAGTTTTACACTGAATCAGACTGTTTCAACTCACACAACGCCAGAACTTTGACTTCTTTAGTTCCAGCGCAGCACAGACAAGAAGTTCTGGAAGCTCTTGGGAATCCCAAGGGCGCCTGCTAAATGCGAGAGTTTTGTCTAAAAATAAACAAAGACCACATCACTCTGGCCAAGGCGGCACTTGATGAAAATTCTCAGAGGCTAGTCTCATGCTTCTCCAGGAAGGTCACTCCAAGGTCAAAAGGCTGGGCCCCTGGGCAGTGTCACCCCGAAGGTGGGCTTTCTCCCAGCCCTTCGCCCTTCCCTTTACTGCCATCCTGACCTAGATCAGCTCCGCTCCCCTCTGAAATCTACACTCGTCTCACTCAGGCTCCAGGTCTCCCAGATTCCCTGACACAGTCCCATGGTGCTGTGACTGGGGACACCTGCTCTCCTGGTCTCGAATGTCTCCTCCTCCCCGTTCTTCATCTGTCTAAACTCCTGCTCATTCTTCAAGACTCAGGTCAGCTGTCACCCCCTCCAGGAAGCCTTCCCTGCCCTCCTCTCTTCAGCTCAGTTAGAGAGACTTTCTATGACTTCCAGAGGACGGTGTAACTCACCAGTACCTTGTGTAAACACACTTTCATTCATTTATTACACTGTGTCTAGCACATAGTAGAACCTCAATAAAAACCTGCAGTCTGACTGTCCATAATACGAGCTATGAGCTCCCTAAAATCAGACATTCGGTAGATCCATCTCTGAATTCCTCAGGGCCTGACGACTTGTCTGACACACATAGTAGCTGTTACTCCACATTGATTGAACTGCACTGAGCCTGGGGGCCACCACCATGGCAGGTATGTTTTGTGCTCATCACAGGAACAGTGACACACCCAAGGAGGACACAGTGGGTGAGGATGACACGCTCCACCTGGCAGATGAGTTCTGTCACATCCATGAGACCAGAGGCAGCCGAGACACCTCAGAGACCTCCCTTATGCAGCCCTCGCTCACAAAGCTTCAGGATCTCATTGTCCTAGCAGGTCTGCTTCAAGGCCACCCATGCCCAGCCACCTTGGTGGGTCCTCTGGAAAGGACGCTCTAGGGCCAGCACCAGAGGGGAGGGGCTGTCACAGTCTGGAGTCAGGGCCCCCTCCCAGAACCTAGTGAACAGCATGAGTCTTCACACTCCATACAAAGGGGTGTCCCTCAAAGCTACCCAAAGTGCAGCAGGAAATCTCATGAGTCAAGACTGTCCATCCTGTTCACCCCACAGGATGCCAGCCAGCCCCAGACTCATGAGGCGCGATGCTCACCAGACCCAGGGAATAGGCGTGTCAGGAGTCAGAGGCCTGCACCAACAGAAGCCAAGCGGCACAGCCTGGACCCTTCCCTCTGTCCTCCAAGCCAAGGGCTCCTTTCAAAGCTTCAGCAAGCTTAGATGAGCTCTTGCTCCTGCAGACTGAGGTCAGGTTCAGGTGGCAAAGGGATCTAGAAGCAGCCGGAATCACACCGCAGGCCGAGCTGGGGGCAGGCGCTCCAGCTGCAACCACATAACCCGCACCCGGAAGACGCTGACTCCAGGTGTCCAAGGCAGCTCCCCCAACGTGAGAGGAAGAACAAAAAACAAAGATGCCCACTGCAAAGCACCTAAAGAGAATCCAGAAGGTGGTAAGTGGGCCCCTCACTCTCAGTCTAGGTAGGTATGCAGCCATTAATTCCTTGGTTTCCAAAGAATTCATTCACAGAAGTGTCGGTGGCAGCAGAGCCAAGACGGTGAGGCCACATCATGACCCATACATGCATTTAACGTTCTATGCTTAGGAGCAAAAGTAAATCACTTTTGGTAAAAAAAGATTTCGTTTCCTAGAGAGAAAACTTAGATTTCACCAGTCTCAACTCTTGGTAACAGACACACTGCAAACTAAACTGTAATGCATACTTTCAACTTTTCCTCCCGAAAAAAACCCTACGCTATCTGAGAGAGGAAGATGCTGGAGGAGAAAAGGCTCTATCCGCCCCAGCCTGACCCGTCCAGCCAAGCCCAACTCCAGTTGAAGTCCCCTCTGCTCTGTCCTGTATCTTGTCATCACTGACTGACCTCCTCAGGGCAACCTGCCTGACTCATGTCCTTCCAGCCTCCCTTCAGTCCTCGCAACAGCACGCGCTTGCCACAGGCTGCGTGAGATACTCACTAATGTCTGGTGGGCTCTAAGTGTCCTCAGGTGTGGTCTCACTCAGGGCCCCGAACCTATGGGCTGGCTGGGGGTGCTGTCAGCACTGCCATACTCCAGAAGAAGGAATGGGGGCCAGAGAGACAGTCGCCTGCTCAAAGGCACATGGCATGGCGGGCAAAGGGCAGACCTAGGATTTGAACCCAGGCTTCTGATTCCAAAGCTGAATGCTACTTTTGCCCTCGATGATACAGAATTGGGTTTCACCTAGACTCTGCCCAAAGTTCCTCTGTGACGCCAAACAGTCCCATTCTTCCTGCAGCCACAAGAAGCACCTAGGTGGCATGCAGCCGACCATGGGCTTTGCAGCAGAACCCCTGCCTGCCCAGTCACACTCATCTCCTACCTGGCACTGCTCTGCAAGGCACTACGCCCATTGCAAGGGGCTTCTCAAACAAGCTCTAAACTGATCTTCCTAAAAACGCTGGGTGGCAGGACCAGCAAGGTGAGAAATCAGAGGCCCAGTGAGGGTTACAGGGCAAATTAGGTCCAGCAAGTAGGCAGTCTGTGCCCACTACCTTCCAGCCAGGAAACTGAATCGTTTGACTGCCAAAGGGATTACAGGGGAGAGCGGTTCCTACGGCCCGGTCCCCAGGATCATGCCACAGAGGGGCTTCCCCGCATCCTGCACTCCTTCTGGAGACTCAAAACCACAGACCTCTTTTCCCCCGGGCTCAGGAGCCAGGCTCCTTCTCCTCACCCAGATCATGGAGACACCCAGCTGCAGAGAACTTAGTCTTTCCACTTCCAAACATGCAGAGAAGCTGCTCCCAGCCAGCGGACAGAACCTCCCTCTGCTCCCAGGCCCATGGCCAAGGCCAATGCCAGAGCAAGGGGAATTCCAGGCAGGGCCGAGGCCTCTCCCAGCTGGGCTTTGTCTGTCAGGGTGCTTCAGGCTTCAGCCAGAGGGCAGCCTGGGAGGGAGGGTGGCCTCCACGGGGTGGGGGCAGGCAGCAGCAACTGGAACCTGCATAAGCCGCCTCTCCTGCACAAGGCACAGTCCAGCTGCCAGGACACACAGCGGCCCCAGACAGGACCTGTACAAACCCAGCTATCCAGGAGCTCGAGGGCCCACCCACGCCCCCTCCTAGAAGCTGCAGCATGGCACCCAGGCAGGAGTTGCCAGGGAACGCCCACTGGGCAATGCACGTGTCTTACAGCAGGAACTCTCCTCCCCTGGTGAGCACTGGATGGAAAAGCAGCAGGGTGTGGTAGAAAGAATACAGGGCTGAGGTCAGCTGGGCCAAGTTCAAATCCCAACCTGGGGTGAGTGATTTCTGCAGGCAGCATGTCTTCAGCAATGAAATCGGGCTAGTCCCTGAGCCACAGGTTGTGCTGAGGATTAAATGAACTAATGAAGCAAAGTGCCCGGCTCCACACTGGACACCCAGCAGATGTCCAATCAATGTCTGCTAAATGAATGTGGAAATTGCAGCCCTGAGAAAAATAGCAATTCTCCTCTTCTCCCTTCACTCGGCCCAAACCCAACTCCCCACAGGGGGAAGAGCCCTTATTCACTACTCACCACCACCACAACACAGCCGGGCAGACTGACACACTTTTGGCAAAGAGGCCAAAACCTTTTTCAGCAAGCTCACCTTTACAAGGTTTCAGCACCTTCCATTGGGACTGGGGGGTGGGGACGGGGGATGGGTAGCATGTTTCACTTGGCTAATGAACTCTGTGAGCAATGATCAAGTTCACCTGCTGGTCTACGCTAAAGCAGGCTGTCTTGCAAGCAGGAATTAAGGTTCCACGTCATGAGAACACAGCAGTAGGGCAGGGACTCAGGAGACAGAGTCTGCACCTTTGACAACTGGCTACGGGACCCTGGGAGAGTCACCTCACCTCTTAAGGATCGGACTTCTCTTCCAGAAGGTTACATCAGCAGGCCCAAGAAGCTCTCACTCTCCAAGCCCCCTGGCCATTCTAAACACAATTCTATGAAATGTAATCCTGAGTATGTTCACAGGAAGACAGGCTCTGAGCTGACAGAGTGACATTCACTGCAAACCTGGGTGAAAAAGACTCACCACTCACTGGGAGTTGCCAGGATATGCCCTGGAACCTAACTGCATCTTTCCTCCCCTGAGCCCCAGGGGCACACGGTATGCCAAATCCCCAGAAAGAACAAGACCACTAGGACTGTGGGGAGGCAGGGCCTGCATGAGAACTGCCCTGAAACCACAGCCTGAGTAAAATCTGCCCCCTTCAATCTGGAAAGAAGGTGGTTCAAAGGGACTGTGCTGAATCTTGGCCCAGCAGAAACAGAAATGACCTCGATGATGCCCACAGCAGACACTTCCCCTAGGGATGGGTGCCCTTCAGATGCCACTTCACCAAGACAGAGCAGCAGCAGCAGCAGCAGCAAATGCCAATAGGTTTGCTCCGCTCCCGAATACGAAAGCCCCCAATCTCCTGCTAAGGAATAGGGAAACTAAGGAACCGACCCGTAGGTATGCATGGGGTCTATTACAGCCCTCACTCCTCAGTCTTGGATGCACAAGAGAATCGACTCAGGAACTTTAAAGATACCAATGCTGGGTTGCTGCCCCCCTCTCCAAGATTGTGATGTAATTGGGCCTGAATGCAGCCTGGGCATCTGGATTTTTTTTTTTTTCCAACCTTCCCAGGTGACTCTAATGTGCAGCCAATATTCAGAACCATTACTTTACTCTAGCTTCTAGAAGTTCAGAGCACAGGGGCCCCAGCACGCTCCTACAAACTCTTCAGGGGCAGAAAGGACAGCATGCCTGGCCAGGCAGGCCTTGCTAGAGATGGGTCTCCTTATTCTTCCTTCAAAACACACGCACACTCACACCCCCCCGAGAAGCAACCTGCAAAGAACCATCTGTCTGAGACAGAATGCAGGGCCGCTGCCCAGCCCTGGCTGGGGCGTACCAAGTTCAGTCACACTGGAGGATATACAATTGTGTTCAGTTACTTGATTACTTTAGGCACGTAAACAAAATATGATATTGTACAGACCTGGAGTGGCAACCACCACATCATAATTTACTTTGAGACATCTGAATTACAAATGCAAAAAGAAAAAAAAGTTGGAAACACTTTTAAGAATCTCTCTGAATGGAAAATGGAATCTGAATAAATGGTGGTGTTTCCAGTGGGCTGCCAGGTTTACTTCCTGTTTCCCCCAGAAGGTCACTGGAAATGTTTTCTTGTGAATCTGCCTTTTCTGAGATTGAAGCAAAACATCTCAGCCTCCCAAACTATGGCACTCACTGCCTTTGGTCCTACAGTACATACAGATTCCAATCACTCCAAAAAACAAAAAAAAAAAAACAAAAAACAAAAAAACACACAGCCATAGCAGAGGGGAGAGGAGGGGAAAAGGCAGTTAAAAGTTCTAGGTTTCTCTGTGGTGTTAACAAGACTAAACAAAATTTCTGCTTTGAGATAAAACAGAACCCAGTGCCTCTATCATATGAACACACAGCAGGGCATATGGAAAGCAACCAGGCTCTGAAGGAATAGAGCTCCTTCCTGGCTTTCTGCCTTCCGGCTATGTGGCCTTGGGCCAGTTACTTGGCCTCTCTGAGCCTCAGCTGTAACTGCAGGTTTGCTTTGAGAATTAGAGAGTGTATACAAAGCCCAGGGCCCAGGGTGGGCCTTCAACAACCAGTGGGTGCTGCCATTATTCTTTGAACAATCTGCACCCATTTCAGCTAAATCCTTGGGAATCATATTATACTAGCGCAGGGGAAGAATCTGTTTCTTTGTTTAACAAGAGAACAAAAAGAGTGAGTGGAGAAGTCAGGAGTTAGCCTGCCACTGCGTTCTGAGGTCAAATGGGCTGTTTACGAACATGATTTGCTTTCACCCTCCTGAGACTGGCACCGTGAAAAAAGTCCTTCCCGAGACTTACAGATGCCCAAGAGGCAATGTGGTCTCCATGATAGTCCAGCGTGGTCTGGCCAAGCTGTCCCCCATCCCCCATGCAAAAGCCAGCTTCCCCGTGCAGCCCCCACAGCAGGAGAGACGGAGAACCATTAAAGCGGGGGTGCCTGTCACACTCCTCTGTAACCCCTGACGTGATGTGAAATTCTACAAGGTAGACCCTTTGAAATGCAAAATCTTCCAGAGTCCTTCAAACGTGTTTTTATTTTCTCGGGTTCCTAAGGCTGCTTTCAGATCCACCCATCAGCATTTCCCCCTCTCAATCAACCCACATTTAACAAAAAAACAAACAAACAAAAAAAACGACAAGAAAAACCCAAGGACGTCTCTATTTTTCAGAAAAGCTCAAGTATCTCCAATCACTGTGAGGGGAAAGAAAATAAAATCTTCAGCTCCAGCCTCCTCGCATCACTCCAAGACACCCAGAAGCCAAGTTTCCTCTGGAAGATTTCCTCCCATCCTAGCCAGCACAGCACTCTGTTGCTCAGGATCTCAGAGAACTTTCTTAGATAAGAATCCGAGTTCTCCCTGACCTAAGTTCGGTGAGGTTAAGACAGGCACCACCAAAACCACAACCCGCAATACACGAAGCCCAAATCTTGCCCCAAAACGCTGTGCACAGGAGGTTTGGATTAAGCATCAAAGAAGTTACCTTAAAACAAAGTTGTTTGGCAAAGAAAAATACTTCACTGTAAGAAGAACCCTAGGGAACGGTAAATTGCTTTTGAATATGGACTTTTCAGTGGCGCAGTCATTAATCATGTTAATGTAAACTGCGCTACAACAAAAATTTTCTAAGCAAGTCTCAGGGTACATCAGCATATCTAAGCCTCTGGGTTTGTTTCCAAAGTTCACATCCAGGCAGGCAATGAAACTGCTGTTAATGGGGTCAGCTATTACAGTGCCGTCCCCAACCTTGAGCCATAATAAAGGTGACTCAGCCATCCAGAAAAAACCCTCAAACTTAGGCAGGAAACAAACAAATTAATCAGAGAAAGAGAGTCAATGATTTTTGGAAAGTGTATCCGTTGGACAAGTTTAAACAGAAACTCTCCCTGGATGATCAGACTGACATTTCAGAAAGGAGTTGAGGGAGAACAATCAACACTCCTCCCAGCACCCAAGTCCCCTGGCCAGACCCTGTTTTGTGGCGTGGAGGGGAGGGTAGCAGCCGGACGAGGCAAGGAGGAGGAGAGTCCAGCAGAGCTAAGCTTCGCTGAGCCCCGCCAGCTCCGGCCATGTGCTTTGTGTTGGCAACGAACCGGTTCTTTCAAAAGAGGAAGAGTCTGACAAAAAGGACAGCTGCAGCAAAGCAGAAGCTGAGGGTAAAAACCTCTCCAAAGCCCTGAGCTCGGGATTCTCCCCTAAAGTTAAATCAAAACACCACTGGGGTTTGCAAGGACTAGTTCATCTATTAGTCTTCCCCTTGCTGGATCAATTAAAGAGAGTCCCTCCACATCTGGTTTCCATCGAAAACCGAAACTTGTATTATCAGCATATTACATAACAAATTATGCCTGCAGGTTTCTTTTATTACACATCAGAGAGGTGTGCGTGGTGGTGGTAATGATGGGGGTTGTGCCGATCTGAGTATTTGCTTATTTCAGTCTTTTTATTTAAGGACAAGAACAGAAGAGTTTTCCATACAATGCGCAATTTAACTGCAGAAAGTCACGCTGCCCAAATAAAACATCAACTGAACAATCTGAAGGTGGGCCCAGAACTCAGTCTTCAGGGCCCAAGGCATCGAGCGGTGGGTGAGAAGAGTGTGCTTTTTAAAAGAGCTCCGCAGCGTCCCCTGCTGCCAGCTCCTAATATTTAAACACAGCTCTCTCCTCTCTGGCCTCCAAAAGGGGAGGAGAGCAGGCTGGCCCTTCCTGAGCTTCAATCAAGGGTCAGGCGCCTGCTCACTGGACCCGCTTAAAGGAACCCAAGCCCACTAGGCTTCTGTAGAGAGGATGGAGAGGCTAGCGGGGCAGTGAGAGAATATATAAGGGGAAAGAGAAAGACTAAAAGATGGAAACAGAAAGAGCCCAGGAAATAATACCAGGACTTCCCATAAAATGTCAATTAAGCGTAACCACCACGGTGACAATAAGGTATCATAAAGCTCTTTCCAAAAGAACTTTGCGTACTTTCAAAATGCTATGTGCAACATACCCCACGTTGAAAAGAGAAGAGGGAAACTGATTTAAAACATTATGAACCAAGACAGTGGAATGCTCTCTACTTTGTCCTGAGAAGACTGGAACATTCAAGTCCACTTCTGCAGCAGTGAGGTTGCTAGTTTCTATTTAAAAACTTGTCTTTGATATCAAAATGACTGCACATGAATCTCACCTTCTCAGAAGAAAATAGGAAGTCGTTGGGCAACATTATTTGAATTTAAATCGCCTCGTTCTCTGAAGGAACGTTTGGAAGAAAAAAATACAGGCCTTCCCCACGCCTCTCCTTAGCTTTTTAACCTGAAAAAGCGCCTGGAAGCTGGATCGGCAGACTCCCAGGTCGCATGATGGGTGACAGCCAAGTGCAGACACAGAGTCAAGGGCTACCAATCCTGAGCCAAACCTTCTCCCACTGAATGGGACTATCAACTGGGACAAGTAGCTGTTTCTGTAGTCCACAGCTAGAGGCGGGGGAGGGGACCCTGTAGACCTGCAATTCAATATCAAAACTGTAACTGACACAAGTTACTCTTAAATAGATAAATTAAAATGAAACAAAAACCTGGCCTAATAAGGAACAGTGAGTTTCACCTGGTCGGCTGACTCCATTCCTTCCCAAGTCCTCAAACCAGGTGGCATCTTTTAAACGAGTCCAGGATCTGGAGCAAGGAGGAATCTCCCTGCCAGCCGGTGGGGACTGCTGGGAACACATATGCTAGCATGTCATTTGGAAGTCTGCTAATATGTTGTAAGCAGCACAAGACGCTTGCCTGGCTTCCCAGGCCAATAAACAATGCCATTCCAACTCCTGCAGCAGTCAATAGGAAACAGTCCCTTTTCTCCACCATCCAACAATTGAACAAACATTTGTTCCTGTTGAACAACCGTCAGCCTGGCTCCATCTGCACCCGCTCCTGCAAGGCGAGCGCGGCGGCGAAGGCGACGGCACAAATGCCCACCCCAGGATCCCAGACCCGGAATGCAAGCCATTCCGGGGGCCACTTTCCTAACACCACCGAGTCCGGAGATTGTACCGTATGGAAGACTCGGAGTGTGGCCTATAGGAGGCAGAATCCCATTCATCAAACGCTGCAAAGAGCTTTTCTTTGTTCACCATCGTCCTAAGTACAGTACGTGTTAATGAGCCCGGGCGGTCAGATGGAAGGAGCTCGGCTTCAGGGGGCGTCCGAACGCGAGGGACCCGGGCAAACCTGTCCGCGCGGTTCGTCGCTGCTGCGGCGCCCCGGCCCGTACTACAAGCATTGTTCCCCAAGTCCGAAAATGGGGGTGGAGAGCTGGGGGCTGGGGGACAAGGTGGGGGGGCGGGGGGAGCGAGAACACACTTGGGACAACACAAACCGCAAACCCTCCCCGGATTCTGGGTGTCCTCGTTTCTTTCGTCTCTGCCCCAAGAGAAACCCTGAGCGGGGAACCTGACTCCCACGGGCTTGCAAAATCCAAGACTAGCAAAAATGTGACTCGACCAGTGTGCCTGTGCCGGACGGCCCTTCTCGCCATGTGCAAAAGCCACGCCGGCGCGGACGCCCCCACTCCGCAAGCCCCAGCGGTGGCCTCCCCGCGGGCTTCCCCCGCCCGGGACAGAATGCCCCCTCACCCCCATCCTGACCGCCCCGGACAGTCCAGCAGCAGCGGAGCCCGCCGCCTCGCTCCCGCACCCCGGGGGTGGCGGGTGCAAACTTCCGCGAACAAAAGAGTTGTCTGCAAACGATGCGGGAACTTCGGGGCGAATGGGGCCGCCCGGCTCCCGAGACTCCGCGCCTCCTCCGCAGCGGCTAGTCAGGGCTCAAGTTGAGACGCGGAGAGGACACCCCCGGGCGCAGCAGTCCCCGCGCCCGCCCGCCCTGGCCTGGGGAGCGCAGACTTTTCCGCCGCAGCCAGGCTTGTTCTTCCCCATGCCTGTGCTCTGACAAGTCTCACGCCTGCATCAGGGGCGAGACCGAGCGCCCGGAGAAACCGCCCGACCCAACCCAAAGGCGAAACAAGGCAGAAAAAAAGGAAACCAGCAACATTAGGAAAAAAGAAAAAAAAAAGGCAAGCCCATTGCGCACGCGAGCCGGGCTCCCTCCAGCCAGCGGCCGGGACGCACACGGCCCGGACCTCGCTCGGGGCCAGCCCCCCGGCCACCGCCGCCGCCGCCCGGCCCCGGGTCGCTTACTGTGCGCGGCGGGGCGCTCCGGGCGCGGACCCCGCGCCGTCACCGCCAGCGCTCGCCAAGTCGTCCGGGGTGCCCGCCGCGCGTCCGCCGCGCGCACGCTCGCCTGCCGGCGCCGAGCGCTTTGTACGAGCGACTCCCGGGGAGGAGGAAATCGACTTGTCACTTCCTGAAGTGTTTGCAACTCGTCCCTTTAACCGGCACCGGCCAGGCCGCCCGCACCCGCCGCCGCCGCGGAGCCGCCAGACCGCGGCTGCGTGAACTCGGCCCGGCGCTTAGCGGGCGGTGTCGCGGGCCCGGGCGCTAGGCGCGGCGGCGGCGTGCAGGAGGCAGGCGGCGTGCGGCGGCGGCGGCAGGCGAGTGTGCAGTGCGCGCAGCCGCCGATGGGCGGGGAGTGAGGGACTCGCGGCGCGCCGCCGGCGGGGCTAGAGGGCGTCCTGCGGGCTCAGCCGC